>NC_000007.14:155892258-156205323 GCF_000001405.40 Homo sapiens
AGGTGGTGGTGGTGGAGGTGGAGATGGAGGTGGTGGCTCTTATGGTGGTGGAGGTGACGGAGGTGATAGAGGTGGTTGTGCTGGTGGTGAAGGTGGTGATGGAGGTGGTGGAGGTGGAGGTGGTGGTGGCTGTTGTGATGATGGGGGTGATGAGGTGATAGAGGTGGTTGTGGTGGTGGAAGTGGTGGTGGTGAAGATGGTGGTGGAGGTGGTGCAGGTGGTGGCTGTTGTGGTGGAGTTGATGGAGGCGATAGAGGTGGTTGTGGTTGTGAAGGTGGTGGAGGTGGAGGTGGTGACTGTTATGGTGGTGGAGGTGATGGAGGTGATAGAGGGGGTTGTGGTGTGGAAGTGGTGAAGATGGTGGTGGAAGTGGAGGTGGAGATGATGATGGTGAAGGTGGTGGTGGAGGTGGTGGAGGTGGAGGTGGTGACTGTTATGGTGGTGGAGGTGATGGAGGTGATAGAGGGGGTTGTGGTGTGGAAGTGGTGAAGATGGTGGTGGAAGTGGAGGTGGAGATGATGATGGTGAAGGTGGTGGTGGAGGTGGTGGTGATGGAGGTGGTAAGAGTGGTGGTGGAGGTGGTAGAGGTGGAGGTGGTGGCTGTTGTGGTGGAGTTGATGGAGATGATAGAGGTGGCTGTGGTGATGGAGGTAGTGAAGGTGCTGGAGGTGGAGGTGGTGGCTATTGTGGTGGTGGGGGTGATGGAGGTGCTGGAGATGGTGGATATAGTGGTGATGGAGAGGGCAAGGGAGGTGAGCATCCAGGAGAGCTTGAAGGAACCTCAGGGATCCCTTATCCCACCCCACCTGCCTAGGGCTGCATGAATAATGAGAGAGAAAATCCATGCTGGATTCCAGAGCACCTGAGTCCCCTGTGGCGTTTTGCAGGAATATGAGCCCCTGCAGCTGCTTCTCCAGAGCACCTGAGTCCCCCGTGGCGTTTTGCAGGAACATGAGCCCCTGAATGAACCCCTGAATGAGCCCCCACAGCTGCTTCTCTTCGGGACTGCAGACGAAAGTGTGGAGCTGCTGGCCTGGCTCCCTCAACACTCACGGTCCTTCCCCACCCAGGCGCGGGGAGGTTCGTCAGAGAATAAGGCTGGACAAGGAGAGGGAACAGGAGGGGAACCTGGCCAGCGTGCTCAGCAGGCAGCGGCTCTTCCCTGGTGCGGGGAGGTGACATTGCCATGAGTTGCTGTCAGGCTGTCCCCTGGCCATCGCCTGGGAAGGCTGCAGACAGGGCAGACACTCTGTGTGCCAGAGGGGAGGCAGCACTGTGTGGCTGTGGGGCTTCTCTGTTTCTGCAGGAGAATCTCTGCTCCAGGGTCAAGCTGTCACCAGGGTGTTAAAAGGGAGCAGTCAGTTGTCTGAAACCCTCTCTGCTGCCACTGAGAGACATTTTTCCAATTTGTCAACTTATTCACAGAATTGGCAGAGGCTGTAAAATTCTCACAGTCTAGCAACCCTTGACCTCTCCAATTTAGAGAGGAACAAATCTAATCACTTTGAGGCTTGAAGAGTTGTTGGAAGCCACATAGGTGGTTTGTGGCTGAGCCGGGTCTGAAGGCCTCGTGACCCTGAGCCCAGTGTCCTGCAGGATCCACCATCCACGCCCAGCCCAGCTCCCGCTGCCTCCTCCTCCCCACTGCATCTGGCCACGCCACCCTCCCAGGGCCAGATACAATCCCAGCAGTGCTACTTAATGAGAAATTGCAGAGACGTAGTCATTAAAGTGAGGTCCTTGTCTTGTTTTCTAATAAAATGGAACTAGTGCTTACCATATATTGTCCATGTAAGATGATGCTGGCAAATGGTTCTCTAGTGGCTGGATCATGGCAGGGGCTCAGGAGCCTTGGTAACCATCATTATTACCATTGTTATCTGCCAGGTCTTCTTTTTTATTTGGTAGTTAAAAAACCAGTATGCTGAGAAAACTATTACTGCCCACTAAGAGATCCTACCTGTTGATGAGGGAATTCAGTATTTAATTCTCTGTGGAAAAGGAACTTCATTAGAGATTCCCAAATGTCAATTGGAAGACATTTTGTTTTTAAAGAACTATGTTTTCCTCTTTCTTAATTTGAGTGTGAACATATATGATTGCAAAAGACACAAAGTACAGGCAAACCTGGCTTTATTGCACTTTGCTTTATGGGCTCTGCAGATATTATGTTTTCTATAAACTGAGGGTTTGTGGCAACCCTGCATCGAGCCAGGCTAATGGCACCATTTCCGCAACAGCATGTGCTCACTTTGTGTCTCCACGTCACGTTTTGGTAATTCTCACAATATTTCAAATGTTTTCATTATAGTATCTGTTACGGTGCTCTGTGGTCAGTGATTCTTGATGTTCTTGTTGTAATTGTTTTGGGTTGCCATGACTGCACCCATGTGAAGACAGCAAACTTAATCGATAAATGTTCTGTGTGTTCTGACTTCTCCGCCAACTGGCCACTCCTTGTCCCTCTCCATCTCCTTAGGCCTTGCTAGTCCGTGAGATACAACAATATTGAAATTAGGCCAGTTAATAACTCTACAGTTGCCTGTAAGTGTTCAAGTGAAAGGAAGAGTCTCACATCTCTCACTTTCATTTCTTTTTAATTTTAAGAGATGGAGGTCGTGCTCTGTCACTGAGACTAAAATGCAGTGGCACGATTGTAGCTCACTGCAGCCTTGAACTCCTGGGCTCAAGAGACCCTTCTGCTTCGGCATCCTAAAGTGCTGGGATTACAGGCATGAGCCACTGTGCCCAGCTACATCTCTCATTTTTAATCAAAATCTAGAAATGATTAAGCTTAGTGAGGCCGCCAGTTCAAAAGCCAAGCTAGTCCAAAAGCTGGACCTTTTCTGAATGATAAAAAAGTGACACGGACTTATTGCTGATATGAAAAAAAGTTTGAGTGATCTGGATAGAAGATCAAACCAGCCACAACATTCCCTGAAGCCACAGCCACAGAGAAGGCCCTAACCCTCTTCAATTCTATGAAGGCTGAGAAAGGTGAGGAAGCTGCAGAAGAAAAGCTTGAAGCTGGCAGAGGTTGCTTCGTGAGCCGTAGGGAAAGAAGCCGTCTCCATAACATGAAAGTGCCAGGTGAAGAAGCCAGTTCTCCAGAAGATCCAGCTGAGATCAGGGATGAAGATGTCTACACTTAACAACAGGTTTTCAGTGTAGATGAAACAGACTTCTGTTGGAAGAAGATGCCACTTAGGACTTTCAAAGCTGGAGAGGAGAAGTCAGTGCCTGGCTTCAAAGCCTCAAAGGACAGGCTGACTCTCTTGTGAGGGGTTAATGCAATTTAAGTGACTTTAAGTTGTATCCAATGCTATTTAGCATTCCAAAAATCCTAGGGACCTTAAAAATTATGCTAAATCTATTCTGCCTATGCCCTATAAATGGACCCACAAAGCCTGGATGACAGCACATCTGTTTACATCCTAGTTTACTGGATATTTTAAGTTCTTGATTGAGACCTAGTATTCAGAGAAAAAGATTCCTTCCAAAATATGACTGCTCATTGACAATGCACCTGGTCATCCAAGAGCTCTGACATTGATGTACAAGGAAGTTCATGTTTTCATGCCTGCTAACACCACATCCATTCTGCAGCCCATGGATCAAGGAGTAATTCTGACTTTCAAGTCTTATATTTTGGAAATACATTTCGTAAGGTTATAGCTGCCATAGACAGTGATTCCTCTGATGGGTCTAGGCAAACTCAACTGAAAACCCTCTAGAAAGTATTCACCATCCTAGGTGTCATGAAGAACATTTGAAATTTACTAGAGGAGGTAAAAATCTCAACATTCACAGGAGTTTGGACAATGTGGATTCCAACTCTCGTGGATGACTTTGAGGGTTCAGGACTTCAGCAGAAAAAGTTACTACAGATGTGGTGGAAATAGCAAGAGAAATAGAACTAGAGGTGGAGCCTGAAGATGGGACTGAGTTGCTACAATCTCAGAATAACACTTGAACGGATGAGGAGTGGCTTCTTAAGGATGGGCAAAGAAAGTAGTTTCTTGAGATCAGGTCTACTCCTGGCAAAGATGCTGTGAACACTGTTGAAACATCAGCAAGGATTTAGAATATTACAAAATCTTAGTTGATAAAGCAGTGGAAGGGTTTGAGAGGATTGACTCCAATTTTGAAAGAAGTTCTACTGTGGGTAAAATGCTATCAGACAGCATCATGTGTTGCAGAGAAATCTTTCATGGAAGGAAGAGTCCACTGATGTGGCAAACATCATTGTCTTATTTTAAGAAATTGCCACAGGCACCCCAACCTTCAGCAACCACCACCAGCAGTCAGCAGCCATCAACATTGAGGCAAGACCCTTGTCCAGCAAAAAGATGATGACTCACTGAAAGCTCAGATGCTTAAGGTATGAACACTGGTTTTTTTAGACACAATGCTGTTGACCACTTAATGGACTACAATACAGTTAAAACATAACTTTTTTATATGCACTGGGAAACCAGAAAGTTTGTATGACTCATTTTATTGTGATGTTTGCTTTATTGTGGTGCAGTAGAGCGGGCAGAAGTTTAAGTTATAAATATACAGGCAGACCTCAGAGATGATATTGCAGGTTTATCTCTGATAGTGCAGGTTCAGTTCAACCTGCAGTATCTCTGAGGTCTGCCTGTATGTTTACAACATAAACTTCTCTCGCTAAAGAGCGGATGCAAAGTGTTAGCTACTACGATGAAGAGAACAGTTTGCATTTGGCTCCATAATGGGCTTTTCTTCTTGGAGATTTGCCCGACTTTCTCTTGTGTGTTTCACATGGGATTGGGTGGCCCTCAAAGTCTCAGCTTTGAGCTCTTTGGCCCTTTAGAGATGAGGTTTGCTGACCTCACTCCAGGGAGGAAGGAACCTTCACCACAGCTGGTCAGGCAGGGGCAGGTGCTTCCAAGGTGGCTTTGTTCATTTAGTTAATATCCCCTGAACAGCTACTCTGTCCATGTCCTCTGTATTGTGGGTGTCAGTCTGTTAGTTTCCGCAACTCAGTGAATAAATTAACTTTGTCTATGAACAGAATGGCTGTCCCTATGCCAAGGCCGTGTGGATTAATAGGAGTCTCACTTCCAAGTGGTAGAAACCCAACTGAAATTAGTTTAAACACAAGAGGAAGTTTATTGGTTCAAGTAGGTGGGAAGTTTGGGGGCCGGTGTTTTTGGTATTGCTGAATCCAGAGGTGCAGACCCGAAGACTGTCCTTCTCCAGGCCTCCCAGAAGTATTCGGCTTCATTCTGAGCTGTGGCTTCACCACCTTTCAGCAAAGATGGCCATAGCAGCTGCAGACTTCCACGGTGCTCAAAGCTTACAATTCCAGGGGCTCAGGGAGGCTCTGCCTTCCACATTTGAAACCCTGCAGAGAAGGACTTGTGTTGCCCCAGACTGGGTCAACACCGATACATCCCTGAAGGAGGGGAAGCAAGGCCCTTGGGTGAGAGACTCCTTAGAGTCTCATGAGGCTGGGAAGAGGCCGTTCCTGAAGGAAAAGCTGTAAGGCGGATGAAACATAGTCACCTGCCCCACCATGGACTGGGACCCAGGTAGGGGGAGAGCTGAGGGCAGCAGAGCTCAGGACTGCCGGGCTGCTGGAGGCTGGAGAAGGCTGCTTCCCAGAGCCAGGCAGGCATGCTGAGCCTCAGAAAACACGCAGGGCAAAGTCAGTGCTGTGGGGCCAGGGATTTGTGGACACTGGACAGGGGGCCAGGGGACCAGCTGCAGGGAGCCTCAGGGATCCCGTGCTGCAACCAGGAGCCCTTGCTGTGCTTTCAGCTCCTCCTGGGGAAAATCACAGAGGGCGAAGCCTGATCTCCCAGGCAGAAACAGGTCAGCATTTGAAGTAGGAGACGAATTCGTGAACCTTCCTGGCGAGGGATTAGCGGGGAGAGATGAGGCCAGATATCGAGCGTTCAAAGTGGCTTTTAACCTTTGGGTTGTGATCTGTGGGTTAAAACATCCTGAGATTCAGATGACTCGTTTATGGGTCACCGTGCCCTGTTCTTCTCTTACCAACCCTTGACAGTTTCACACCGACGATTATTTCAGTATTTTGGTTCTTAAGAGAATTTCAATCTGGGCAACTAAATTTTTTCAAAATGCCAGAAAATTCTCGGTGTCAAATATGATACCTGCTTTCCTTCTGAAAAGTGTTAGTGAAGTTTTTACCTTCTGGTAGATTCAAGCATAGAAACTACCTCCTGTGTAGCACCAGTGACTATCATGATTCCAGGCACATAGTAGCCACTCAAGAAATGTTGAACTAAATCAAACTTTTGCTGGAATGGCCATCACATTTTTGTCCAGAATGGCAAGGTTTTTCTTATTTTTTATTTATTTTATTTATTTATTTTTTTGAGACAGCATCTCCCTCTGTTACCCATGCTGTAGTGCAGTGGTGTGATCTTGGCTTACGGCAACCTCCACCTCCCAGGTTCAAGTGATTCTCTCTCCTCAGCCTCCTAAGTAGCTGGGATTACAGATGCGTGCCACTACAGCCCTGCTAATTTTTGTATTTTTAGTAGAGACAGGGTTTCACCATGTTGGCCAGGTTGGTCTCAAACTCAGGTGATTGGCCTGCTTTGGCCTCCCAAAGTGCTGGGATTACCGGCATGAGCCACCATGCCCAGCCTAGAACGGCAAGAACTTTAATCATATTTGAGGTTGGTAGACAGAATCACTCTCAAGGGATCCTTGGCAAAGCTTTTGCCCAATTGTGATGATTTTAGACATGGTGCCCAAGGTCTGGGGTTTTAGAACTCCTGGTTCCTTTCTTAGTGAGCCTGTGACATGATTTTGAATGCCATGGTCCACAAGGTGCTGCTGAGATGCTTGTGCACTGTGGTCTGTCCTAGGAACAATGTGATGCTGGTAAAACTTGCTTCTGGCCTATTTCCACCTTCCCAATCTATGCTCCACTTCTCCTTTCTGGTACCCAACCCCACTTCTGACTCTCGCTCCTCAACTCCAGGGATCTTGTCTCTGTCTCATTTCTGCTATTGCTCGCAAAGATGTCAACAAATGATGAAGATGAGTTAGAAGGTGGAGCCCTGTGTTCCAGCCTTTTCCCTGGTGTCCAGCCTCTGGAAATTCAGCCCCAGCCCTCCCTGCAGAAGTCTTAACCCCAGGCTTCCCACCGGAGGCCTAGCAAAGAATTCTCATGCTGTGGTCATTTGTATACTCTCTCTTCCCATGTTTTTTCAGAAAAGACTTGAGGCTAAAATTACTATAATAATCAAGAGAAGAAGAGATAAAAGGAAAGCAAGAATGGAGACAAAGGGACGAAACCTGATGGGAGATTTTCTCATAAACCATACAACGGGGTCCTGCCAGCTCACAAGGGGTGGACCACCAATTTCGCTCTGAGGTTTTCATGCTTCCCTGTAAGAGGGAAATACTATCAAGCACTAGCTGAAAATGTTTATAATAAAAAAATAGAGTTTCTCAAGAGTGGCCCAGCTGTTTCTGAGGCTGAGGGAGCTGGCTGTCTTCTACAGAGACCTGGTCTTCCTGGTCCAACCTCAGGGACCCCAGCACTGGGGGTCTCAGCAGGGAGCCAGGCTTGGCAGTGGGCTCGGGGTGTGGCTCGGGTGGAGAGGACCCTCTCGAGATGGTGCTAGATGGGAGAGGCTGTGTTTAAGCCCTTGGTGATTGTTGGGCAGTGGTGACTTGAGGTGATGTCTCCTGAGGAGACCTGGGAGACTTCTGCTGAGAAATGGCCTTTAGACCATGATCCTCATTGCTCACAGATTCTGTATTGTGAGTTTGTCTGCTTGTGAAAGTATGTTTGCACCCTCAAAATCAGTACTTGCAGAACATTGGTGGTCATTTTTGGACACATTCTGAATGGTGGAAAGTGCGAGCCCCCATCGCACAGGCTCCTGGGGAGGTGGAACTGGGTGCACTGCCTTCTTGCCCCAGCTAGGGCAGCAGCGTGGCCTCCCCTCCATGTGCTCCATTTAGTTTCAGACGTTTTGCAATTTTGTTCTTTATTGGTCATTTCGATGTTTGAAATGGCCCCAAGCACAGTGCAGTGGTGGCATCTGTGTTCCTGAGCACAGGAAGACTGTGATGCACCTTACGGAGAAAATATGCGTGTCAGAGAAGCTTTGTTCAGGCTGAGTGACGGCGCTGCTGGCCTTGAGTTCAGTGTTGATAAGCTGACAATATACATTAAATACAGTGTCTTTAAACAGAAACCCGCATCAGACAAGGTCATGTATTTATTGATAGATGAAACTGAAGTGACCAGAAGCTCACAGGAACCTAACCCTGAGTTTCCCCTAGGAACCACCATTCAGTGCCCGCTAATTCTGTGTTCATGGAGACTTTACAGAACATGACTGCTATGCACAGGCGCTGACAGCATCTTAGCTACCCCTGAGTCTGGGTGGGGTGGGCAGCTGTCCTGCAGTTGGGTGCCTGGTGCTGCCCCGGGGCCACCTCTCCTTCCAGGCCCAGCTGAGTTGGTGGCCTTTCGAACAAGCACCTCTTTATTTTGGGCAATTTCTAGATGACAATGGCATTTGTTTGCAAGTGGATCATGGGGCCTTTGCTCAATGTGACATTATTGGCCAATGGTGGCGATGCTGACTTCTGTCCCAGATGCAGTCACCTTCATGGGGGCGGACTCCCTGCTTGTCTAGGCAATCTCAAATGGCAATTTTTGACCTTCCAGCTGGACAACAAAAGGATTTTGATTTTCCAGAGACTTACTGCTCACCCCATGCTTGCCTTGGCTTGGTCACATTGCTTTGTGACCTTCAGGCTGGGGACTGTTTGGAAGGTCTGGGCACGAAAGCCTACTTTTATCCAGGACAATGAAAACCCCAAGCGCCAGCTTTTCTCAATACCCGGCTTTGCTATCTGTCTCGTTCAAAACCTGTAGGAGTCTGAAATACAATGTATGGTAACAAGTGGGCCTTTAAACCGCTATTGAAAACGCCTGTGTTGTGATGAGATAGCACATAAAGCAGTGAATGGCCCCAGCCCACAGCTAACGGCAGCAGCTTGGGCCTCTGGCCAGGCTGGCTGTGTGACCCCGCCAGGCCCCGGCCCAGCTTTCTCACTGACGTGTCAAGAAGGGAGAGGGTGAGGGTGTGGGGACTTGGGGAGGGTTGGTGGCTGGGCCTAATCCCACTCCTGTCCCCGGATGACAGTGCCCTAGCAGCTCACGGCAGAGTTTCTGGGAGCCCTGGAAGATGTCAGCGCTTGACCTTTGCTGGCTGCGGGGGCTCCTACTGCTGTTTGCGGAAGTCCCTAAGTCAGTGGCAGGAGGGTGAGTAAAATGTCACCCCTGTGCAATGCCACAGTGCTGAGGATAGTGCTGAGGGCAGTGCTGAGGACAGTGTTGAGGCTGGTGCAATGCCACAGTGCTGAAGCTGGTAGAATGTCACAAGGTTGGGGAGAATGTGGCAGATTCCCCAAACACACGGACCAGAAGCATGGTGGCCGCAGACCATAGCACAGGTCCCTCCGAGGGACAGTGGGACTGCACCGGGTGATAACAAGGGCTCCATTCCCCTACAAAGAAGTAATCAAATGCTCTGCCTCCATGTCGGCAAAGCAAGCACTTCCCACCCATGTCCTCCGTGACCACCAGGAAGGTGATGGCTCCGAACAGGGCCTCCACTCACGGGTTACCGAGGTACCTCCACCTGTGTCGTCAGTGACCACAAGGAGGGTGATGGCTCCGAACAGGGCCTCCACTCACGGGTTACCGAGGTACCTCCACCTGTGTCGTCAGTGACCACAAGGAGGGTGATGGCTCCGAACAGGGCCTCCACTCACGGGTTACCGAGGTACCTCCACCTGTGTCGTCAGTGACCACAAGGAGGGTGATGGCTCCGAACAGGGCCTCCACTCATGGGTTACCGAGGCACCTGCTGTCCTTTCCAGGGTTCTGGGACAAAACAGCACATGGACACTTGGATTTAAATTCCAGCAACACCATGATTTCAGGGGCTGTTATTTCAGCTCCTGAGCCTGTGTTTCCTTGTCTGCAGAGTGGGGTGCACATGGCCAACCTCACAGAGCTGTGGGCTCCATCAAGGTGGCTGTCGCTGTTTCCCTCTCAGTGCTCAGCGGCCCCCAGGCCACCCCTGCAAAATTGCTGCTTCCTCCCAAGAGGTTTGAGCTTGGATCAAATTCAGAACTCCCTGGAAAGGGTGGCATCAAGAGGCCCCCTTTCCAGGCATTTGCATTGATTAAACTCTCGTGTGACCTGTCCATGACTCTAGGGAGAGGAGCAACGGGGGTGATGACCGTGACAAGCTAGAGACCCTCTTGGACAGATGGTCGTTATTCCACTTGCTCCAGGCACCACCCTGTGAGTCACGGCAGGTGTTGGCATCCCATTTTCCTGAGAAAGAAATGGAGAAAATGTGACTTTCCACACAGCTTGTTAGTGGCAGAGTGGAGGTGAGGCCCCGGCTGTCCTAAGTCTGAGCAGGGCTCCTGCTGTGAGCTCAGTTCTGAGCCCAGGTTCTAGGGTCGGAAGGGAGGACTGGGTGCCTTGGAAAGGCGGCGGGAGGCCTGGCCCACAGGGAGGCAGGAGTGGAGCAGCCACAAGGCTATGGTGACCAGTAGTGACTGGGGAGGGCTGGCCGAGGATGCACACCTAGGCCCGACCAGCACTAAACTTGAGCCCTCTGCAGAGTGGAAGGGGCTGAGGCTGGTGTTGGGTGGCAAGAAGGGGTGAGTAGGTTACTTGTTGTTAGCCTGGCAGCTAGGACGGTCAGAAGCCTCTTGTTTCAGATAGAGTGATGGGGAAGTGGACTTTGGCTGGTCTTTTTGATGGTTGCTGGATCTGCTTATTCATTCGTGGGGTATTAATGAGCACCTTCCATGTTCCAGGCACGGTTCCAGGTAGGGGGATCAGGACACAGGTAAAGGAGGCAAAAAGTCTTTCCCTCAAGGAGCTTATGTGTGGTGAAGGGAGAGAAACAGTAAACAGACATCAATAAAAACATGTCATGTTGAAGGTGATGCTACTGTGGAAATAAAAAGCAGGTTGGGGACTAGGGATGCTGGAGTGGAGTGAAAGCTGCCATTTAAACCATCCGCATTGGTCGGAAACCTGAGCACAAAGACAGACAGCAAGGAAAGCCTGAGTGTGCCCAAAGGGTGGAACAGGGAATGTAGCTCTGAAGAGAACACAGTGGTTCTGAGTGCAGGAGCCCCAGGCCAGCCGTCTCTCAGCCAGGCTGCCCAATCCTGGAGGGAGCTGGCTTTGCACAGGGATGAGCCTTGTGTAGACCACTGGGTGCACGCTGCATCGGAGGGCACACAACGTCCAGCACTGCCTTGACATCTTGGAGCCTCCAGGTCCCCTAACTCTAAACTTTGAGTACCCTGCTCTCCCCAGACATGACCCTACCATCCCCTCCCTGCGACCAAGTGGGAAAGGCTCCTGCCCCTCGGCTGCACGGGTTACATCCCACCAGGCCCACAGCTTGGTTCTACCTTCCTGTCCACTCCCGGAACCACTCACTGAAGCCATTCACCATCTCCTGCAGGAACCAGCCTCCCGCCCCTCCGCCTTCACTATGTCACTACCAAGCCTACCTCCCACAGCCATGTGCACTCTGCTCCCCAGCAGAGCCTCGTGTGGCCTCCCGGCTGCCCGTCTATGTGGCTGAGAAACTGATTGCATCTGTCCAGTGCCAGGTGTCATGGGTTTGACCGTCCTCAGAAACCCAGGGTTCTCTCTTACCAGCAACGTAAAGAGGGAAACAGAACCCCAGCCATGATGTGTGCCGAGGCCTGCAGGGACACCAGGGGAGGGATGGGGAACACCACAGGATGCCACAGAGGGATGGGCAGGACCCCACGTCCCATGGAGGCTGAGAAGGGACAGAGCGGAATGGGGTTCCAGTGTCTCCCCCATCGCCAGCACTGGGCCTCCCAGAGCCCGTCAGTCATGGGACATTTAGAGACAGGCAGTGGGTACCATGTGGCAGACTTGGCTGGTGGCTCATGAACACAGCTGCTCCCTGCTTCCTCTGCTGCTTTGCTGTCACAGCAGCGTCTGTAGCTCCCCTTGCAGCTGGGCACATCTCCACCGCCACGTCCTGGCCCATGGGGTGTGGTGTGTGTCTGTTCTGGGTTGTGTTCTTACAAGGAATGGCTGTGCACTTTCCTTGCTTTTACCTGCCACCACCGGGTTTTTGGCTGAATTAGCCACCTTTGGCCCAGAATGGAAGGTCTATGTTGAGGTTGGCACAGCTATCCTTAGGGTCCCCAGTCACCTACGTCTGAACCGTTACACAAGAAAAAACAAAGTCCAATCTTGTTTAAACCATGGTATTTGGGATAATTTTGCTATAGAAGCTTGGACAGTACTCCAATCAATAAAGATAGGGAGACATTATTTACATACATTAATGAAAACAACACGAATGCTACTAATACCAGAAGTGTTATCCACCCTTTTTTGGACTTATTGTGTTTTACGTACTATCCTAAGAGCATTATGATTCAGAGATATAATTGAGTCCTCACAGCAATCTTGCAAGTCTGTTATTATTACCTTGTATTAGTCTGTTCTTGCACTGCTCTAAAGAAATACTGGGGACTGGGTAATTTATAAAGGAAAGAGATTTAATTGACTCACAGTTCCTCATGGCTGGGGAGGCCTCAGGGAACTTACAATCATGGTGGAAGGGGAAGCAAACATGTCCTTCTTCACAAGGTGGCAGGAGAGTGTGAGCGTGTGAAGGAGGAACTTTCAAACACTTATAAAACCATCTTGATCTTGTGAGACTCACTCACTGTCACAAGAACAGCATGGGAGAAACCGCCCCCGTGATCCAATCACCTCCCACCAGGACCCTCCATCCAAGGTGGGGATTATGGGGATTAAAATTCAAGATGAGTTTCGGGTGGGGACACAGCCAAACCATATCATCCCCCTATTTGACAAAGAAGCTAAGTGCAGTAGGGAAGGTGACACTGAGACCCAGCAGGTCCACCTGCACCAAGTCCACTTATCATTAGACATGATCTGTGGGTGCATTGGTGTCTTATTGCCGCTATAATAAATTCCCACAAATTTAGTGTCCTAAAACAATGCAACTATGTGATCTCACCATTCCATAATTATAAATCCTGCATACACTAAAATGTGGGCATTGCAAAGGCCACACTCCTCCAGGAGCCCCTGGGAGATGATCTGTTTCGTGGCCTTCTTGCCCTCACTCCTTGAGACCGCCTACATTCTGCACCTCATAGCCCTTCCTCCTCTTCAAAGACAGCAGCCTGGCCTCTTGCAATACCTTTCTGACACCGACTCACTCTTCTGCATCCCCCTCTGGCTTATAATGCCACCCCTGTGACATTGGACGTTGGATCCACCCAGATAAACTAGAACAATCTCCCATCTCAAGATTGTCTGATTACAGCCCTAATTCTACCTGAAACCTTGGTCTCCTTTGTCCTGTCACCCCGAATATTCACAGATTTCAGGATGCAGACATCACTGGAGGGCCTCTTATTCTGCCATCACTTGTGCTTGCAAAGTGTCAGCAGCCCCCCTCTGGAATTCAGCTTCTTGAGAGAAGGGACCACATAGGTTTTGTTCCTCACTGTTGACCCAGCACCCACCCTGGTTCTAGGTACACAGCAGTGCTTGGAATCTGATTGGAGGACAGTCAGGTCAAATAGCCCAGCGTCATACAGTGAACAGCGAAATGCCACGTGTATAGGACTGATGAGGATGGAACAATACACTGTGTTACAGATGGGGCTGGAAGACTCAGAAAGTGCTTAGAAAGAAGAGCGTTTGACCTAAGCCTAGCAGGTGTGCCAGGTAGAAAGGGAGGTTTCTCTTCCCTTAAGAAGCTTGGAGGCGCTGACTTTCGATGTTGGCTCAGAGGTTTCAGGATGCTGGGACCCATGTCTCTGGGGTTTGCTTGGACTTTCTCTTTTTCATCTCCTCATTGTCACAGGATGGCTGCCACAGTTCCAGGATCAACTTATATTAAAGAGAGGAAGGGGAGGGGGCACACCCGCAGACTTCTATTTCAGTCTCATTGTTGGAATGGTGCCACCAGGCCACCTTTAGCTGCCCTGGCAGGTGAGAGAGTAAGCAGTTATATCAAGACATCTCCAGTACAGGCAGGCAAAAGGGATGGGTGTTGAGGATGGGTCCAGGCGAGCGACCCTAAGGGGCAGCCAGGCAGGAAACGGGATGCAGAAAAGAGGTTTGCCTGAGCCAGAAGGTGGAGGCACAAAAACAGTGCGTGAGGATGTGGTGTGTGGTCTGGAACAGCGGGACACTGAGCCCATGGGTGATGGGTGATGGTCCTCCTGGGTCAGCCTCAGATGCCACACTGAGTCTTTGGACATTGTCCTGGGGCTGGCTGTGGGGGAGGGGACAAGATACGGGTGTGTTTTAGAGACAGCTTTATCAGGTGGGTGGAGGAGTGGTTGTGGATGATGCCTGGAGTCTGGACCTGCTGGTGGCAGATGGCACGGTGATCCGGGCAGCAATGGTGCATGTCTTAAGGGAAGCAGTCGCTCCTTGCACCCTGGACTCTGGTTCTCCCTGGGATCCCAGGGAAGGATGAAGCAGTGGGGCCTGGGAAAGGCTTCGAGGTGGAGGCAAGGCTGAGTCATTCTCCAAGTCCAAGGAAGACAGAAGTCATCAGTCCAAGAAAGGAAGACCATGGGTAAGACTAAGGGAAGAGAATGGTGGCTGGGGCTTGAATTAGAAGATATTTTGTGCTTAGGTAAGATGTTTTGTGTGTCTAGGGCCCGAGGACCCATAGAGCACAGGCTGTGGGATGCACTGTTGGAGCAATGGGCACGCTGTGTGGGTGGACACAGGGACAGTGAATGGCCGAAGATGTGGTAAGAGGTGGGGGGCAAGCCATCATGCTGCCTGGAGATCCAAAATGCCAGTGACAATGCGTGTTGAGGATGGGTCCAGGTGAGCGGCCCTGTAGGGAAAATGATCCCAGGAGGATTATCCACAGGAGCTCTGATCCACCGAGCACGTGATCAGTGCCAGACAGCAGGCTGGACACTTGTGGGCCGCTTCTTTCTCATAACACTGGGAGTAGGTGTGTTTACCTCTGTTCTACAGAGGGGGAAACTAAGGCTAAGGTAACAGTAATAACAATGAAATAAAAACAATGACAAAGCTGGGCTGGAGCCAGGTCTGTCTGTGGGCGGATTGCAGGTTCTTCACCTCCTGCCAGGGGACCAACCTCAAGCACTTTCTGCTCCAGATCTTGAAGAGCCGTGTTGGGATATGGCTCTCTGCAGGGAGGGTGACATCCCAGCCCTATTCCTGCCACCCACAGGTCACCGTCCATGCTTTGGTCTGGAGTGTCCTGACGTGTGTGTGCTGGACTCTGCTGGCACCTCTTTCTGTAGGGTCCATCCTGGGGCAGGGGGGCCTCACTCAGTGCCCTCGGGTCTGGAGACATGAATCACGAACCCTCCCACCAGCCCCAGGATTTGGTCAGTTATAAAAATATCCGGATTTGGCATGGGGCGGATTCAGGAACCGAAGTTTGCTCTTGCCCTGTTCTTGCAGTATTGGATTGTACAATTATAGCTCTTTAGAAGTTTCCTAATATGCCACAAGATGTCAAGCAGCAGCACCAAGATTAATACTTTTTTTAATGACCATTGCTGACTTTGACCTTGAAGTGTGTGGTGTGTTCTGAGAGCATATTTCCTCCCCTCTGCTTTGCAGCTCCTGGATTTTGAAAAATTAACTCCTTGCTCTCATCTGAACAGTTCACCTAAGGTGTTCACTTGTTCTGTTTACCTTGAGCTAAAGTGTTTTAGAGAGAGAGGGAGAGGGAGGAGGGAGGTAGAGAAAAGGAGAGGGGAGGTGGAGAGGTAGGGGGAGAGGAAGGAAGGTGGGAAGGAAGGGGAGGGAGAGGTAGGGAGAAGGGGGAGGGGTGGGGGAAAGAGATAAAGCTTTTTGTTCAGACTTCCTGCTTCGTCTCCAGGTCTTCAGTGGCCTGCTGGGTACCTGGTGAAGCCCCTTCTTTGAGCCCAGCCTCACATGCGTGCTCCGCCCAGCCCTCTGGAGCCTCTGACCCTGGCAGTGAGTGCAGGCATCCTTCCCACCACACCCTCATGAATCCCCCTCTCCTCCCTGCCCTCAGTTCTCCTCTCCTCATTTCCTTCCCCTCTTTTCTAACCTCCTCTGCTTCTGTCTCCCTCCCACGTTCAGGAATCTGGCATTGGCCTGGCCTTTGTTTCCAGCCTAGACTGCCTTGTTCAAGATGAATCCAGGAGCCCCAGATTACTCCAGCCCCGAGGCAGGGTCCCTGGGTAGGAGGGCAGTGTGGCGAGTCAGCGGGGAGGACTGATGGTGAAGGGGCCTTTTTGTAACTGTGCTTGTCAGCCTGGCCACCCTCTCAGCTGCATCGCGGTTTACCTGGCCACGGCTGAGTGATTGGACCCCCAATCCCATGTGACAGCAGAGGCCGAATGCAGAGGGTGGGAGGATAAGGTGGTCTGGCGTTGGAACAGGAGGCCATGCTGGCTCCTTGGGCTGCCACAGAGGGACCTGGGGCTACTCTTGGGTCTGACACGACTTGCTGTGTGATCTTGGGAATGTCACTCACCTTCCCTTGACCTCAGTTTCCTCAGTTGTCCAATGAGAAAAACACTCCTGCCCAGGCTGCTTTTCAGGGTGTGTGTGAGGCTCAGAGATGCCAAAAAGGATCACATTTTGAGTGGGAGAAAGCGCTGGGCTCTATGCTGTTAGCTTGGCCGATGGGGCCACCTGGTCAGCTGGCATTGCACACAGGGGGCCAGGCCAGGCTCTGGGGGCCTTATGCTTAGCCCCTGTCTCAGTCCACTCTGTGCTTGCTATAAAATAATACCTCAGACTGGGTAATTTATAAAGAAAAAAGGTATATTTTGCTCACGGTTCTCCAGTCTGAGAAGTTCAAGGGCATGGCCCAGGCTTCTGGGGAGACCTCTTGTGCTTCCTCATAACATGGTGGGGAAGGACAAAGGGGAACAAGATGCCTTCAGTGAGGGGAAACTCAAGGGCTGTCCTGGCTTTTTAACAAATGAATGTAAGTCGGCCAGAATGAATCGTCTCTAGAGAGGGGGACCTCAGGCACTATGGGAGAACTGCACTAAACCATTTGGGAGGAAGCTGCCTCCACAACCAAACCCCTCCTACTGGCCCACCTCTCCACACCCCACGCTGGGGTGGGACGAGCAAGCCACATCCAAAGTATTGCAGCCCCAAGCATCACTCATTAGCTGGGTGATATCGGGCAGCTGCTCCAGCTCTGTGGGCCTCAGTTTAACAATCATATTAATCCAAGATCTCTTTCCAGGTTATGGGGTGGAATGTGGAATGGACAAGAGCACATTCAGAAGGGGAGGGCATTAACAGAGCACAGCACCTCTTAAACTCGGTGCATGTGGGGCTGGAGCGCAGGTGTCGCAGCAGTGCTCCCTGTCCCGAGGCCTCGCGTCTGCTGTGTTCCTGTCTGGGCTTCTCGCAGAAGGCCATTCTGTGGGCCTTCAGGGTCAGATAGTGCATTGCCTCTTGGTGGGTGCAGAGACACTGAGCCTGTTCTGTTAGCACTTGGGGCTGACACCTGAAGTGGCTCACTCAAGTCATTCTGTCCAGGAGCTGCTCCAAGAATTAGCCGAGATCCCACTCATTTTTATGGAGTAAACCCAAAGTAAGGACGTTATCGGCTGTGGAGCTTAGGAGTTCTGGACCATCTGCCAAGAGACATTGATGATGCTCATGATCCCAGGTCACTGGGCTCACGCTCAAGGCTTGCTACTTATTTATTTCTCTTCCATCTTTTCTTTATGGAGAAAAGCTCTTTAGGAGTTTCCTAATGTGCCACAAGGAACAGTAGGGAATGTTCCTAATGTTCCAGTCGGACTCTGCGATTCCTGAATCTTCCCACTGCTGAGCTTTTGCCCGCCCGTCTGCCCCAGCCTGAGTCCTTGCTCCTCCTCCTCTGCCTGCCTGGGTCCAGCTGATTATTTAGGTGATGCTTCCTCTGGGACTTCACTCCATGATGAGGACCAAATTTTACGGGAATGAATGTAAGGTGCTGAGCACGGGTCCTGACTTCGGCTTCCTGAGCACATGCTGGGGAAGCAGGAAGACTTGGACCCAGACCGGCAGAGGCCACGTTTCTGTTTTGTGCTGACCACACTCGATTTGTTGTGATTCTGTTCTGGGTCTAGCAGAGAAACATGGCAAGAATGGTTAAAGGTCTGGACTCAAAACCAGAGCAGGGGAGGTAGGGAGGATGCAGAAGTGCTCTGTGTGGTGGGAGGTGTGAGAGCCATGAAGGAACGTGGTGGCTGTTCCCAAATCCCATTTCTTGGTGTCCATTGAGACAGCCATTAGGATCGATGGGTGGAAGTTACAGGGAAATTGATTCTCTTTCTTCCTTAAATATCAATGCTATTATGGGGGGGCGAACCAAATGTTGCACCCCCCACCCATAATTCTGTGTTAAAATCCCAACACCTGATGGGATGGTGTTAGGAGGTGCGACCTCTGGGAGGTGATTGGGTCATGAGGGAGAAGCCTCATGAATAGGATTAGTTCCTATATTAGTCTGTTCTTAGGCTCCTAATAAATACATACCCAAGACTGGGTAATTTCTAAAGGAAAGAGGTTTAATGGACTCACAGTTCCACATGGCTGGGGAGGCCTCACAATCATGGTGGAAGGCAAAGGAGAAGCAAAGGCACTTTTTCCATGGTGGCAGGCAAGAGAGTGTGTGCAGGAGAACTGCCTTTGTAAAACCATCAGATCTTGTGAGACTTATTCACTACCAGGAGAAGAGCACAGGAAAGACCGCCCCCATGATTCAATTACCCCCCCACCGGGTCCCTCCCACGACATCTGGGAATTATGGGAGCTACAATTCAAGATGAGACTTGGGTGAGGACACAGCCAAACCTTGTCAGTGCCCTAATGAAAGAGACTTCAGAGAGGCTTTGCCTCTCTTCCAGGGCATAGGGTTATAGGGAGAAGGATGTGGCCCTCACCACACTGAACTGCCAACACCTTGATCTTGGACTTCTCAGGCTGCAGAACTGTGAAAAATGAGTTCCTGTTGTCTACGAGCCACTCAGTCTAGGCATTTTGTGATAGCCTGGACTGACTAAAGCAATCCTAAAAGACATGGAAGTAGAAGGGGTGTGTTATGAAGTAGTTAATTCTCCACCATGGAGCTTTCCAGTACAGGGGGACGTGTGTGGTGGAAGGGAGTTGTGCTTCAAGGGAGGGGGGCAGTGGCTAATTTCTCACATGTCTGCCACCTGACATGCCGCAGCCCCTTAAATCAGGGGTAGTTTGGGTGTGGCCTGGCAGGAGGGCTGGGGCGATGACCTGTGAAGCTTCCAGCCCAGCTCTGAGCAGGGCCTGGATCACCACAGGGAGGCCGGGGCTGAGCTCTGAGATGGGCAGTGAAGCATGGGAGGGAGGCAGAGGAAACTGGGATTGGAGTGGAGGAGCCAAGAACAAGCGTGGAGGCAGGAGTGGCAGGTGTGGACCATGCTGGGAATACTCAGGCTAAGCCACGGGAGTGCAGGCTTTGGGAGGTGGGTGGTTTTGCCTCAGGGTGTCTCCATGTGCTCCATACACTCTCCCAGCAGAAGCTCTGAGTGTGCTTAACCTGCCACCAGCACCATGCCCTCTTGCTACAGCACCACCTCCTCCTACACCAGCACCACACCCTCCTGCTCCAGCACCACGCCCTCCTGCACCAGCATCACGTCCTCCTGCTCCAGCACCATGCCCTCCTGCACCAGCACCATGTCCTCCTGCACAAGCACCATGTCTTCCTGCACCAGCACCCCCTTCCTGCTCCAGCACCACGTCCTCCTTCTACCTTTAATCCCCATTGTGAGTCCTTACTTTCCCCCACTGTCCTGTTTAGAACAAAGCACTGTCGATCCCTATCATTCATGGATTCCACAGTTGTGAATTCACCTACTTTTGAAAATCCATCTCTAACCCCCAAATCAACCCTGGCAGCACTCTCACAGTCATCTGCAGACTTGCAGAGGGGTGAGAGATTTGAGCTCCCAGCTCAGGTGGAACAAAGCTCTGCCTGCCTTCTCGCACCCACGCTGTAAACAAATGTGTTGTTTTAAGGTCTATTTAGTGCTACTTTTTCCACATTTTAATGCTTTTTGTTGGTGCTTTTGCTGTTTAGAGTGGCCCACAAGCTCAGTGCTGATGTGCTGTGTTCCCAATGCAGGAAGGCAATGATGCGCCTTAAGAGAAAATATGTGTCTCAGAGAAGCTTCAAGCAGGCTGTGTTCTGGTGCTACTGGCTATGAGTGTTACCAATAGTATATATAATATAATTAATAGTATATATTAAACAAGGCATCTCTAAACAAAAACACAGATGAAACAAGGTCATGTACTGATTGCTGATGAGAATGTGACCAGAGGCCTGTAGGAACCTAGCCTTGTATTTCTCCTAGGCACTGAGGTTCAGCTGCTGATTTTCTGTTTATGGCATAACTACTGTGTATGATGAGCATGTGGACTGGGCTCGGTTTGGATCGGGCTTGGTTTGGACCAGCTTTCTTTATGACTTTCCACATTCTGCGCTGATAATTACATGAGTGCTTATTCAAATCTTTCCAGTGGCTGGACAATTCTCAAGGACATGGTCTATGGATGACAGTGGATGGAGGCTGGAGACAGAACCCTCAGTCTTGAGATCTTCATGACAGTCCATGAGTGGAGAGGGGAGGCTAGAAAGGAAGGCTCAGCTGTGAGTTACTATTTGGGGAACTGACAGGACACAGACTAGCAGTACAGGATTGGGCTCACTGGCTGTGAGCCCTGTAGCCAAGTTACCTGGGTTCAAGCACCGAGGTGGCACTTCCTGTTCCCCTTGGGTAGGCTCCTAAATTTATTTGTGCTTCACTCTTCTTAGTTGTAGATGGGCACACCTTGCTTACACGGTCATTGTGAGGAATTAAATGAGCTCATGAGTACAAAATACTGAACATTATGCCTGGCACAGGGACAGGGCTCAACAAGCCCCAGCTCTTAGCATCTGATGGGGAGGGATGGGGAGGAGCAGGAGATGCCAGGTCCCAGCCTGAGACAGAGGAGAGTCACTGAGGTGCCCTCGCGGGGAGAAGAAGCAGGGCCAGCGACATCGGCAGTCTCTCTTACCCCAAACATTTCCTTTCCCAGCTCATCAGCTGGAACTTCTCAGCATTCTTTTCGGCTGAAATTTTATTTCTGGACGTTCCTTGCCAGCACATCACCAGCTGTTATTTGCTAGAAGGAATCCACTTATGTAACTGTCGTCTTTGAAAGGGGATTGGAAGAGGGCAAAGGAGTCTGGGAGAGAGGGTAGAGAAAGTGGCCTATTTCCATGGTGCCCATGTTCACAGGGCTCTGGGGCACCTGAGCAGGGCTTTTATATTTGCGGGGGACTTAGCTCCATGTGAATTGCAAGAGAAGGACGTCTTACAAAAAGGGCACCAAAGTCTTTCAGAAGTTTGTTTTCCAGAGCTGAGTAGATTCCCCATGTGATGCTTGAAAGGGTGGGAGCCCCAACACTTGCAGGGCGCCCTGCAGCCCACATGTGGGGTCCGCACTGTCTGACTGGGGCAGGCGCCTGTGAGGGCAGGGCTGGTCCACAATGGGGATGCCGTGGTTTGAGGGGTGCTTCTGCCTTGGTCACGCATGGGCAGGGCCTGGAGCGGGGGCTCCATGGGCATGCGGATTCCCATCCAGTCCAGAATGACGTGAGTGAGAGGGGCTTCCCCAGAGCCAGCACAGAGGCAGGTTCGATCCCTCCACCTTTGCATCTGCCTCCTGTCCTGAGCTGGGGGAACGTTGACAATAATGACTCACGTTCAACAGACCGCTTCCCTTCTGGGCCCTTCAGGTGGAGGCCAGAGAGAAACCACATTGCCAAGGGAGCTTCGCGTGCAGGGGCGTGAGCTGGTCACTTACACACTGATCCCCTCTCCCCAGCACACTGCTGGGTCACAAGGAGCTGGTCACTCACGGATTGCCCCCTCTCCCCGGCATACTGCTGGGTCATACGGAGCTGGTCACTCATGGATTGACCCCTCTCCCCGGCATACTGCTGGGCCACATGGAGTTGGTTACTCACACATGGACCCCTCTCCCCAGCACACTGCTGGATTACACGGAGCTGGTCACTCACGGATTGACCCCTCTCCCCGGCACACCGCTGGGCCACATGGAGCTGGTTACTCACACATGGACCCCTCTCCCCGGCACACTGCTGGGCCACACGTCCCAGGTCCTTTATGGTTAGACATGGCTGCATCATGGAAAATGGGCAGAGTGAACATGTTTTGCTTTGGGGACTAAGTCCTTAAGAAGCACTGGGCCTCTGCACACTCTTCCTCCTTTCTTGCACTGGAAGCACGAGTGAGTCCACCACATAGGGCAGACGATGGGATTCACCCAGGTCCCAAAGTCGCCACCTCCTGCAGCAGGAACTGCCCTCCTTGCACTCCTGCTTGAACAAGAAGTGAGCTTCTGGTGCGTTTGGCCCCAAATGTATTGAGCGGTCTGTTGTGACCACATGCAGCTGACTGTAATCTGTAAACCCACTGTGCTAATTGAAGTAGATTATTTTTGCTGGCTCTTCCAAGTAACCAAAACATCTAGTTTCCCCAAACAGAGATTCATCCAAAATTTTGGTCAGTTGTGCCTCATAGTGTATATTAATAACTAGTAGTTTAAATGGGGAACCACATCTGCTTCTGGAATCTTACCAAGTGGGATCTTGGAGCAGGTTATGCTGGAGGAAGCATGCGTCACTTTCTGTTCGTGAAAGTGAAGTGTGAGGAGGCCGCCATCATCAGCCAGGGCCCCTGGGGCTTCTGAACTTACATTCTGCCTCAACAGGCTGGAGTTTCTAAACAGTACGAAAGACCCCAACGAGTTGTCACCCATTGCAGGTCAGCTATTAATGAATTGCTGATGACTAGCACTTGCTCTTTTATAATGAGCATCACTAGCATATTCACTGATGTTGTAGATCTCATTGTTCAAAAGGAAGGTCTGTGAAGGGGTCTGCCTCTGGCTCCTAAGGCGAAGCTCCTCTGTGTGTGTGTGTGTGTGTGTGTGTGTGTGTAAGAGGTGCAATTTATGCAGCAGATGTTGGAGCCCCGACTGTGTCACACACCAGGAAACAGCAATGAAGAAGAGATGCACCTGCCCCATGGTGCAGAGGATTCTGCGTGTCCCAGCCTCCAGCACCGAACCACTGAAATTGTTCGCATGAGGCATCTTACCTGGTAAAGGGTTTTGTGTTCCCAGCACTCCCCTGGTCCTGCTCTTGGCTGTTCCTGGTAGCAGCTGGTTTCTGGGATAATGGCTCTGCCAAGCAGACATCATTCCCTCTATGGAAGTGCGAGGAGCATGATTTGAAACTCGATGAGGGAAAGTGATCTGTGGGTGCCTCATTTCTGGTAAGAGGCTTGTGATGGCTTATAAATCCATGATGGGCTGAACTGTGTCTCTTCCAAATTCATAAGTTGAAGTCCTACACTCCCAGTGCCTTAGAATGTGACTGTATTTAGAGATGGCGTCTTTAACGAGGTCATTAAGTCATACCGAAGTCAGTAGGTTTGGTTCTAATTCAACCTGCCTGGTATCCTCATAAGAAGAAGAGATGAGGACACAGACACACAGAGGGACGACCATGTGAAGACCCTCGGAGAGAGGGCTCAGGAAAAGGGAGCCCTGCTGGTACCTCGGTCTTAGAGGTCCAGCTTCCAGATTTGGGAGACATAAGCTTCTGTTGTTTAAGCCTCACTGCCCGTCCCTCCCATCCTCAGGGCTTGTCATGGTGGCCTGAGCTGACTGATACAGGGTCCCATTGGCTTGTTGCTCTGACACCACTTTTCACTACCCTCTCCCCACCGTCCCACCCTTCTCCAGCCATGCAGATGTTCTTTCTCTCCCTTGAACATGTAGGTAGGGTTGGCTGGCTGGCTCATCTGCTTGGAATGTTCTTCCCCAGACACCTTCACGTGGCTGTTCCTTCACTTACCTGCAGTCTTTTCTCAGAGCCGCCACTCCATCCCGTCTGCTCTCCCTGCTCTTCCTCCATGGCTGCCACCACCATCTGCTTATTTATTCAATTGATTTCTCCCACAATAATGGGGCTGACCTTGGGGAGGGACTGTGCTCATTGAGGAGTGCCTGGTGCCCAGCCCACTGCCTGGCTGGCCTAAGAGGCTTAGCAAATGTTCATCCAATGAAAGATGGAAAGAAGACGCTGTCCAATGGGAGGTGTGTGATCCTGGCCATGTCCTCCCACCATTACCTACAGATCTGGTGGGGATAGTGATGCTCACTTAGCCTAGTGGTTGTGAAGATTAAGTGGGATGGCACGCCAAGATCACCAGTCTTCTTATAAGCATGCCACCTTCACCTGGAAGATGGAGGTTGGGGACCTTGAATGCAAGGCTGTGGCATTTCTGGCAGAGATCGGTGGCCTTCTGGACATTAATATCTGCAAAGCTTGCCTGGGAGCTCCACAGGAAGTTCTGACCCATGGTCACCTACTCCATTTTCTTAGGGCTCATGGAAAGCCTTCAGCAGTATCCTCTGTTGATAGCTCATCCCACTCTCTGCTGACCGCCAAGGTGCCTTTCATCTCTTCTCAATCCAATGCAGATTTGAACATTGCGCCCCTCCATTTAAACCTTCAGTAGATCCCTCATTTTCTTAAGAGCTAACTCCACACTTCCTCCTGCCCTCTCTGGCCCACAGTAGCCGATGTCCTCCAAGCTCCAGAACCCTGGTGTCCACTGCTCCTCTGTGGGACCTCCGGTTCCAACGGGCCCCTCTCCTCAGCACTCTGGGGGACCCTCAACGCCATCCTCTGTTGATGCCACTGCTCTCACCTCCACCTTCCTAGTGTCCTTTCCCCTCTCTCACCATCCCCTCCATCTGCCTGGTTCCTTGCAGCCTTTGAGGCTCAGCTCAGGGGAGACACTTCTGTCTCCATGGTCTTCTGTGCCTTTGCTTCTGTCTTTACCAGTGATACCACTTGCCACCTCACTATTGCTTTGCAATATCTCCAAGTGTTGAGTAGTTTGAGGCCCAGGCCACATAGCCTGCAAAGCTGGAAGTATTTATTCTCTGATTGTTTACAGAAAGCATTTGCTCGCCCTGATCTGGAAGGTGACCAAGTGACGAGCCTTCAGTGATCCGTCGTGAACACTTATCTCGACTGTGTGTTTGGTGAGGGCTTGGTGGAAGGTGCTTGTGGCTGCAGCCTTTGGCGAAGACACAGATTCCTCACTTATTCGAGGGCAGATCTCTGTGTAGTAGAGAGGTAGAAGCAGGAGGTGCAGAGGGGCCACTCTCCATGGCCCCAGGCAGACAGCCTCTTCTCCTTTTCTCTTCCTCTCTGTTCATATCCCCAGTTTTCCTAATTTGGGCCACATCACTTTCTCCTGGCCCCTGCCAGCACATGGGTAGTGGCAGGTAGGCAGGCAGATCTCAACTTTTGCTCTAAAAAGCATCCCTCATACACAACAATGGCACCAGTGGGGAGAGGTGCTCCAGGAGGCAACTGATTTTGCAACCAGAGGTTATTTCTTTTTTTCTATTTCCAGTTATCAGAGAAAATATGGATTTGCTGTATAGCTTTGATGTGTCAGAGCCTGTAATTGTGATCAATTTCTGTGTAGCAGATTAACTCAAAACCCAGCAGCTTAAAACAACAAATGTTTAACACCTCACACTATTTCTCTGAGTCAGGAATTTGGAAACAGCTTAGCTGGTAGTTTTGTTCTGGGTCTCAGGAGACCGCAGTCAAGAACTCTGACCAGGGCCATGCTCACCCGAAGGCTTGACCGAGGCCAGAAGGCCCACTTCCGAGTCTCACTCTCAGGACTACTGGGGGGAAGCCTCAGCTCCTCCCTGCAGGCACCCACGACAGGCTGCCTGGTGCCCTTGATAAGGCAGCTGGCTTCCCCAGAGCGAGGGATTGGAGAGGGTGAGGAGAAAGCTACAGTGCTTTTGTGACCTGGTTTTGGAAGTGGCCCAGGATGACTTCCATCACATCTGTCGGTTAGAGGGGGAGTCATTAAGTCATGCCTACGCTCAACGGGAGGGTCTAAGCTTCCCCTCCTCAATGGAGAATTGTTTGTGGACATCTTTTAGAACCACTCCGGAACTAAATAAATATGACCAGCACGTGTGTTTGTGTGTGTGTGTAACTGTGTGTGTGGAGCTTATATCTGTGTTTGTATATGTGTGTGTGGTGTGTTGTGTGCGCATTTTGTGCACCTGTGTTGTATGTATATGTGTGTGGTTTGTGTGTGTATATGTATGTGTGATGCGTGTGAATATATGCGTGTGGTATGTTTTTGGGTGGTGTGTTTGTGTGTGTGTATTTTGTGTGCATGTGTGTATATGTGTGTGGTGTGTTTGTACATTTTTGTGAGTGGTGTGTGGATATATGTGTGGTGCATTTTTGTGTGCATTTTGTGTGTATGGTTTGCATGTGTGTGGTGTGTTTGTGTGTGCATTTTGTGCGTGTGTGCATTTTGTGTGTTTGTGTGTGCATTTTGTGTGTGTGTCTGTGTGTGTATTTTGTGTGTGTCTGTGTGTGGTGTGTTTGTGTGTGCATTTTGCATGTGTTTGTAGTGTGTTTGTGTGTGTGTTTGTGTGTGCATGGTGTGTGGCATGTGTGCATGTGTGTTTGAGTGTGCATTGTGTGTAGTGTGTGTGTTTCTGCATGCATTGTGTGTGTGGTGTGTGTTTGTGTGTGCATTGTGTGTTTTTTTTGGTGCATGTGTGTGTGCGTGTGTGTGTGTGTGTGTGTGTGTGTAGCACTGGCCACGCCGGATACTGAACTATGCATTGAGGATGCAAACGTGATCTCAGAGGAGCTGGTGAGATCACTGGGCCCCGGGGTGTACAGTCATGCACCAGACAGCAGCACGCGGTGGCTCTGAGTTCCAAGATAAACACACGAGGCTTTAGAGGAGAAAGGTCACCACGGCTTGGCGTGTTCCAGGAAAACTTTGTGGGAGGGAGTCAAAGGCGCCAGTGACCACTGACTGCCTTGGGCAGGGTCCCGCGGGAGATGGAGTGTCACTCAGGGCTAAGAGTTTAGGGTGGGGGGCCCTGCAGAGGCCAGCATGGGACCCTCCAAGCCCCTGTGGGATGTGGGAGCAGCAGGGTGGAGGGCAGGAGCCAAGTCTGGATGGGGTTATCAGGGTCATAGGGCCTGGCAAGGACGGGGTCATAGGGCCTGGCGAGGGCAGCGATGGATGTGGGGCTGTGCTGCTGAGGCTGCAGCCACCGCCACAGGGCCGCTGTGATCGTGGCCTCCCCACCCCCAGGGTCCTGCCTGTGTCCCCAGTGGCCAGCCCCACATAGCAGCCTGAGGGCCTGGGTGCAGGCTCGGGGCAGGAGAGGCTGGGAGAGCAGGTCTCGCCCCTGCAGACTGGGGTATCACCTTAGAGGGGGCAGCAGCTCCCAGCCAGGAGGCGGCAGCAGGGGTGGGCCTCAGGGCTTTGGTGAAAACCCCCCGGAAAAGGATTCCTGGAACCTGAGACAGTCCCAGAAGCGTTGCTCAGGCCTCCCCCTGCCGTCCTGCTCCATCCATGGGTGTGGGGTCTGTGTCATTCTTTATTTGGTGATGACTTTCCAGGGATGCGTTGCAATAAAAATGAACCTGAATGTAACAAAACATCCTGAATCCAGGCCTGAGGTGGGGGTGGAAGAACTCCCCTAACTTTGATCTCATGCTGCTTATTTTTGTCTGAGGATCTGAGACCCTTGAGAGAAAAATTTCCTGGTAGGGTGTCGTCCAGACCTAGTTTCCCTTTCTCTTCAAAATTGTGCTTCATCTTGTGAAGGCTGCACTATGCTGTCCGCGGCACGCTCCACCTGCCTGAGAGAAGACAAATGCCCAGGCGGGGCTGAGGGATGCTTTGCTTGTTCAGGACTGAGGGGCCACAGAGACGTGTGGCCATCGGGGTTCAGCCAGGGGAGTCGCGGTGTGGGCTAGGGCTGCTGGGGGGGACCCGGTGCCCTGATGGCCCAGTGTGGTCCTGCTCCAGTGCAGGTGGAGAAGCCACCCTCCCCAGGGGCATTGTTCACATAGGATGCCTTCATGGTCAAAAGATGCCTGGGTCATATCACCAGGTGCCCCCCATCACCAGGTCATACCACGTAGGATGCCCTCATGGTCGAAAGATGCCCTGGTCATATCAGCAGGTGCCCCCTCCACCTGGGAAGCTCCAGGAGCTCTACTGCATTCTTTAGGAGAGCCAAGCGTGTAAATTTACCTGCTTCAATCACATCAGCGTTTTAGAAACCAGGATATGTGGAGATGCAGCTCACTTAGCTTCATGGAGCTTTGGTGTCTGCCCCCGTGCCTGCCCGGGCCTTGCATAGAGTAGGGCATCAACAACGAGGTCTGGAAAGAAGGATGAGTAGAGCTTTGGCGGGGCGGGGGTAGGGGGAAGCTGAGGGGGCTGGGAGGAGGGGCATCTGTTCTCCGAGAAAAGACCAGGCCTAACTCCAGTTGCTGGACTTCCTTCCAGAGCACAAATCGAAGCGGATAGTGGTGCACAGAAGGAGCTGATGCTGGGTGGGGGCAGACCCCACGCTTCTTCCCGGGATCTGAGGCCGTAGTGGCCCCAGAGCAGCTTGGACTTGCGGCCCCTGAGGGACCCTTTGTGCAGCGTGGCATGAACAGCATGGATGGTACCAACAGCCCATTGTGTCAAGGAAGAAGCCAACAGATAGCCCTGCAAGGGGCAGCTTTTAGGTTGGTGGGGACCCACTGAGCCAGCTGCAGCTTTTAGGTTGGTGGGTACCTGCCTGTAGCCACCCCTCACTGAGCTCTACACCTCAGCTGCACCTGCTATGGTGTATGAGACCCTGGGCTCAGAGCAGGGAGGGACATGGCCCGTTGGTTTCCAAACCCAGCTGCCTGTGCATCCATCACCAGGAACTGGGAACAGCATTCCAGCTGCTGATTCTGGGCCCTGCCAGTCTGAAGTGGGGCCTGGCCATCAGCATTAGAAATGGGAGTCCCGGGCAATTGTGATGCAGTTGGTTCACGGACTGCGACTTGGGGAGCCACTAAACTCATCCAACAATCTCATCTCATGCGTGGAAAAACTGAGGCTTGGAGCAGTTGAGTGATTTGTACAAAGCTGTGCACCCAAATGCTGCCTGCCCTGTGTGTGCTCTGTCCACCGCCCCTTAATCCTTGTGGCCAGTGCCACCTGGGGCAGCTTTGAGTTTCCATATGCATGGCCTGGGCATTGCAGGAGGCCATTGGGTAGATGAAGCTGGTGCTTTAGAGGCCTCACCCATTTCATGATTTGTCCCAGGTCCCCGGTGGGTGAGGGTCAGACTCAGAGTCTGACTCCAGACGGTCGGGCTCACCACCTGTTGAATTCACTGGCTAGCTACGGGACGTCGGGTACCCTCAGCTGCACCCAGTGGTCCTCCTGAGAAACCCAGAAAGCCTGTGATCATTGCAGTGCCCAGGGAGGCCTCCTCTGGTTGTTTTGCTGGCTGGGGCTGTTTGTCTCACGGTGGGTCCGCCCGTGGTCGCTGCGGCTGCCATTGGGGGTCCTGCAGGCCCCATGGGCTCCATTTGGAAGCACTTGTTGTTTTCTAGGCCCGACACCTGGTATCTGTGTGCACTGCGGTGGCCAGAAGCCGTGGAAGGAGAAGATATGGTGAGATGGCGGATCTATGCAGTTTTGTTCTTTCTTGGGTCTGAAATTTGGGCAAAAGGACTCTTAGAGGCGTTGGAGCTAAGAACAGCCAGGCTTGCAAGGCCGCTGGGTGGGCCTCCCTCTGTGATTCACCAGCGTCTCCCTGGCTCTGTGTGAAGCAGCCAAACCGGTTTTCTTCCCTGGCCGCACCACGCTGACTCCCTCTGGGCCTTGCTCCTGGTGACGGGGGCCCTCCCTGGCCAGCTCAGCCCTCCTGCAGGGGCTCCCAGGGCCCTTTCCTCCGGGAGCGTTCCTCGGTTCAGCGGGGCCTCATTCATGCAGTCACTCAGCTGTGTGTCCAAAAATGCCTGTGGGGCGCTCCCTACATACCAGCGTTGAGGCTCTGGGCACAGGACAGGAATCAAATCCCCGACCTCACGAGGCTGCTACTGCTGCTTCCCGATCCCAGCTCTGAAAGACGGGCTCTGCAGCCCGACAGGGCATTGTGCAGCGCCTGTCCGTCACCATCCTTCACATAGGCTGGTCTTCACTGCCCAGCCGGAGCACCAGCCAGGGAAGACGGGGACCCCGCCTCTGGCATTTGTGATGGCCTGGCAGGTGCTTATGGGGAATGGGTGGAGAGAGTTGGCTAAGCCTGATATGAAACCTCTCTCTCTTTAAAAAATCGATATGACTTCATACCTTACCACACGCACGTATTAGTAAGTATTGGGAAAGAGTGAAAACAGAAGTCTTTATTTTTTAATGGGACATGATTAAACTTTAATGGCCAGTGACCTCATGAAATGAATGCCATGCAATGCCATTTACTCATCTAGGCTTGTGCATACCTTCTGGGTATTAGAAAATTACATAATTAAGTATAGATTACCACAGACGTGTCATTATGCATTTTATTATTCTTTAGAGACTTAATAGTAATACTCTGTATTTATATGTGCTTTTCATCATGTTATCTCCAATCGCTTTACAAATATTATCTCATTAATCCTTTGCAACTGTTCTGTGAATGTCTCTATTTAATAGATTAAAAGCCGCAACCTGAAGCGATTAAGTGACAAGTTGAACATCCCATTCTTCACTATGCTACAAAGGCAAGAAGGCAGGCTCACTGCCCTTTCCACCTAGAGAGGACATCTTCTTTTTTCCTTTTTTTTTTTTTTGAGATGGAGTCTCACTCTTGTCACCCAGGCTGGAGTGCGGTGGCTCGATCTCAGCTCACTACAACCTCTGCCTAGTGGGGGTTCAAGTGATTCTCCTGCCTCAGCCTCCTGAGTAGCTGGGATTACAGGCAGGCACCACCACACCCAGTTAATCTTTGTACTTTTAGTAGAGATGGGGTTTCACCATGTTGGCCAGGCTGGTCTCAAACTCCTGACGTCAGGCTATCCACCCACCTTGGGCTCCCAAAGTGTTGGGATTACAGGCGTGAGCCACCATGCCTGGCTGACATCTTCTAATTATTTGAGAACTGAAGCTAAAATCTTGTTTCCCAAGCTCACGTGAACATCAGTAGAAATAAAACTGTACATCGTAGAGTAATCAGGGTTGCAGATTTTCTGTGCCACCCCCATGCTGAGAGGCTTTTCTTTGCATTTGAGTTCTAAGAGAAAACTGTAGTTCCAAAGAGAAGCAATTCTTTAAATGTCCTAATCCAGTGGTGGGAGATTGGCAGTGTGGGCTTGGATCACTCACAAGCACATTTGCTGTGTGTCTGTGCTGTGCTCGTGTTTGTGGATGGCGGCTGCGATGCCCGGGCAGGCTGGTACTCACGGACATCGAGACCAATCCCTGAGCTCCTCCTGGAGATGAGTGTCATTGGGAAGGTTTAGGCCTCATTTCTTGAGGGTTTGTGTGCTTCAAGCTCACCATCTTCATTCCTCGTAACAAACCCCGCGGGGCAGCTGCAATGCTCCCCATTCTACAGATCAGACAGCACAGGCTGGAAACACGAGGTGATTTGCCGAAAAAGTCACACCACGGGCAGGCAGTGGAACAATGAGGGCCATGCTCGTCTGGTGGATCCCAAGTCCCAGGCAGCCTCTAAGAAGAGAAGGGCCCTGAGGTTTAAATTAATTAGAAAACATGCAAACATTGACTCATTTAGAAAAGGGCTTTTTCTTCTGAAAAAGTGAAACATTTTCTATCAAGTTAATAAGATAGGATATTAGGCAGAATAAAGGTTTTCATTTTCATGAAACATTCCAGCTTGGTTAAAAAAATTACTAGGATCTTTGTTCTTGGGAATATTCTTGAATTTCTTCCACTTTGTTTTGTTTTGTTTTGTTTTGTTTTGTTTTTTGTTGCCCAGGCTGGAGTGTAGCTGTGTGATCATGGCTCACTACAGCCTTGACCTCCTGGGCTCAAGCAATCCTCCTGCCTCAACCTCCTGAGTGGCTGGGACCACAGGCACACGCTGTCAACTTTCCACATCTGATGTGGTTTGAATCTGTGTTCCTTCCGCAAGTGTCATGTCAAATTGTAATCTCCAGTGTTGGAGGTGGGCCTAGTGGGGTGAGGGTCATGGGGGTGGATTTCCTTCTCCGTGCAGTTCTTGCGATAGTGAGTTCTCGTGAGATCTGTCTGTTTAAGAGTGTGTAGCACTCTCCCCCCTTCTTTCTCACTCCTGCATTTGCCATGTAAGATGCCTGCTCCCCCTTCCCCTCTGCCATGAATAAGAGCTCCTTGAGGCCGCTCTAGAAGCAGAAGCCCCCGTACAGTCTGCAGAACTGTGAGCCAATTAAACCTCTTTTCTTATAAATCACTCAGTCTCAGGTTTTTTTTTTTTTTTTTTTTTTTTTTTCCGGAATCCCGCTCTGTTGTCAGGCTAGAGTGCAGTGGCGTGATCTCTGCTCACTGCAACCTCCGCCCCCTGGGTTCAAGCAATTCTCGTGCCTCAGCCTCCCAATTAACTGGGACTACAGGCATGTCACCACGCCCAGCTAATATTTGTATTTTTAGTAGAGATGCAGTTTCACCATGTTGGCCAGGATGGTCTCGATCTCTTGACCTTGTGATCCACCCGCCTCGGCCTCCCAAAGTGCTGGGATTACAGGTGTGAGCCACCGTGCCTGGCCCCGGTGTTGTTTTATAGCAACGCAAGAATGGCCTAATACAACATCCTAAAATGGCTCTTGGTGAACACTCATGTCACAGAAGTTCAGAAGGGCCGTTGGCATCTAACCAAGCATTTCCCAAGTTATTTTCCTGAACAACCTCATCCTCTATAAACCCAATAGCCCAGGACAAATGGCAATCGGAAGTCAAAACCCTGGGCTGCGAACTGAAACCCTGGTGCATGGTAAGCATGCATTAATGATTCAAAATAAATAAATGAGATACTGGGGATTCTTAGTAGTCCAAAAGGCATGTTTTCTACCTAAATATTTCTTGTTGATTCTCTTCAGCTTTCCTGTCATGAAAATGGGTGAGAGCCTAGGGTTACTGAGTTAATCTCACTGGGGTTTGTAAATTATATCCGACCCTGGGAATGAGTACTATGGAACTGGAGTATATTTATGTGTAATTATCATTCATTTGCCCTTTCAGCTTGATGGTGCAGGACACAGTAAATGCATCAGATATTTATTTAATGGGTAATTCATGGTGGGGGCTCTTAAAGAAACAAATTACCTAACTAATTGGTGGAAGTTTGACTTCTTGGCTTTTTAAATGACTATAGTTACTTTTGATAACATTAAGAAGGCAGCACCTATAATTTAACCTTCCACTGAAAACCATGTTGGATTGGAAGGAGGCACGTGGTCAGTGCAGAGCGGCTCCCTGCGCTGAGATGACCGGATGAGGCGGCAGGTGGTCTGTTCTCTTCGGTCTGGGGACAGGAACATTCAGCGGCCAGCTGGGAGTGCTGCTCCTGTGAGTTTCAGGTCAAAGAAGGACCCACAGGAGGTGGCAAGGACCCGGGCAGGAGGAGAACTGGGAGAGGGCGTCACACTCGCTGAGTGGAAGAGCCAGGCCCGTGGGGAGCATGTGAGCCTGGGCATCTCCACCTACTAGGCTTTGACTTCCTCGTCGGATCAGTAAGCAGTTAGATTCTGTTAGTGATTCCCAGGCTTGGATACCGTCTACTGGGACATTCAAAACAAATGAACAAATGAATTTGCTGACTAACAAGCTGGCCTCTTCTCTCTCTTTTATTGCCGAGGACATTAGAAAGATCTATTTTTTTTCTTAATTGTTTTTGTTGTTGTTTGTTTATTTGTTGTTTGTCTGTTTTTTTGAGACTGAGTTTCACTCTTGTCACCCACGCTGGAGTGCAATGGCAGGATCTCGGGTCACTGCAACCTCTGCCTCCCAGGTTCAAGCAATTCTCATGCCTCAGCCTCCTGAGTAGCTGGGATTACAGGTGCCTGCCACCACGCCCAGCTAATTATTGTATTTTTAGTAGAGGCAGGGTTTCACCATGTTGGCCAGGGTAGTCTTGAACTTCTGACCTCAGGTGATCCACCTGCCTCAGCCTCCCAAAGTCCTGGGATTACAGCCATGAGGCACCATGCCCAGCTAGCTTAATTGCTTTATAAACAATAGAACATTTTAGTATCAAAAAGGAAACCTTCAGAATGAAGACAGTCCTTTAAATTTAATAATTTGGGTTTATGGAAACATTCACCTCTACTGTACTTATTGTGCTCATTTCCTCCATGAAATCTTGACCTAGTCCAAGGACGACCGTTTGGGAACCCCTGGCCCAGGCGATCCTGTGGGGCCCTCAGTCACCCACTGGCAGGTCCTCTGTGTCTGGGGGTCAGTCGTGGGCAGCCCTGGCTGAATAGCTTCTGACCTGAGGACCCTCTCGCTCAAGCATGGGGACAGGATTCCTCCCAGAACAGCCTCCTCCACATGCAAGCATGTGGCTTCTGGGGACACAGGTAAGAAAGGTGGCATCTTACGTGGGGCATCTGTGCTCGACAGTAACACCCAGCATCATGAAGGTGGGCACAGCTGCTCCCTGAAAGACATGTGATGTGTGGGAAGATCTGCGGGTCCACGGAGTGGCTGTGGGTGAGTGTGGCTTTGGAGGCACACACTAAATGCTTGCTGATCAAACCCACTGATAAACGAAGGAGGCCCTGATGAAGATCACAGACCACACGGATGTGATGGATGAGGACATTCAGGCCACCAGGTGCACATTCGTTGTTTTTGCATCTCAGCACTACACTCCCATTTTCGTGCATTTCCTTTAGTGCTGCCATCGGTGGGTTCATCAAGGTGTCATGCCTTCCCTGGCCGCCGAGCTGGTGTGTGATCTGAGCTGAGCTGACTATGCTTTCTCTCCATGGGAAGAGTTACTCAAGGATGAAGGCTGTGGAGCTGTTTCTCCTGGTGGTACTTGTCCTGAGCTGTCCATTTGTTCCTCCTGCAGGGACCCTGGGAGCCGCCTGGATTCTTGTCCTCCCTGAGGCACAGGTGTTAGCTTGTGTTCCTCTGAACTCTCCCCTCCTTTAATGTTTACATCAAGAAGAGCTAATTTCGGTTGCTTGCAACCAAAGAACTTTAATTCATGGAGCAATGACATTTGTTAGTGCCATACTGCTTGCTAGGTTATGCTTTCCAGACCCCATTCTCATGAAATTGGCGCTGGCTGATGAGTCATAAGTGGATATCACTGGTGTCATTTGGGGATCAAATCACTAACTTGTGAATTTAGGAAAATCAAGAGTTCTCTCTCCCTCTGGTCCAGACCCCTTGACATTCGAGATGGTGACTATCTGGGCAGCCTGAAGACTGGCTGACTCCTACTCCTGCACCATGTGGCCACACAGACCTGTGACGGACATAGTGTGAGGAGGAAATGAAATGTCTTAAGTCAGTGAGATGTGGGGGCTGTTTGTTATGCAGCACAATCTGGACCATCCTGACTGACACAACGGTCAACCTGCAACGTCAAGCCTTTTTCTTTTTTTTAAATGTTTATTTATTTATTTTTATCATTTTATTTTATAATGTATTTGTTTTAAAATTGAAAAGTGGAAAAGCATATATATTTATGGTGTGCGATGTGACATTTTGATATATGTGTTTATTGTGGAATGATTACATTAAACTAATTAGCATATCTATTGCCTCATGTCCTTATTTTTTGTGGTGAGAAGATTTAAAATCTACTATCTCAGCAATTTTCAAGTATATGATACATTATTATTAGCTACAGTCATTATTCTGTGCAATCGATCCCCAGAACTTATTTCTCCTGTATAACTAAAACCTTGTACCCTTTGGCCAACATCTCCCCATTCCCTGTCCAATGTTTTTCTTAATTCTCACAGCAGATTTGTTAGTGAGCGCCACAAACATAATCTCAGACTTCCATGTCCTCTGTAGAATGGAGACACAAGTACGCCTGACTCACAGGGTCATGCGGCTTCCGTGGGGTTAGCGTGCATGAAGTGTTGAGATCCCTGGGAGCTCCATGTCACGGGAGCTGTCACTCTTCCTGGCTACCTCTAAATGACACCTTGAAGCTGGTCACACCTCTCCCTCCCTCAACCACTACTACTCTAGTCCACATTCTCTGTTTTCCCTTCCTGGGTTATCCTAATGCTTCCTGATTGGTCTTTTGTTTTTATTGTTGTCCCTCTTCCCACGTGATGTATTTTTCTCACCAGCAGAGAGAGTGACCCGATGAAAATACGAATGGAGTCATGTCACCCACTTGGCCAAGACTTCCTCTGGCATTTCCTCGCACTTAGGCTACAAGGCGAGTTCATGACCTGGCTCTGCTAAGCTCCAGGAGATCCAGTTTCTGCGTCTTGCGCCGCTCTTGCCTTGCGCTGCCCCTGCTCTGTTGATGTTCCTTCTGTTCCACAAGCAAGCCACGCCCAGTCCCACCCGGGGGCCTTTGCACTTGCGCCTACCTTTGTCCACAGCCCTCTTCCTCCAGCTCTCGCCTGGACAGACTCCATCCATCATCCAAGTCTTAGCTCAGGTGTCATTGCCTCAGCTCAAATGTCCCCTCTCAGTCCAGCTGTCACCTAGCCATCTCATGCAAAGTCGCTTTTGCTTGCCTTGGACCTGGAGAGGAGCCTGGCTTCAGGCAATTCTTACTACAGAAGGACTCAACGAAGGCACGGAGGCACGGCGTCCAAGGCTGCCTCTTGTGTGCTCAGGGATGCCGGGAGTCTGCACATCCACAATTCTGGCACTGCGACATTTCCTGACTTGCCTAATTGTCTCTCCAGTGGAGTGACACCCTCAGTGAGAACAGGAGCATTTGCTCCTATTCCCTGCTTCTCGGATCTCCAAGACACAGTGTGGGGTTTGGCATGAAGGATGTGCTCAGTGGCCACTTGTTGAACCAGTGAGCGACTAAATACATCACTGGGCAAGATGAGCTTTGGTCTCTAGCTTCAAGAAGCTTCATGTGAACTCGTGCAAAACTTATGAATATCCATCCCTGAAAGCTGACAAGAAGCTTGGTGCTAGTACTCTTTTCCACGGCTAAAGAGCAAGACATTGCACATGAAAGCACTGAGCTTAGTGCCTGGCATATATGCGTTCACCCTTTTTTTTCCTGCAAAATAATTTGAGAACTTACATATTATCATGATTTTTTCCTTTTGTGAAGTGCCATGCTGGGAACTATGAGAAACACAGCCTGGAAAAGCAGGAGTGGGTTTAGCTGCAGAAGGCTGTTGATGTCAACAACACTGGATGAGGAGGGAGGGAGGGGAAGGCGAGCTCCACATAGCGTGGAGCAGCCTCGGGGCTCCAACCTGGGAAGGCAGAGCCGAGCAGAGGACTTTATTTATCAATCCACTTTCCCCTTATTACACTAAGCATAGATGCTTTTTCAACCTTCCTGATGTAAAAACATCAGAAAATCCAGAGTGACAAAAGAAGAAAACAAAAACACTCATAATTGTACCTGCCTAAGAAATCACCACTAACATTTGGTTTAATCTTTCCAGACTCTTCTAATCTGCCAACAACTTGAACCACACAATACATTCTGTTTTATTCCCTCTTTTTTTAAAAAATCAGTAGTATCTTTCTCTACCACTAAGTAGGACTGCCGTGGGTGTCAATGACTGTCTCTCATTCCTTTGTAGAAAGCCCAGCAGTGAATTGAACCTGTCTCCTACTATTGGATAATTAAATTGTTTATGCTTCTTCATTGTTATAAAAATATTACCAGGACTAATATTTTGGCAAACTCTTTGTACATACTCATGATCATTTCCCTTGGTTCTGTCTCTGAAAGCGGATGCACCTCCCAGCCGCGGTGCCGGCAGGCTTGTGTGTTTCATGCAATCACATTCAGGAAGGAGGATCGCACATCTGCCTCACACAGCTGAAGTTTCTGAGGACCAGGACAAGTCGCAGTCACCATTTCCATTAAAGGTCCTTGCTGCTGGCTGTTGGTTTCCATCAGGCTCCGTTTCCTGTGGCACATTTCTACTGTTGACAGCACACGCCAATTCCCATCATAGATAAGATTGCCTTATTTAGCATAAATGGAAAATACAAGATGCCCAGTTAAATTCAAATTTCAGATATACAACAAATTTTTTTTGGTATGAGCACCTCCTAAATATTGCATGGGACATACTTATACTAAAAAACATTTGTTGTTTCTCTGAAATTACCTGGCATCTTGAATTTTATCTGGTTACTCTAGTCACAGGAAAGATTTATTTGAAAGAAAAATGCAGAGTGCTTTTGAGTAACTGACTAGAACTGTCCATCAAGCATGTCAGCCCTGTTGGAATGAGAGCCAGCCTTGGATGGACAGCTGCCATGTGTCCCTCACTCTTCTCAACATGCCGTGCACATGAGAGCTCCTTCCAGCCTCACAGGGGCTCTGTGAAGTGGGAACCACTCTGCCCCTCTCTTTGCAGCTGAGGATCCTGTGGTCCTGCTCACCAGCCATGAAGACCTGCCTCCCAGGCCAGCTGGCTCCAGCAAATATTGGCACTTTCACTGACCACCTCTTTCCCCTCATCCTCCCCATCCATGTCTCACGTGCACCCCTGAGCCCAGCGTGCTTCCAGCTCACCCCGTGCTGTTTCTTTGCTGTACCCCTGTTAAAACTTAACTGTGGTCATCTCTGGAATTCTTCCATCTCTACGATTAATCCATTCCTAGAACAGAAAAGATTAGATGGTCTGGAGCTCCGGTGGCACAATCGGCTAGCATGCGGTACTTATACAGAAAAGATTAGATGGTCAGAAAGGCAGAGTTTGTTAACATGATTAAAATTATTTATTTAATATTATTAAAGTCCATAATAACAATAGCTGACACTTGTGGAGTTCCTCCTACATGCAAACCACCATGAAACACTTTTTATTTACATGTATTATTTTGCTTAATCATTATAAAAAACCCTGTGATGAGGATACTATTAATAACCCCATTTTGCAGATGAATAAATCAGGGCAATGGAAGATGAAGTCGTCAAACAGACCACAGTCACACTGCCGCTGAGCACAGGTCAGCCTACACCGAGACTCTGCCTCCCCTTCTCTCGCACATTGGCTGGAAGTTGGCTGGTTTTCCTTCCCCATTTTCTGACCCAAGCGATTTGCGGATCCCGGGGAGAATCTGGCCGCACACATGGCGGCCTGAAACGTTCCTCCGAAGTCTGACCCGTCTGTCAGCCTTGGAGGGCAGCCAGCAGTCCCCTGCCAGCTCTCGTTTTTGTCTTTGGGGTCTGAGGGGCTGGATCAGAACGTGATGGCTGTGACTGCGGCCCCAGAACATATGAAGGGAGCAATGGAGCTGGAAAATCACCTGATGCTCTGTGCTCTGGCAGCCAAAGAGCATCAGAGGATCAAGGTGGGAAAGCAAGACCGAGGGTTTCGCCCCCGGGTGCTTCTGTGCTGAAGCACTGTCCCCTGTCCTGCCACAATGAAGACATCGCCTTAGAAGGAAACGCGGCGTGGTCCATCTGCCTCAGAGGCTTAGCAAATGTGAGTGTCAGGCTGCGTCCTTCACTAGCACAGCAAGCTGTTATCAGCCTGTGAAGCATTCAGTTTTGGGGTTGTGTCCCTGCACCCCCTTTCCATGCCTCCTGCCTGAGGGGACCCCTCCACCTTCGAGGCTTGCTCCCCACTCTAAACCCTATTCCCAGGAAGCCTGAGGATTCAGTCAATGAGTCAATGAGTCTTTTTAAATTTTTTTTTTCTTTTTGAGACAGACTCTTGCTCTATCACACAGACTGGAGTGCAATGGCACGATCCAGGCTCACTGCAACCTCTGACCCCTGGGTTCAAGCGATTCTCCTTCCTCAGCCTCCCGAGTAGCTGGGATTACAGGCATCTGCCACCTCGCCCAGCGAATTTTTTGTATTTTTAGTAGAGACGGGGTTTCACCATGTTGGCCAGGCTGGCCTCAAACTCCTGACCTCAGGTAATCCGCCTGCCTCGGCCTCCCCAAGTGCTGGGATTACAGACGTGAGCCACCGCACCCGGCCAGTCATTGAATCTTTAGGAAGGATGTGTGTGTGTGTGGGTATGCATGTGTGTATGTGTGTGTGCATGTGTGTGTATGTGTGCATGTGTGTATGTTTGTGCATGGGTGCATACGTGTATGTATGTGTGTGAATGTGTGCATGTGTGTATATACGTGCATGTGTGTATGTGTGTGCCTGTGTGCATGTGTGTATGTGTGCACGTGTGCGTGTGTGTGCATGTGTGAGTGTGTGCATGTGTGTATGTGTGTGTGCATGTGTGTATGTGTGTGTGCATGTGTGTGTGTGCATGGGTGCATACGTGTATGTATGTGCGTGAATGTGTGCATGTGTGTATAAACGTGCATGTGTGTGTATGTACGTGCATGTGTGTGTGCCTGTGTGCATGTGTGTATGTGTGCACGTGTGCGTGTGTGTGCATGTGTGTGTATGTGTGTATGTGTGTGTGTGCATGTGTGCATGTGTATGTGTGCATGTATATGCATGCATGTGTGCACATTTGTATCTGTGTATGTGCTTCCATGTGTGTATGCGTTTGTGTGCATGTGCGTATGTGTGCATGTTTATATGTGTGCATGTGTGTATCTGTATATGTGTGCGTGTGTGAACATGTGTGTGTGTGTGTGTGCGTGTGTGCATGTGTCCGTGTGTGCGTGTGTGCATGTGCATGTGCATGTGTGCATGTGTGTATATGTATATGTGTGCATGTGTGCATGTGTGTGCATGTGCATGTGTGCATGTATGTGTATATGTGTGCATGTGTGTATGTGTGTGCATGTGTGCATGTGTATGTGTGTGAATGTGCATGTGTGTATGTGTGTATGTGTATATGTGTGCATGTGTGTGTGTATATGTGTGCATGTGTGCATGTATGTGTATATGTGTGCATGTGTGCATGTGTGTATGTGTGTGCATGTGCAAAATGCACATGTGTGTGCACATGGGTCTCTGGAGTTTGCACTTTAGCCCCACCTCTTCTGGGTGTTGTAGAAGAAGGCTTTGTCCTCCCTTAGGCATCTTGGGTGTCAGGGGCTACGGCCTATCCTGGAAAATGCCAGGAAAACGCCAACTTTCCCAACAACATGGCAAAGTGACTTGTCAGGGGAGGGGAGAAAAAGGAAGGCAATATCTTCATTCGGGGGCTTTTCTTCATGTGGATTTCAAGATCATTCGGGCTCAAAGATTTTGGGCTTTTCCCTTTTGGAAGAGTTTATTGAAAATGAGGCTGCCACATCCAGTGTATTTGGCTTCAGGAGCTGAGCTCAAATGAGTGGCGCATGTCAGAATCTGCTCAAGGCCTATGAATTACCACCCTTAATATTTTCAGCCAATTACAAAAGGCAACAAGCCGATACCAGATAGCTTCCTTTTACCAAAATGCCCGATGGCTCTTCCTGTGATGCCTTGGATGGGAATCCAGAAGGGTTGAGCTAAACTCTTGGTACTGCCACTTCCTCTTTATTTGACCCAGGCAAATGATGGTGATGATCATTGCTGTGACTACTGGCGTAGTGCTAATTGCCATTGTCATCGTCACCATCATCACCACCATCATCATCATCACCATCATCATTGCCACCTCCTCATCATCATTATCACCATCATCACCATCATCATCATCATCACCATCATCACCACCATCATCATCATCATCACCATCATCATTGCCACCTCCTCATCATCATTATCACCATCATCACCACCATCATCATCATTATCACCATCATCACCACCATCATCATCATTATCACCATCATCACCACCATCATCATCATTATCACCATCATCACCACCATCATCATTATCACCATCATCATTGCCACCTCCTCATCATCACTGTGTAGTCCTCCTCCTCATCATCATCACTGTGTAGTCCTCCTCATCATCACTGTGTAGTCCTCCTCCTCCTCATCATCACTGTGTAGTCCTCCTCCCTCTCCTCCTCCTCGTCATCACTGTGTACTCCTCCTCCTCATCATCATAATCACTGTGTAGTCCTCCTCCTTCTCCTCCTCCTCATCATCACTGTGTAGTCCTCCTCCTCCTCATCGTCACTGTGTAGTCCTCCTCCTCCTCATCATCACTGTGTAGTCCTCCTCCTCCTCATCACTGTGTACTCCTCCTCATCATCATCATAATCACTGTGTAGTCCTCCTCCTTCTCCTCCTCCTCATCATCACTGTGTAGTCCTCCTCCTCATCATCATCACTGTGTAGTCCTCCTCCCTCTCCTCCTCCTCGTCATCACTGTGTACTCCTCCTCATAATCATCATAATCACTGTGTAGTCCTCCTCCTTCTCCTCCTCCTCATCACTGTGTAGTCCTCCTCCTCATCACTGTGTAGTCCTCCTCCTTCTCCTCCTCCTCATCACTGTGTAGTCCTCCTCCTTCTCCTCCTCCTCATCACTGTGTAGTCCTCCTCCTTCTCCTCCTCATGATCATCACCGTGTAGTCCTCCTCCTCCTCATCACTGTGTAGTCCTCCTCATCACTGTGTAGTCCTCCTCCTCCTCACTGTGTAGTCCTCCTCCTCATCGTCACTGTGTACTCCTCCTCATCATCATCATAATTGCCGTGTAGTCCTCGTCCTTCTCCTCCTCCTCATCACTGTGTAGTCCTCCTCCTCCTCATCACTGTGTAGCCCTCCTCCTCATCATCACTTGTGTAGTGCTCCTACTCCTCTTCCTCCTTCTCCTCATCATGATGACTTGCATAGTGCTCCTCCTTATCATCACTACTGTTGTCATCATCAGCAGCATGGTACCCCTCCTCCTCCTCTTCCTCACGGAGTGCTCATCATCATCATCATTGTTGTCATCAGTATCATCATGCTGCCCCTTCTTCTCCTCTTCCTCACTTATGGAGTGCTTCTCATCATCGCCCTCATTGTCATCATCACTTGAGTACCACGTGTGAAGTGCTTTCTAAACACTTAGCATGTATTGACTCATTTCATCCTCACAGCTACCCAGGAAGAAGGGCACTGTTATTGTTATCATCCTGTTACAGGTGAGGAAGGATTGCTCAAGCTCTCCATCCAGAAGCTGTGGAACTGGAATGTGGTCCTATTACTCCTGATGTAGAACTGAAATGGCTGCCTGCCCCCAGCCATGGGAGGCTGTGGTCCTCCATTTCCTCATCAGTAAAACGGGCATAATATTTTCATCTAGAGATGTGGCATGAGGACTGGAGGACTAGAGCAGTAATGGATGAGAGGCTGCTGGGCACAGACTCAGCCTGAAGCAAAGAGAGGGGCAGACACAGAAGGAAAGAGCCTGCTGGGCTTAAGGTGAGGGATTCCCAAGTCCAGGAAGAATGCCTGGTAGACAGGGCTCTGCAGGGCCTGCAGTGGCACCAGCAGACTTGGCAAAGTCTCCCTCTTTGGCTGAGGTGCCTGAAATGCCCACAGCAAAGTGCCAGTGTTGTCGGGGAGGGGCAGAGCCAGATGATGCTTCATCTCTCTGCTCCAGCGATTGCAGCAGACCAGGGGCTGCAGAGAGAGGGGCCGTGGTGGAGCAGTGCCAGGGCAAGAAAAGTCGACTGAAACCCACAGATATGAGGTGCTCCATGGGTGGTTACAAGAGGGGACCCTAGGCAGCAAGGGAGGTGGCCTGAGGCCACAGGCAGCAGTTAGTGTGGACGTGTGTGGGGTCAGCATATGGGGGTGGAGATTGGTTGACCCACAGGTTCTCCAGAGCTCCAGACAGCACTTGGCATAGCTTGGAGATGGAATGGGAGTTGAGATGGATTTGCCTCTCCCAGGCTTTTCAGGGGAATTGTTAGTGAGTCATCTTGCTGGGTCTCACAAGAGCCCCATCCTGTGACTGTGGGAGAACCATCAACACTCAGGCTTGGGGATAGTATAAATGGTGTCTGGCCTGCTGTTTCTTAGTTTCTTTCACATCATGGCACGCAGAGAAAACAAGACGTGCACATCGCACTGGAGCTAGGATGAGCTGACTGAAGGTGGACTGAGGTAGCCAGCCAAGGTCTGTGCAGGGCTCCATGGTGACCCCAGGCCCAGTAAACTGCCCCCGGTATGGAGCCCAGGCATTAGGAGGCCTGGCCTTGTCCCATGTCTGAAAAGATGCTCGGCCTCCCTCTGCCCAGTGGTCATCCTGTCTCCACTTGGGCATCACCTCATCCAAAGTTTGCCCACTAGGCTGCCAGCAGCTTCCACTTTGTGAAGCACAGCCTGATATGCTGTGATTTCTGCCCTCTGGTCCTGTCCTTTTCTTTGGGAGCAACAGAAACTGATACTAGGAGACTGCAGACTGGAGAAGACAGGAGGTGGCTGTGAGTCCACAGATGGGGAGTGGGAGAGCCGAGTGGACTCCTCCACAGCCCTCCCATTTGCATTTCCCAGCGAGCCACTGCAGAGCATTGCTTTGCAGTTTCTCTGCACGTTGTTGCTGTCTCCAAGCAAGACACATATTCTCACACAGAGTGAAGACCATTCTGTTCTATTCTGAGACAGCCTAGCCTCTGCATCCAACAGACCTGGGTTCAGATCGTGGGTCTGTCGCTCAGTAGCTGAATGGCAGCTCCTCGAAGGTTGATGTACCTGATCTATGCAATGAGGCCAACAAACAGACCATAATCGTTATGCTTGGAGAGCAGTGCTGGGCATATGATAGACGCACAGGAATGGTCATTCCTTCCCCTCATCCTTCCCAGGGGGAACAGAAAAAGATCTGAACACAAGTCCACGTGCAGTGAGTCTCACCATCTTCTGGAGGAAAAAGTCAGGTCCACATGCAGTGAGTTTCACCATCTTCTGGAGGGAAAAATAACCATGAGGCCTGAGGTTAGAGCTGTCAGGAAAGTGTTAGAGAACGAGAGCTCCTGTGTATAGTCACACTGCACTGCTTGATTTCCCTTTGTTTTTAGAATTTTATTTAGAGTGGGGTTTCAGAAGATGTAGGGGCAGGGATGGTTTAAGATCAGAGACAGTGGGGCGCTGACTTTGAACAACTTATCACAGAGTTATCAGAGGATAAGTCAAAAGCAATAAGTGAAAAGTCAGCAGCTGGAAGGCAGGATAACCCCAGGGAAAAGCAGTCAGGGGTGAGGGGCTGGGTGGAAAATCTGTTGTGATTATTTCTAGCTTTCTAGATAAATGGTTATCAAATTTGGATAAATATTTATTGAAACAAGACTGGAGCATAAGAGAAAATCTCCCTCCTAGGGAGAAGGAAGAAAATCCCCCTCCCTTTGTTTCTAAGGTTGAAACAAGATTTTGTGATATAAACTGTGTGATGAGAAAGTAGGACTGTCGCCTAGGAACCAAGGTTGAGAGTTCAATGAAACATGGGTCCAGAGGTGCACGTGGTCAAGACTGGGGTCAGTCCAGGTGGACAGTTTAACAGGGACCAGAGCTCCAGGGCCAAGTGGGGTCAAGGGCAAATCTGGAGGACAGGGGTGTGATGAGGGCTGATATGATGGAGGTGTGACAATCAGGTGGGTTTCTGCAACAGCTCCTTCACTCCCCAGTTTCATTGGTCCTCCCCAGGCTTTTCTTCTCCAAGTTAAGGTCTACAAACCAGGATTCATGGAAGCTTCAAGCAGAGCCAGGGAGCCTACATCTAGGTTGATCTTTGCCATTAACTCATTGATATACCATGGGTAAGTCACTTAACTTTCTGGGATTTTCTATGTGTATCTGAAATTATGGCCTGTCTACACATTTCTGTAATCATGACTTGCCAATGAGAGAGAACTTCATAGAAAAGTTTCCACCCAATATAGAAATGTAAGACACTAGGAAATTTCTCTTGGGAAGATATTGGGAAAGTTAAAGATGAAACATTTCCTGTTCATGCTACTGTTATACTGTGGATAGAGTAGGCAATGAATGCATTGGCTAATGAATTCAGGCAAGCTTTGGCTTGAACAAAGCTTTACATAGTTTTCCCTCTAAAGAGTGTGTTGTGCCATTTAGGCAGAGAGTGCTACGAGTTTACACTTTGATACATCCTTTCTGCATTACACAGAGCAATGATATATAAAACACAAAGAAGAGGAAGCTAAAAAGAAATAGTCTGGCGGAAAAGCAAGGCAGACATCTTTATGGATCAGCAATGGAACTGACACTCTTGTGGTGAGCTGGCCTGCTGAATCCAGGTGCAGAAGCCAGTGAAGGCTAGGAGCCCACCTCCTACAGGCAGTGGAGGAGGGTATCCCTCCTGCTGGACTGAGCGGGAGCTGGGAGCACCAGCCAAGCCTGCTGCGTGGAGTCAGGGAAGGGCATGAGGCCAGCCAGCTCAATAAGGGAGGCTGGAAATAAGAAGTGCTGTTGACCCAGGTATGTCTTTTATGAAAGTATGTGTCTAAGGAAGTGAAATGGTGAATATACAGCCTCATACTTGGGAACTGAGCCAAGCTCCTTATTGGCTATAACTGATATCTCCCCTGTAGTAGTGATGAATAGAAGCCCCCCAACACCATTAGAAAACGTGGCTACAGAATATGAGAGTGGGGAGCTGGGCAGAAGCAACTGTATTATTGCCACACAAAGAGGGGTGCTGGAGAGAGAGGAAAAGAAGGAAAAAGAGAGAGAGAGAGACAGAGAGAGAGAGAGAATCTTCAACTCAAAATAAATCTGTAGGTTAAAATTTCAATCTCACTTATAAACACAGGGGCAAAAATCAAGTATAAAATGTTAATAAAATAAACTTAGCCATTTATAAAAGTAATAATACTACAATGCGTAAGTAGAGGAGACAAGCACAGTTCAGGGTAAGAAAATCTATTCCTGTGAAAAGATTATAGAGTAAAGGGGAAACTATGACCATGTCATTAAATGCAGAAAAGCATTTATTACAATTCAACATTAACACATTATAAAAAGTTCTTAGCAAACCAAGAATAGAAGCAATTTTCCTAACCTGAAATCTATAACAAATGTTAAACTTACTGAGCATATCCCCACCAAATACCCTCAATAAAGCCCCAAAAAAGACATTGACATTTCTAGCCAATGCAATAAGATAAGAAAAAGAGAAAGTAAAGGTAAACCTTATTCATGGAAAAACAAGCATAATGTCATGTCAATTTGTTTTGAATTAATTTATAAATTCAGTGTAATTTCTGTCAAAATAGATCAATGGGATATAACAGAAATACAGACTCAAGCATTTTTCTTTCTTATCTATTACAGGAATGAGTACCTTCCTTATCTAGAGTCACTCTTTACACTGGCAAAGGCAGGGGGTCTCATCATCTCTCATCTACTCATGGACTTTAATCCTGCAACTATTGATCTTCATTATCAAATTCTCTCTTTTGATTGGCTTTTTCTTATCAGCATACAAACATTATGGGTGGGCAAACCCTATGGAAATTAAGACGTGATAAAGTTACAATAAATAAATCAATGTGTTTTTTAGCACATGGATAAACAGTAGATTAATGAAACAGAATTAAGTCTAGAAAGGGGCCAATGACTTTCCCACTGCAGTCTACAAAAAAAAAAAAAAAAAAAGCCAATACAAATCCACCTTCTCTAATTATACTCATGTGCTGGGTGACCTCATCTCATGCTATGGCTTTAGTTCTCAGCTATGTGCTAAAGACAACCACATTTATATCCACAACCCTAACTCCTGAGCTCCTGGAATGCATTCCTAACTGTCTGCAAGACATCTCCATGTCTAACAAGTGTGTAAAGCTTACATTTTAGAAATGGAACTCTTGTCTTCACTTTCTACTCCTGCCCTTGAACCTGCTTCTGCAGGATTTCTATTTCAATAAAACGACACCACTATTTTACATAATTACTCCAATAAAAAAAAAAACCTTCTCCCTTTCCCTCTGACTATACACAAATTCATCAGCTTGACCTTCAAGTGATATCTAAAATCCAGTCACTCTTCCTAGGGCACTACATACATTGCACATGCGTCTAAGCCGCCACCATTGTCTGCTGTCTAAACTGTGTGAAGAGCTTTCTTATCGGCCTCGCTGATTTCACTCTTGGTGGATTTTCATCACACTTAAATGCATCCCGAAATTTTTAGCTTGGGCTCTAGGTGCTACCTTTCTGATCTTGTCTTCTATCCTTTTCCTACCTTATTTATTTTCCCAACACACTGCCTTCTCAAGTGTGTCTCAAACACACAGAACTTCTGCTTCTTGTCCCTGTACTTGGTATTTTCTCTGCCTGGAAAATCCTCCAGGTCCACTAAAATCTGCGCTCCACGAGGGCAGGGCTGTTTTCTGCCTTTGTGTCATATCAGCAGCACTTACAACAGCGCCTGGCATACTAGAGGCATCCAATAGATTAAATAAATAAGTGATTATATGAAAGAGTGACCATTAAAAACTAGCAGGGAAGTGGGAAAAAAGTTGGAGTAGCCAAACAATAGAGCTAGGACAATTTGCTTTCCAAATGAAAAACAATAAAATTACATACCGAACTCACATTGGCTAGAAAAACTTCCAGGGGCATTTCTCATTATGTGAAGCAAAACTTTTTAAAAAGAAAATATACATTTTTAAAAAGATCCTTGGTAGGAAAAGACTTTGTGAATAAAACACTAGAACACAAATCAAGAAGGGTAAAGGCAGCTTCAGCACACAGGCAGGTGAAGCTTGGCTTCCTTGCTTCTGGAGAGGCTGCAGATGAGACGGGTGTGGCTGGTAACAGTCAGTGGTTATGGCTCCAGGTCTCTGATATCATGAAGGACCTTGAAAACGAGCATGTGGATATGTCTGCTGAAATCCTGGAGTTCTCTAATGAGAACACGTTTGAGAGGAAGGGGATTTAGGACAAATTTAAAAACCTACTTTATAAGAGGCAATGCATACATCCCTCCAAAGTGGTTGAACATTTGTAAGGATCTTCAGGAATAGGTAACTTTAATGTGTGGGGAACACTTCCAAAGTGATGCCTTTCCACATCCCCTGAGCTCTGTAACAGCATCCTAGGGAAAGTGTGCCTCCACTGTCACCCTCACCTGCCACCTGCCATGAGCCATGCGGTGAGCAGGGTGATGTAGCCTGAAGATGTGATGGGTCTTGGCTCTGCCGTGTGACATCCACACACTCCGTTCACTAAATGCAGATGACAATAGAACTTGTCCCTCTGGGCCCTTAGGGCCTTAATAAGTTAACAAGAGTGAAGTCCAAGCATCATGGAAAATAGCAGTTTATTTGTGCCTGGATAAGAACAAGGTCTCAGTGTGAGCAACATGTCTTATTTGACAGAGACTGACAAACCTCTTGGGACAGGACTTAAAGATAAACTAGGAAAGCTCAGTGGAGACTGTCTGCAGGCATCAAGGGCTGCTCAGTTTCATCCAGGAGGCCTGGGAATGATGAAAACGCAGGCTCAAGAGTGCTCTGAGGCTATGCAGACAAGGGATCCACAAGACTGTTCACTCCTTGGCTGATTGCGTCCAGAAGAGGCAGGTGGGGCAATGAGAAAAGAGGGTTTTCTGCTCAGCCTCCCTGGCCTGAAGCACAGCAGGGTTATTCTTAGCGGCAGCCTTACCATCAGGGTTAAAATTCCACAAGCCTCTGCTGTCTTCCATCCATCATCGTTTCCTATTTACAAGGCAATCTTGTGCTCCAAGCTACAGTGAAACAGAGCTTCTTGCTGGGATGCATTACAGTAATGCTTTGTAAGTGAGCTTGTGAGGTTGCAGGATCTTAGGATCTTGCCTCAGAACTTCGAAGCAGCATGAAGCATCTAAGCACAGCTCTGTGGAGCACAGAAAATTTGAAAAGAGCACCTCATTCTTGGCTCCTGAGGAAATGGCATTTGTTTGCGTCTGTAAGGAAACCACACAGGGCAGTGTTTACAAGTATTTCGATTAAACACTGTCTCACGCACACATGCACATGCATGCACACTCTCACACTCACACACGTGCGCTCACACACAAGCGCACACATGCACACACGACCACACAAGCATTCACACACTCACGTATGAACACAGGCACACTCGTGCACACGCATGCAACTCAAACACTCACCGAGGAAAGACCAGTGTAGCCCAGGCAAGAAACTGATTCAACCAACTGCTCATGACGTATGTGCGCCATTCTGCTCCTCTTCCTTATGCCATCTTTCAAGCCCCCTCTGAGATGTAAGAGAGAAGGCTGTGAAATAGGGAGGGTGTCATCTCCCTGATCTAGACTTTGGGATTCCCCCCAAACAGCACAGAAGGAAAGATGCTGTGTTGTTCACGCACCATCGAGGGACAAGAGGGTCAGAAAAGGGACTCATTCATGGAGACTTGGGCTGAAGGAACACCCGGCAGGCATATGTCCTCTGCCCGGAGCCCCAGTGCCCTGGTGGCTGCCCCTGCCATGGGGAGGGGCTGTCACAGGGGCTCGGTCCTCTCTTTCCTCTTGTCGATGAGGTCAGAGGAGCTGGATGGACAGAAGTGCTGGGGGAGACAGTGGGGCTCAGGAGTTCAGCGCCCACTCTGGTCTCTGTCATGCTGTGTTCAGGTCTCACAGGCACCCCGAGAGACAGGTCCCAAAGCTGAGGCTCACAGACCTTGAGCAACTTTTCCAAGGCCACACGGTCCATTCATGATGTTATTAAAACTATACTTGGCATGTAAATTAGCAATTTACAAAATGAAAAATGCAATAAGCTATTGGAACGTAAGAAAATGCTCATCCTCACTAGTAAACAAACACCAATCAAAGTAATAATGAGATCATTTTTGCCCATTAAACCGGCAGGGATTTTTTAATGCTAACATGTTATTTTAATAAGCGTATATTAGTAGAGGGGAGTATAAATCAGTTCACCCCTTTGGGGGATGGTTTGTATATTTATTTTAAAACGTTAACATTTTTATCTAAAACAATGTGTAATATTTAACTTATTTAAATTACTTATTTAAAAAAAGCTCATGGCTTTTGATCTGGAAACCCCGACTCCAGAAGGCATACTGAGGCTCTGCTCAATTTGCCTCCTTCCACCTGGGAAGTGTTGGGTTGCACTCGTCCTCACCCACCCAGGGGAATCCCTGGGAAGGCTGGAGGGAAGCGACCATCTAATTGGGTTGTTCTGCTGGCTCTGGGTGAACAGGGACAGCCACTTCCTTTACATGGGTCTTGGTGTTCTCCTCCATAAGTGAAGAGGCTCAGCTGAGACTGGCCCTAAAGCCCCAGCTCTGGTTTCTAGAAGAATTCTGAGATTCCGTGGCAGCACCTGGTTCTGAGGAAAGCCTCACTAAATATACCCAAATCTGTGTTAAGAGAATATTTCACCATCCCTTTCAGAGGAAAAATAGAACACAGTGATGAACAATGACAGGAAGTGGTTTTTTGATACCCATATTCCGCATGACCTGTAAGTATGAATATTACCTCTTTTTGTCAGCTGCATTGGAAAAAATAAATTACCACCAGTCAATCTCTTACAATAATAAGAGCAAGGCATGGCTTAATTGCTTCAGTTAAGTGTTCATAACTTCGCCAGTGCTCATAAATGCCATTACACATCAGGCCACTGAAACAGACCTGTTGATTTATTAAATGACGATGGGCAGGGGGCAGGGGCAGTTTCTTTTATGAGTTAAGACATAGAGTTAAGATACCTCGATGGTTCAGTCTGGTATCAGGCATGGGTTCTTTCAGTAAGGATAAATGCAAAAAGATAATAGAAAGTTCTCACGGTGATGGTGGTGGAATTAGGGTGCAAGAGGCTGTGGTCATTCTAACCTAAAATGTACATAATAATGATCCTACATTCAACAGGAAATGTGTTGATAATTTTTGTTTCCCCCCATTTAAGCACAGACGTGTTTTAGAAATCTCTTTTTTATGATCATGAACTCCTGGTCCAAAATATTCACCAGGTAGCTTGATAATTTGCAAAAGACGATACGTGTATCCACTGAACACATATTTGCAAAGATCCTACTGTGCGCCAGATACTCGTCTACACTCTGAGATCCATCAGTAAAAAAATCCCTCCCTCATGGAGCTTACGTGTCAGTGGGCAACAAGCTCACGGTTCTGCGATGGAAGTAGCTGCAGTATTTGCAGTATTTCCGGGGCTGTGAACACGCCCCTCCCGTTAACCGCGCTGCCATTCTTCTCCATCTGCCTGGGATGCAGGGGCTGTGTTTTGGGTTTCATTATGGTATCCAGCACCTAGTGTAGCCCTGGGCACACAGCAGATGTTTTAGAGGGACGTGTAGGATCACAGAACATGCAAGGGCCATGTGAGGCCTGACATCAGGTGAAGCAGTTTTGCTCAGTAGATTATTCTTGTTCTTTCTCCTAAAGTAAAGTAGATGAGTGCTCACCTCTCCCTGGACACCAGCATCCCATCTGAGCCTGGGGTACTGGAAGGTGCCATTTTACTGGTCAGAGCTTGTAGGAGCAGAACGGGCCCAGGTGTGGTCTTCATGGAGCTTGAGAACTGGGTGCTGCTAGTGTTTACTTCATCCAGGGCAGCTTCTGCAGGAATGAAGGTGAAAACCTATCAAGATGGTGTGGGAACAGTCCTTCCGAGGCAGGAGAATAGGGTCTGGAGGCAGAGGACCTAAGGCTGTTTCACGACGACTTCCTAGAACTAAACTGAAAGGAGAAGCCTAGCTTTGTATGCTAAATAACAAAAGGACCAGAGGCTACTCCCTTTGACCTTTTCTGTGCGGCAGATGGGAAACTGGCTGTCCCCAACAAATCAGGCTGACTGCCGGTCCAGTCTTTGTTTGCAACTTTGTAACTTCACTCTAGCCTCTGAATGGTTGCTATCCACAGCCTGTCAGACTGATGGCTGGTTACCACCTCATTTACATGAGGTGAGCAGGAAGGGGCCAATGGGAAACCCCTAGAGGGTATTTGGACCCAAGAAGATTCTGTATCTGGGCTCTGGAGCCGCTGCACTGTGGAGCGTACTTTTGTTTTCAACAAATCCCTGCTTTTGTTCTTTTGTTGGTTCATTCTTTCTTTGCTTTGCTGGGCGTTTTGTCCAAATCTTTTTTTTTTTTTTTTTTTTAAGACAGAGTCTCACTCTGTCGCCCGGGCTGGAGTGCAGTGGCATGATCGCAGCTCACTGCAACCTCTGCCTCCTGGGTTCAAGCGATTCTCCTGTCTCAGCCTCCCGAGTAGCTCGGACTACAGGCGCCTGCCACCATGCCCGGCTAATTTCAGTATTTTTAGTAGAGATAGGGTTTCACCATGTTGGCCAGGCTGGTCTCGAACTCCTGATCTCAGGTGATCCACCCACCTCGGCCTCCCAAAGTGCTGGGATTACAGGTGAGAGCCACGGCGCCTGGCCTTGTCCAATTCTTTGTTCAAAACGCCAAGAACCTGGACAACTTGCAGTCACAGCCCTCTACCAGTGACACTTTAGCCTTGACTCTGGCTTCCTTGGCCGCGGTTGTTAGGGGTGTGAGAACGGTGCCCTGGGTTCCGATGCTGGTGTCAACAACTTTTACTCTGCTTCATTCAGAAGGCGTGTCCCCGGGTTCCCTTCTGCGCTCTCATCCCTTTGGGCCACCCAGGAGCCTCCGCAGGGACCTTTCCCTGTGCGTTTCGGCAGCTGTGATCCACTCAACTCTGCCGCTGCACTAGGTGTTAGGGTGAAGCCCTTCACCGGGGACGTCCTGAGGACATTTTCACAAGCTTTCCCCGCACGCTGCTGTGTTTCATCCTCACAACCCTGACAGGTGGATTATCTTTTTTAACCTCCTCATAGGATGCAGAGACAGAAGTTCAAGGGTCCAAGGCACTGGGCTAAGATGACGCGGTTCGCCGTATCCTTAGTGACACCAGGACTCCAAGGAAGTCTTTCCCTAACGCCCTTGCATGTCCCCTCTACCCGGCTACCGTGGATAAACCGCCCTCTGTCTGTCAGCATTAGCTGGCGCACGGCAAGAACACTATCGCCAGCGCGATTCCAAACTCGTGGTTCCGATCAAAACGCTCTTCTGCTAACATGGGCCGCTTTGATCTTCCTGAAAAGGTTCGTCCAGATTGTATCGTTTCCTGCAAAGCCCCTGTCAGCTGTAAATGTTGTGTTGAAGGTGGAGGCGCATCCTGGGGCTGTAGGCAGGATGCTGAGCAGGACGAGGAAACGGGCGCTTTTTGGGTATCTCCGTGCTGGGTGCCACTTGGCGGCGGGAGGAGGCAGAACTGTCCGTTGTGTAGAACTTGATGGGTCCGATCTCTCCCTTGATCCTTCATAAGGACTAAGTCTTTCCTAAAATTCTCTATTCTAGTTATTCTATACTCTGGGCAAATTTTTTCTTTCTTTCTTTCTTTCTTTCTTTCTTTCTTTCTTTCTTTCTTTCTTTCTTTCTTTCTTTCTTTCTTTCCCTCTTTCCTTCCTTCATTCCTTTTTCCCCTCCCTCACTCCCTCTTTCTTTCTTTCTCTTTCTTTGTTTCTTCTTTCTCTTTCCTTCCTTCCTTCCTTCTCTTTCTTTCCTTCCTTCTTTCCTTCCTTCCTTCCTTCCTTCTCTCCCTCCCTCCCTCCCTCTCTCTCTCTCTCTCTTCTTTCTTTCTTTCTTTCTTCCTTTCTTTCTTTCTTTCCTTTTCAAGACAGACTCTTGCTCTGTTGCCCAGGCTGGAGTACAGCAGTGGGATCTCTGCTCACTGCAACTTCCGCCTCCTGGGTTCAAGCAATTCTCCTGCATCAGCCTCTCAAGTAGCTGGGATTACAGACACATACCACCATGCCCAGCTGGGTTTTTTTTTTTTTTTTTTTTTGTATTTTTAGTAGAGACTGGGTTTCACCGTATTGGCCAGGCTGGTCTCGAGCTCCTGACCTGAAATGATTCACCCGCCTTGGCCTCCCAAAGTGCTGGGATTACAGGCATGAGTCGCTGCACCTGGCCTCTGGTCAAATTTCTGAGGGCATGAGTGCTGTGTCATTTTCTGTTCTTGCCTCTTCCGTAGAACCAGCTAGTTCAAATACAGCAGGTAGTCTCAAGTTGCTGCTGGTGACTTCAGCGATGTTCCTTTGTAAGACCTGGTGGTTTCCTTCTTTTATCTGCATGAAGTTTCCCAGAGATTGTTTTGAAAAGTATCTGCATCATGTTTCTCAGGTCATCTGCAAAACTATTTTCCAAAGATTCAAAGGAGGATTCAGGAATCAGCGAAGGGAGAAAATAGAGGCTTTTCCCCATCTTTCGTGATCTAACTTTCTCAAGCACTGAAGAGCTCTTGTCAGTGATATTTTTGGGAACTCACTCAAACTGAGGAAATTCACAGCTAAGGCTGATGTTCCTGGACTCTTGGCATTGTGTTGCCTTAGAAATTTCTTTTTCAAGACTATAGATTGCCCAGCTTCAGCCTGGACTTGGCATTTTCTGACTTTTGACAAGGGGGCCTTTTACAGTATTTAAAAAAAGGGTGTGAGGGGTCAGGTGGGAGGTGGGGAAGGGGCATTGTTGGTATATAACACAGGATAAGGAATTAGGAGATGCTGATGTGAAATTGAGTTTGAATATCAGGCCTGTGCAATTGCTTTTTATTATATGACAACAATGCTACTTCTTCCTTAGAAAAATGAAAAAAAGGCAGACACGTTACATGCTCTAGTTTAAGTATGTTCCAGATACTTCCTCTTAAGCAAAAGCCTTCACTTAACTGCCTGTTAGCCACCAAACTACTAGACTGCGTGTATCAGGGAGTCATACTTGACCTTGCTGAAAAAATGTACGCCTGTGGGATGGCAACAAGGCGAAAATTACTGTGTCTTTTCTCACCTTAGCTCTGCAGAAGGGCTCTAAGATTTTCGTAAAATGTCCTGTCCTCTAACAAAATGAAACTTCCCCACTGCTTGTTAGTATCTTTCCTTGATCTAATCAGTAAGGAAACGAAGAGCTTGTTTTTCATGGCTTGCTTTCTAAATTTTCTGTGAGTAGGAATTTAATCATCATGGTCCTTTTTTTTAATTAGAATGGACTAGACTTAAAATGTTATTATCAGCCTAGATGTCTAAATTTCTCATGGCAAGGATGGGTCCTTCTGTGTAGAATTCTTCATTTAAGGGAGCTGCAGGGATTTCCTGAGCCAGCAAGGGACCATGGGGATGTGGCACGCTGGAGAACACCGCTGTCCAGCTGCAGTCACCGAACTGTGCTTCTTCCTCACAAGCTTCTCTCCAAACCAGCTTTGTGGAGCAGCCTGGGGTGTGCTGTGGGGCTGGTCATCCTCTGTCATCCCAGGGAGGTCTGGGACCTCATCCTGTGGGAAGTCTTTAACTTTCTGGCTGGCATGAAGTCGGCCCTGTGATGGGCTGAGGGGCCCACTGACCCTGTGAGCAGGTGTGGGGTCAAGAGGGAGGAGTAGGCTGGGAAGGAGGAGGAGTCCCTGCTGCCCACCGGACACCTGTCCAATCCATGGGGTGTGTTCTAAACCCCTGACTCAGAAATGGCCCAGCTGAAGATCACGAATCCCCATCAGCTCTGTGGAGCTGCCCTGGTCATGGTCCCGACAGTTCTTGTTTCGAGTTATTCAACAAGAAGTTATTTAATGCCTGGTATATGCCATTGATTTATTCAACAAATATTTATTAAGTGTTTACTGCATTGCACAAACCCTGCTCGGCCCTGGAGATACAAGGAGAAATAAGACATATTCCCTGAGAGCCGTGTGTCTAGTGCAGGAGACAGATGCGTGTGGCTGAGTGCACCGTGTCACGGAGGTGTGTGAGGTGAAGGCTGGCAGGCCCCACAGTGACAGGTGGCTGGTGAATCATGCACGAGGTTGGAAGTGCACGCATGTTGGATTCACCTGTGCACGTCTGGAAGCAGCGTTTGTTTCTTACAACTCTTTGGATTCACCTTACACCAGTGTTTTAGCACATTCAGAATTCCTGTAGAATAGAATAGCTTCAAAAACCTTTTAATTATTTGGAAAAGAATCTATGCTTATAATTGAATATTTTAAAAATATAGCAACTTTTTAAATGAGAAAAAGAAATAAAATGAGGATCATGGAAATGACTACTCCGATATATGAATATATTCCCCTCAGTCTTTTCCCTATTCCTATTTTTAAATGGTTGAGCTTATAGACTATTAAAATTTAATATTCTTCCTTTTCTATTTTTACTTCTGGTATTGTCATATAATTTTCCTCTACTCTTAAAGATTATTTGTAAGCAGGGTTTTAAAGTGATTTAATAATATTTCATGATTTGGGTATGCTTTTTTGATTTCACATGTTTGCTATTACAAATGAGGTTTTGATACCTGTCTTGGTCAACAAAATACTATGTTTTTATTAACAATTTTTCCTTGGTTCATTCAGATAAATTACTCTCACTAGAGCTAGTGTACCAAAGTGCAAGGGTGTTGTTTCAAGGTCTGTGATTAATGTGAGTCCATTATTTTGCAGAAAGGTTAAATAAATTTATGTTCCCGCCAGCATACCTTACCAGCCCTCTGTAGGGCTGTGTACACACCCCTAACATTCCCTGGCTAATTTGATAGGCAAAAACACCACTTTGCTATTTTAACTGTACTTCTTTTATACTAATGCAGTTAATTTTTTATTAGCGATTTTTATTTCCTTTTCTGTCCATTTAGCTGCCTTTTCTATTTTTCTGTCTGCCTCTTAGTGGTTTTTTTTCTGTAACTTTTGTAGTTTGGCGTATCACCTTTCTTTACTACATGTATTACAAGCACTTCTCAAGATTCCTATTTAATTTTTTTAAATGTTACATTTTGATGATGTACAAAATTTTATGTTTTTATGTTGAATCTATTGATGTTTTCCCCTTCAATTCCAAGAAGAAGTGTAACTTTTGATATAAAATAACTCAGATGCCATCATTTCAGATTTTCGGTGTTGCTATTTCGGAGTTATGTGAAGCTGACCTTCAGTGAATACACAGGGTCACGGTATTCGATGAGTGGGACCCACTTGTGTGCCATTTGAACGTAATGTGGTGGGTTCCAAAACAGGAGCAACAAAAAGCTTCTCGAAGTAAAGTGGAAGATCTGGGAGGGTGAACATTTAATTTCTATTTGGTTTGGTAGCCAAACAGTTAGAAAGACATTTTTATTCATCTGGGCCCACAGTTCTGCAGGATTCTTTCTCTCGAGATCCCCCCTGCTCCAAATACTACTAATGCATACAACCTGGATTTATAGCTGCATTACAGCCCCTTTCTTCAGTCTATTCTCAAAGAAATGCCAGAGAAGAGGGTGGGGGAATAGAGACAAGGAACTGCCTCCAAATGTCAAGGGAAGACCTGTGTTTTTCTTGGACGGAAAAGCCGCATGATTTAAGTTTCAAGGACATCTTTGCTTTACCCCCTCTCTCCACTTTGTGTGTGTGTGTGTGTACATATTTCACTTAAAAGCAAGCTCTTAAAGAGTCGGGCTTCCAAGACCCTGTCTTCAAATATTCATTCACATTTTATTTGTTTGGAATTTTGTGGCAGTTTGGCCTCAGGAGGTTCAGAACGAGTTCTAACTCTTCTGGTTATAAGTAAGCAGCAGTTTGTCCTGGATGACAATCATGGACAGGATTGTTAAGGTCCTTGTGGGGAAGGAGCTGGGCTAATTTCTCTACATGAATACTCACTAAGTACTCAGAAGAAAACCCTCTAAAGTAGGATTCGTGAGTGCCCCATTTTGCTGACCTCAGGCAGAACAGGGGCACCAGGGTTGGAACAGGGGGGTCTGATGGCAGAGGCCCCGTGCATCACGCTCACGTGACTGCCCTTGCCATCAAAGAGCATAGTCCACGGCCAGCAGAGTGAGCGTGGCCTAGGAAAGTTCTACCTACAAACAGTGGGAGGAAAAGTGTGCTGGTCAACCAGGATTCGGTAGAGGATGTTGGCTGGTGAACCCGTCTGCCCCGACTTCAGGAGCAGAAATGATGTGGAGGACAGATTCTTTGAGGATACCTGAGGATCTGGCCAGGCCCTAGGGGAACACTGAAAACATGATTTTATTGTTCCGCAGGGGTCAGAGCTAGAAGTGTTTTGTTTTCAGATGAATCTGGAACCTAAGCCCATTCTGTAAGGAATTGCCACTTAGTCCTACACATTGAATGCAGAAAATTCTGATGGTTTAATGCCTCTCATTTGGGATATCCGAAAACAATTAGGGCTTATCTGGATTACTGCAGCGAAACAAAAACACTCCGTGATGGCCAAGTGTGGAGCTGGGAGGAACAAGAGGAAGGAGCCGGTGATGGCTTTGTGACTCTTTCCCCAAATAACATGCCCATGAATCAGAGGCTCTGGGAGAAGGCTGCTGGTGACTCAAGGCCGGGTAACCAGCGAGCCCTGACCGTCCCTCCGTGCAGGACTCGACTCGACAAGGAATCCAGGGAATTGCTCCGACAACATCAGGCCCGGACTCTTATTTGTTTTCATGTTTGAGGGTGGATCTAAGCCCTGCAACATCATCAAAACATTGTTTTAATGCAGGTGCCGGTGCCACACGTTAGAGGGCTTGTGCCTGCCAGCAGTGGAAAAGTACCGCCTTGAGTCACCGCGGTGCTGAAGGTCACTGGGCCTCCTTACGCAAGCCCTGGACCCGGCGCCCATGAACTCGCTACCCTGGGCTGCGATTGTTCTTTCTTTGGTTTCCCTGTGAGCCCCAGTGACAAACCACCGGAACCCAGAGTGACTCACAGACAGTGGAGTGTCAGAGCCAAAAGGGGCCGTGTGAGCTTCCAACTCGACCCACAGCTCTGCCAGGAGAGGCAGCTGTGTCCAGAGGGGCAGGGAGACCTGCCTAGTGACCTGGCTGGTTGGTGACACAGCCAGGCCTAAGAATGGAGTCTTCTGGTGACAGTTTAGTGTGTTTGATCATGAGGAGAGCACTCAGACCCCACATCCTCGCGGTTGTCTGTTCGTCTGGGACTCCGGGCCCCTGCCCACCTCCTCTGCTTCTCTCAGTGACACCAGGTGGTTTCTTTGCCTGGGATCCCCACACCTCCATTCTCTTGAGTGCTTGGAGCTATGACCTGTGAGGATCCTTAGAACTCAAGACTACTGGATGGAGAGGGGAGTGAAGGGGGCCAGCGGAAGCCTGCAGGTGCCTGGCAGGTGGGTTTCCCCTTCACTGCCTCAAGCGATGAGGTGGGGCTTCTGCGTCTTCAAGGATAAGAATCCCTGTGGATGTCCTCTTGGGTCTGATGGCTTTAGGCTGCAAAGCCCTGAATTCCTCTTCTGAAATAGGCAAAGATGTGGGTGTGCTCACGTTGCCTTTTCTGAGCCAGCCCCCAAGCCCACAAGCTGAGCCTTCAGCTCTGCTAACGGTGCCTGCCCTGGGCCAGGTGTGGGGGCTTAGTGAGTAAGGAGCCCAGGAGGGGAGAAACACAGTGGGGAGGGAGTCCTGGACCACGTCCGCGACAGACCAGGAAGGGCTCAGCCAGTAAACTCACCTGGTTTTGGTGTTGGAAAGAACACCTGGCTCTTGTATTAAATATAACGTGGGTGCAGGGGAAGCCCAGCGGTGGGGAGACAGCGGGGAGGCAGCTGGTGTGGCCTGGTAGGAAGCAAGGATGTGGCTGGGGCTGGAGCACCATGTTGCAGAGAAGTGGATTTGCTGCAGATGTGGCCTGGCGCGAGTGGGACAGGGCTTGGATGTGAGGGCACGTGAGAGAAAGTGGTGAGAGGACATCCTGTCCCGGCATGAGCGGCTTGGGATGAGCAGGCATCTCCTGGTGCAGAAGGCAGGGGAGGGAGAGCCATGTCAGATGTGGGTGCATAGAATGGGTGGGCTCCATCTCGGGTAGATGAAGTTGGATGAGTCTAAGGGGTAATTGGTTGGAGATATTCAATAGGAAGGTACCTGGGAATACACAGTGGGGCCCGGGGGAAAGATTTGGGTTGAAAATAAGTTTAGACTGGGCGCGGTGGCTCACGCCTGTAATCCCAGCACTTTGGGAGGCCGAGATGGGTGGATCACCCGAGGGTCAGGAGTTTGAAACCAGCCTGGCCAACATGGTGAAACCCCTTCTCTACCAAAAATACAAAGATTAGCCGGGGGTGGTGGTGGACACCTGTAATCCCAGCTACACTGGAGGCTGAGGCAGGAGAATCGCTTGAACTTGGGAGCTGGAGGCTGCGGGGGCCGAGATCACGCCACTGCACTCCAGCCTGGGTGACAAGAGCAAAACTGTCTAAAAAAAAACAGAAGAAGAAAGAAAGAAAAGAAAGGGACATAAGTTTAGGAGAAGGCAATGGGTGGAGACTGAAGCCATGGTAGTGGGTGGTAGGGAGATGTCAGGGAGAGAGGAGAAAAGGGAGCCCTGCCAGGGGTGGGGGATGCAGTGCTCGCCAGCGTGACAGAGAAGCCACCAATGAGCTGGAAGGAGCTCCCAGGGAGGCTGAGAGGAACCCCCGAGAGCCCGGGGAGGATGGCTCCAAGGAAGAGCCTGCTGTGCATGAGTGGGGCCCGAGCAGGTCCTGTCCTGTCTGCAGGGGCAATGAGCAGAGCACGTTGGATGGTTGGGGGGACACACAAGAGGCCCTCCTGTGCCACTGCAGCGTCACCGCCCACTCTGCCCAGGTCTGCCCAGCTGCCCGGCTGCCTCGGTTCCTGTCTGCCTGCATTTTTCCTCTGGCTTTTCCGAGGTCTTTAGCAGGCGGCTGTTCTCAGCAGTGGGAGCTGCGTTGCTGATGGCTGCACGAGCAGCTCTGTTGGGGCAGTGGGGGAGGCCATTGGGCTCCACCTGCACAAGGGTTGCCCCTGTGGCTGAGATGGGTAGGGGCTGAGCCTAGGTGGGGCCAAGGGCAACAGGTGAAATTCGATTTTTCTTTATCTGCAGTGCTACACTAATCTTATCTGCACTCTGGGGAATGGAGATTGTTGCAGAAATAAATATTTGCTTCCAGGGTGGTTCCGCAGCCCTCAGTCCCCGGCACACATCTGCCCCTCCCCTTGGGCCCAGCTCTGTAACAAAGACTCCATCTGCCTAGTCAGGGCCTCCTGGTGGCCAAGGGCCCTGAGGGCTCCGAGGGCTCTGAGGGCTGATTGCCGACACTGTAGTCTGGCAGAGACTGCAGACCCACCATGGCCACCCCTGCGAGGGCGCCTTGTATCACTGAGCCTCACCTCACTCTCCGGGGATGGAGACCTTCAAGACTGCAGGACCTTTGGTTTCTAGAGAGAAGACTACGCCCAGTACTGATTCGGGTCCAATCAGAAAGCCATCCTGAGTGCTCATGGCAGGAAGAGATTAATCCGGAGCATTTTCTCACATGAGTGTGGAAGAGCTAAGAACTCGAAGCAGGTTCTTAGCAGGGGGTCACATAGAGACCAGCAAGTGCTAGAGTGGGGTGCAGGGATGTCCCTCGTGGGAGCAGGACTGTGAAGCTGTCCCACGGGAGCTCAGCCGGAGGAGATGCCCCGCACTGGGATTGGCTGTGCCCCTGAGTCGGGGGTGGCCTGGGAGGAGAACACTCTTGGCACTCCTTCCTCCTGCCCTCCACCTCCTGACAGGGCTGCTTAGTGGCTGCACCTGTCAGGAGAGGAGCAGGCGCCCATCAGAAGGGCAAACGGATGGTGGGGTGGGGGCAGGACGATGATAGTGAGGACCCTAATGTCCACTGTCCTTCTGGCTCTTCCAAGCACCAGATGCTCGGCCATGTCCTTGACTTGGTGTTATCTCAGCACTTACCACATCAGCACAGCGGGGTCAGCATGACAGTGCTCCCATGGCGAAGACGGGGAGACCAACTTCCCCATCACAGCAGGGACACAGTGGGTAGAGATTTGAACTTGGATACGACATCAGAGTCCACCGTCTTACCCACAGCGAGGTAGCTTTAGCTTGTCTAGTGTGCACACATATGACCATTCTCAGGCTGTCAGTGGATGGAGGTGTAGGGAGTCCACAGGGGAGTATGAAGCCGGCGTGGAAGGACCATTGTCCTCTCAACAGTGCCCTGCTGCTGGTGCTTACCAGTGGAGGAAATGCTACCATCTCATTAGCCACCAGGACGTCCAGAAGCAAAGTGAATCGAGGGTCCAGTCTTCCTGCCACCACGCAGTGGCCAAGCACGCTGCAGAGGCCCCTGATCGATGCCTGCTGCGGCCGAGGTTGTGGAGGTCGTGTCGGGCCTGCTGCCGTGTCCCTGGTTTTGGAGAGATGCTGTTTCCTTGTGGACCACTAGCTGGATGCTCCTCCCTCCATCCCAAATGCAGTGACGTCCACAGTCTTCCAGTTGTGTTTGGTTTTTTACCGGCTGTGGGCTGGGGAAGGGGTCTCCATCTCAGTAGCAGTTTGTTCTGCAAGGACTCAGTGTTCTAGCTGACCTGGCCAGCCCTGAGTGAATCTCTTAGAAGATGAACAGTTACTTTAACTTGACAGCAGAGTTTGTTAAAGTTCTAGGAGTTAAATAAATGGTGTGACTAGCACATTTCCAGATGTGTACACACAGAACGGCAGTCATCAAGATGGCAAAACCATGATCCGTTTCCTTTGCTTCGTCCACTACAAGGTTTGCTCATGCAACTGGCTGTACCTGTTGGAAATGCAACAGCACAGCACATGACCCCATGCAGGAAAGGTGCAGGTGCTCCCCACTGCAGCCAGATGCAGGAAACCCAACTCCCCACCTTCTCCCCGTGCTCTTCCCCGGTAGGAAGTTGGTCTGTGGGTCTGTTGTGCACAGTGAAACCCAACGTGGCAGCATCTGGTGTCCTTCCATCGAGAGCATCCAACCTGCTGGAAACCCACCCTGGAGGTGGTCCTGGGATGCTGTGGGGCAGGTGGCAGCACGACGCAGTGCCCTCCCTGCTCTCCATGGTGGGCTGTCTCCCACCTGGTCCCTCTTATCACTGTCATCACTGACCGAAGCTTCCATGAGCTTGTAGGTGAATGGCCACCAAGCCGGTCCCTCCACCCAACTCCTCCCATGTTAACTAGGTCTTGAGACTTGTGACTCCTTTTTCTGTAATTAGTTCCTTTGCTTCTTAAGCACCTCTGCTGGTTCATGTGGGGGGTGAACACGTACAGATGAGGAAAGGAAGACCCACCGAGATGGGTGGCCTCCCCCAAAGTGGACAAACTACTGTCACCCACTGCTTCCTTCCTACCTGGAGGAAAGCCACAGGGTGCTTGCCTCCCCTCCCCAGGGGCACCTATCCTGTCAGGGTGACAGTGTTTCTAGGGACAGGGGACGACAGAGGTGCTTCTGGGATAATCTCTCAGTGTTGTGGGTTGAATCATGTCCCCCTAAAACTATGCTGACATCCTGATGCCAGTACCTATGAATGTGACTTTATTTGGGCATAGGGTCTTTCCAGATATGCTCAAGTTAATATGAGGTCTTTACATGGGCCCTTAATCCAATGACTGTGTTTGCTAAGGAGGGAAGAGCGCATGGACACACAGAGAGAAGGCCATGTAACGGCAATGCCACAGCATGCTGTTATACTACACTGCACTCTACCAAGTGCTATACCAAGTACAGTAGAATATGACACAATGACACAACATAGTGTGGCATAATACAGTGTGGTAGGGTATAATATAGTATGGCGTGGTGTAGTGTAGTACAGCATAGTATCGTATAGTGTAGTGTTGTATAGCACAGTGCAGTATAGCATAGCATAATATAGTGTAGTCCAATATGATATAATATAGTATAGCATAGCACTATAGGCAGAGATGGGAACCGTGCAGCTGCAAGCCTGGTGACTCCCAGGACCGACGGCAGCCACAGAAGCTGGGAAGGTTGAGGGGACATTCCATCCAGAGCCTCCGAGGGAACAGGGCCCTGCCAACACCTTGATTTCAGGCCTCTGGACCCTGGGATTGTGAGGGAGGACATTTCTGTTGTTTTAAGCCGCATGTAAGGTTTGCGGTCCTCCGCGATGGCAGCCTCAGGAGCCTGTCACACCCTATGTGCTTGTGCAGGCCGGAGGCTCCACAGAAACGTCAGCGGTAACATGCGAGGGCAGTGCAGCCAGCTCCACAACAGGGCCAGACAGGTGTGGGGCTGGGGCAGCTGCTGTGGCCACCTCAGATTTTAAAAAATGGGGTTCAAACCTTTCCTAATTTGGTCAAACAGTATTGAAGAAAAAGAGGAAAGAAGAGAGAGGGGGTCAGTGAGACAGTCACCCAATAGATAGATGATGTTCAGTGAATTCCGACGTACACAGTTTGAAGGATCACAGGGCTCTGCGGACGGAGCCTCACACTTCTCGAAGTGGCTTCTCAGACTACATCTGGTCACTATAACAGCTCTGGCCCACAGATGAGAGACATGTTACGGTCCCTGTTTGATAGATAAAAGGCAGGTGCAGAGGGAGGTGAGGCCTGCCTTAAATCATGCGCGTGTCCATTCCTGACTCCAGACCTTGTTCCTTCTTCTGCACTGGAGACGTGCTATGAAAGAAGAGTACAGTATGGTGCGGTGTGGAGTAGTGTGGTCACTATAGAGCAGAGCAGCATAGAGTAATGCAGTGCAATGTAGTACAGCATCATAGAGTGTAGTGTAGTGTAGTGTCATGTAGTGTGGTATAGTGTAGTGCAGTGAAGCATACTATAGTGTGGTATAGTGGAATCTAGCATAGCGTAGCATAGTACAGCACAGTATAGTATAAGATAGCATTGTATAGTATAGTGTAGCATGGTGTAGTATCATTTAATGTCATATACTGTGGTATACTATAATGTAGCATAGCATAGCATAGTGTAGCATAATACAGTACAGTATAGTGTAAGATAGCATTGTATGGTATAGTGTAGCATGGTGTAGTATGGTTTAATGTAATATACTGTGGTATAGTATAGTGTAGCATAGCGTAGCATAGTGTAGCATAATACAGTACAGTATAGTGTAAGATAGCATTGTATGGTATAGTGTAGCATGGTGTAGTATCGTTTAATGTAATATACTGTGGTATACTATAATGTAGCATAGCGTAGCATAGTGTAGCATAATATAGTACAGTATGGTGTAAGATAGCATTGTATAGTATAGTGTAGCATGGTGTAGTATCGTTTAATGTAATATACTGTGGTATACTATAATGTAGCATAGTGTAGCATAGTGTAGCATAATATAGTACAGTATAGTATAAGATAGCATTGTATGGTATAGTGTAGCATAATGTAGTTTCGTGTAGCATAATGTAGTGTGGTATAGTATAATATAGCACAGTGTAGTATAGTGTAGCATAATATAGTCAGGCACAGTATAATATAGTGTAGCATAGCACAGTACTGTATAGTGTAGGATCATATACTACAGTATGGTATAAGAGTATAATATAGCATAGTGTAGCACAGCGTAGTATAGTGTAGCATAATATAATGTGGTATAGTATAGCATGGCATAGTGTAGTATCATGTAGCATAATATAGTGTGGTATAATGTAATATAGTATAGCGTGCATAGTATAGCATAATATAGTACAGTATAGTGTAATATAGCATTGTATAGTAAAGTTTAGCATTGTGTAGCATAGTATAGTACACTATAAGAAAGTATAGTATAGTGTAGCATAGTGTATTGTGTAGCATATAGGCTTATACAGTATAATATGGCATAGTGTAGGATAGTGGGGTGTAGTGTAGAAACAGCATGGTACAGTATAATGTAGCACAGTGTAGCATCGTGTGGTGTAGTGTGGTATAATATACTACAGTACAGTATAACATAGCATAGCATAGCATAGTGTGGTGTAGTGTAATATATTATGGTACAGTATAATGTAGCACAGTGTGGTGTAGTGTATTATAATATAGTGTGGTATAGTATAATATAGCATAACATAGCATAGTTTAGTGTAGCGTAACATAGTACAGTATGGTAAAATACAGCATTGTATAGTATAATGTAGCATAACATAGTGTGGTATAGTTTAATATAATATAGCATAGCATAGTGTAGCACAATATAGTACAGTGTAGTATAAAACAGCACTGTATAATATAGTGTATATAGGGCAGTATAGTGTATAGTATAGTGAATGTAGGGTAGAATAGTGTAGCATAATAGAGCACAGTATAGTATAATATAGCATAGTGTAGCATAGCATAGTGTATTGTTTTATAGCATAGTATAGCATGGGTAGTATAGTATGATACAGTATAGTGTAGCAAGTGTACTATAGTGTAGCATAATATAGTGTGGTATAATATAACATAGCATAGTGTAGCATATTGTAGTGTAGTGGAATGTAGTATGGTATAGTATAATATGGCATAGTGTGGCATAGTGTAGTGTATTGTAGCATAACACAGTGTGGTAGAGGATAATACAGTATGGCGTGGTGTGGTGTAGTATAGCATAGCATCGTATAGTATCGTGTTGTATAACATAGTGTAGTGCAGCATAGGAAAGTGTAGTACACACAGTATAATGCAGTATTGTGTAGTATAGTATAACATAGTGTAGTATAGTATAGCATAATACAGTGTAGTCCAGTATAATATTACACAGTATAGCACGGCACAGCACCACAGAGTATAATATGGAATAGTGTAGTGCAGTATAGTTTCTGTTTTCGGAGGTGAGTAGCTATTATGTTTCAGTGAAAGCCTGACTCAGTGAAGCGGCCAGCGTGTCTTCCAATACAAATGATGACACACGTCTACATTACACTTACCCTTTGGAAAGGAACAAGATGGGGAACTTTTTGAGAGTCAGGCAATTTCTCCAGTCCAACTAGGGCCACCCAGTTAATAGCCCTTAGTCACAGCATTCTTGGTGCACTTAGATGCTGGCGTCTCAGCAGGAGTAATGGGCTGACTCTCAGAAGCACAACAAACGCCCTGCCGTGATTATGGGCGTGGCCTTTCCCAGACCTCAGCAGGTGCTTTACGTGGCGTTGGCAGCACCTGCCTCCGGGGTGGGTTTGGAGCGGGTTGGGGTGAGGCTCGCAACCGCCACTAGGATGGCCCTGGCTCTCTCTGGCAGCTCTCCTGTCCATCCGCAGAGGCTGGCCGCCATTGTCATCTAGGAGCTAGAGCCCATTTCTCCATGGCACTGAATGAGGCCATTGCCTCTCTTAGGATAATTGGGGTAGAAATAAATCCTGAATGCTTGGCTCACAGGCATTGAAGGTATCAAGATCACACTGCTCCTCGCTGGGATAGTCCCTCTCTTTCTTCCCATTCCTTTTTACCTTCCCAGGCAGCCCCTCCTGTCCCCAGCACACTCCACCTGTGCCCCTACCTGCCGTTGGTCCCACGGCAAACACTTCCTGGAGCATTTAAACCAGCAAGGCGATGCTCTGGAGACAATTGCTGACTGTCCTTGTTCCTTCCCGTTCCCCGGAAGAAGCCCATGTGAAATGTTATGATAACCTACAGATGACCATTTCCAGTAGAGAAAGAGCCTACCTTGTTAGATAAGTGAACTAATTGGCAGAAATTCTATTATCTGCCATGTGAATTCTAATTTCTGGGGATAAGTATGCAGGAATTCATAGTTGGGGAGAGGGTGAAAAGTGCAAAGTAGCGTTTTCATGTCAGAAAGGAGTCATCGAGCAGCAATGTGAAGCCACTGTGTGCTTATGTGCATGCATGTGCACACGTGTGCATGCGTGTGTACATGTGCATGAATGCCTGAGCGTGTGTGTGTGTGTGTGTGTGTGTGTGTGTGTTAGAATCCTGCCCTGAGCTGGCCTTCAGGAAGGTGAATTCCGGTTTCTGCGCACTCTGCACTCTGGCCATTGTACCGTCATTTTACCCCTTTATATTTCTACATCGCCCTCCTTCTTCCCCTTATGGGAGCTTTCAACGTCTTGACTGATTTGATCAAATTGAATACTATGCAACATCAAAATCTGTTGTAAGTCTGATTTGTTATAAGTGATTTTCAGTAGAATGATAGTCGGTGGCTTTAATGAATTTTAATGAGCTTGACTGTATGAACAGAGGTAAACAGCATCTGTGTTTTGGGTGCCATGTTGTCATGGAATTCTAACTCATAGAGGGAAAATCCAGCTTCCGAGAGCAAAGTCCTTAAAGCAAAGTCCTCACGGCCATTTATGGAATTGTCCAGGCTCTAGAACGTCTCACTTCTCTGCAAGGATCTGTCCGTGTGTCATGGAGCACCTGGAGTGTTCTGTCTGGAATGCTGGCTGGGAGCCTTCTCCTGGCATTTGAACGAGGGGCAGCTGTGTCCTCTGTTTGCCGTGTAAAGAAAAGAGGACAGAGCTCAGAGGAGATGAACCCCAGCAGAAAGGGGTGCTTGACCAGCAGGAGAGAAGATAACCAAGAGGGTGAGTGTCCAGGCGGGACCCAGTGTGCATGCCAGGAGCAAGGGGAGGAAGGACAGGGGCAGCTTTGGAGCAGCTGTGCCCTGAGAGGAGGTGGGTGGGAGCTGAGGGGGGCAGCCAGCAGCTCGGCACAAGGGGCAAGACCCAGGGACAGAAAGCAAGGAAAGCCACAGTGACAGGGACCTACTGTCTACTCCTCGGGGGCCAGAGCCAGCCCAGGGCTGGGAGGGGAGACAGGGCAGGACACGGCCATGGAGGCAGCTGCCCATGGTCTCTGGAGTGCATGAGGGCTGTGCCTCTTCGGTGGCTGCTGCTCCTTCTGAAGAGTGGCCTGCGGTCGGCAGCGGGGCCTCTGGGGAGAGCTCCTGATTTCACTTTCATGCTCTGCCGCCACTGAGAGGAGTTAGGAAAATACCACGGGCTGCGTGATTTAATCGCCCTGCTATTTGTTAATTAGTCTGTGTGAAGTGCCAATCCGCAGTGTGCGTGGGCGTGGGGGCAGGACTGCGGTTTGCAGGGAAGCCAGCCGCTTGGAGCAGAGGCAGTTGGAGTTCACCTGCTCAGCTGCTTCCTGCTTGGATGCTCCGATTTCCAGAGCTGCCCACGTTTCCCAGTCCCTTTGAGAAGTTTTCCATTTAGCAACTGCCTTAAGGGCCTCTCAGTTGTTCAAATAGGAACCCCGATTCCCTCCACCCAAGCCATTTAGGAGGCGTGCAGAACCGAGCCCACCTTCATAACCAGGGTTGAAGCTGGGCCTCCCAACTCCCTGGACCTGTCCCTCTCCAGGTGGGGCTGCTTCCCTGGCTTCACTTGCCCGGGGCTCTGGGATTTCCCCTTCCTCTCCTCCATCAAGGGTTGTTTTCAGGAAAGGATGTATATTAGTCATTTACATGCTAGTGTGAATGAGCTCCAGCCACCACTTCCTGTGATTCATTCAGTACATGTTAACCAAGGGCTGCTGTTCCCCGTGCTGGGTATATGAAAACCTTGTCCCCGCCCTGTGAGTTCTACACTAGAGCAGGAAGTGGAAGGAAAAACATCACTGAAGCCAATGTGATCAGTGCAATATTAATCCCAGGGAAGCTTTAGGAGCACGGGTACTACTTACTGTGGACGACGGTTGGTCAAGGAAGGCTTTCTGGAGGAGGTGACAGCTAGGCTGGGTCTTAAGGATGAATGGGAAGAGAGAGGAGAACATGTGGATAAGGCCAGGCAAAAGGGCTGCACAGCCAAGTCACAGCCAAGACGAAATGCAGGGAGAGTTCTGGAAGCTGCGTGTTTCATGCTGCTGGGTAGTGTGGAAGGACAGGCTGGAGCTAGGCAGCTAAGCAGCTTGGCAAATGGAGCTACTGAGGATTCCAAACAGGACCTCTGCAGTCGTCTCCACTGCTTATGGGTTGAACCACGTGAAATAGACAATATTCGGCCATTTAGGGCCAAGACAAATGCCAGCTTTGCGGGGTGCAGCCTCACAGAGAGGCTGCTTGGGGGCCTTTGCAGAGGGTGGATGAGCAGAGGGCATCCTCCGGAACCTGCTTGGGGACCCGGCTCTGAGGCCATCGGGCCGGTGGTGTCCAGATTCTCATGTAGGCTGGGAGAAAGGGGAGGTTCAAGAAACACGGAGGAAGTGAAGCGTCAGAGCCGGGGGGACGGGGTGCCGCAGAGGAGAAGGAGCACTGAGGCTGAGGTCCAGGCTTGCAGACACGTGGACCATGAGTATTCTGCCAGGTAAGAGACAGGGTGGAGGGTAGGGGCTTACAGCGGCTGTGATGAGCTCGCTTCAGATGAATTTGGAGAGTTTAGGCAACAGTGTATAAACCTGCGTGTGGCAGGGACTCCTGACACCTGACAGTGGTAGGATGAATCCACAGGGATGAAGCCGTAGTGGTGGGGTTTTTACAAATGTCGTGGATGATTTGGGGAAGGCGGGCCCTGCCAGTCTCTCTCACATCATATTTTGAGGCGGCCACCGTTTGGCCCAGCTGTGGTCTTGCTCTGTGCTCACAGACAATTGCATGTCCTGCTGGCTCCAAGCTTTGAGACCAAGGAGGTCTTGGTGATTTGCAGGCCTCCATTTAGGTGGAAGGGTGATGGCTGGGCCTTCCAGGGAACCCAGCTCCGAAGAGTTGTCTGACCCCCTCAGGGCAGCACAGCTTATTAGAGGAGGAGCTGGGGGTCCAGGAGGCACGGCAGGTACTTGGGCCATCCAGGGCCCTCCATCGTGTGTTCCCATGGGCTCCCCGCTGGATGGCAACTTTTCCCTGGCTCTCCCTGCCTTCCTCCTCTTTGAGGCCCCTTTGGCTGTGGCCCCTTCCCATTTCATGCACACCCCCAGCTGTGCCGTTGACCTCGACTATTCTAACTCAGTGTTTGCTGATTCTGCTGTCTTCCACACCACGTCACAGCAGCTCTGCACGTCTCTCTCTAAGTGACGACTAACGAAGATAACAATCATAACCACAGACAAAGGCCTAAGGCCGGCCATGTGCCTGGCAGACTCTCATAGAAGGGGTTTATATGAACGAGCTCTTTAATCCCCCAACACAGCCAGTAAGTGGCTGAGTTAGGATTTGAACCCGAGGAAGTGGCGTGTCCCTGCTCATAGGTAAGTGGAGTCAGGGGTGTGGCAGCCCTTCTTTCCCTTTCCGGGAAAGACATGGTTTCAGCAGGGACCCTGCGGTCAGCATCTTGTCCTTTCCTTTGGTCAGGAGGAGTGACCCTTGTTGGGGAGGGGACCCTGAGGCTGGCGGGGAGGGCTGTGGGCAGGAGGAACTGTGGGATCCTCATCAGATCCACTCTCCAGGCAGCCACCTCCTGGGACCTGCACTGATGAGCATCACAATTAATGTCACAATTGTTAAAAAATGTTAAATACCTTCTGACTCCCCTTTTCTCTCAATATAGGTCTGTGGGTGTCTCTTCTGAGCTACACCAGTTTCCAGGTTACCTGGGACCATGGATAACTCTCAGATCAGCAACTTGTCAGTTGATTTCCAAGCTGCTGTTGGCTGGACTCAGACTCAGCAGGGAGCACCTGGGCGAGCCCTGTGCTGCGGGCTGGACTCCGGCCCATCTCGCTGATTACTCTTGCTTTTGCTCCCCAGTGTGTCCTCAAGAGGTCAGAGCCTGCTTGTTGTTTCTTCATGACCACGGGAGGAGGGGCACCAACATGAGGGTGCTAGCATCTCCCCAGTGGTGGCTTCCCAGGGCTGGGGAAACCCTGGGGGAGGGGTTGGGACAGGGACCTCTGTCGCTTGCTGTCACTGCCTGGGTCAACTGCCTGGCAGGGCTGGCCGCTCGTGCTCAGAAGGCTGAGGCCTTACCTGCCTTCTCCTCTCACCCAGCGCCCATGTAAGGACACATCTGAGTTGGCATTCTGTGTCTGCTCTTGAGCTACTCGCATGATAAGTCTTTGTTGTCCTGTGGGATGTCACCGGTTCATGCTGAAGAGAAATTGTAAAGGACTCCTTTGCCTGCTCAGGCCCCATGGCCTCTGTCATGTTTTGTCCCCGTCCCTTTGGGAGCACAGCAGCAGTGGGCTGGCTGGACTGTGCAGGCGAGGTTCAAGGATGAGGTACAGTTGTGTGAAAGGTGAGCCTGCTGGACCGGGGAGCTTTCCTCAAGGCCTCCGCCTGGCTATGATGGCGTTAGGGTTGAGGGGAAGCTTCATCCAAAATGCACAGTACTTGGATGTCAAGATGATGTTGCTGCTCTCAGGATGAGTCACTCTCCACCACTGACTTCCTTTGATGTTCTGAGCTCAGCCTGGAGTCTGACCTGGGACTATAGCACTTGTTCTCCCAAGGTAAGGCTGGCGGCCAAACCCAGCTGCGCACACCTGAACCTGCTCCTTGGCAGAGATGAAGGGCGTCATGTTTCGTAGCCACTCAACACCCATGGACAATTTGGCTCCTTGTAAAGACTTAGTCATGCCTTTGAACTGACTTACTTGAAATATAATTGCTCCTATTTTGCTCCAAAGACCAGTGGCATGATGGGTTAGAGTTATTTGTATTTATTGAGATTGTTGTAATTAGCAATCTCAGGGCTCAGTCTAACTGCATTATCCATGCTGGAAAACTTAAAAAAAAAATACAGTCCTTCATCTTCAGTTTTCCAATGGTCGCCAGTTATACACAGCTAATCTTTGCAGTGAAAGTTGTCTTTGGAGAATGTGCTTTCTTGGTCCCGGGTGGTCCTGGTCTTGGGCTGGAATCTACGTGAGCTGCTTTGAAGTAAGCTGACAATACACAATTATTAAGGCTATTTTGACCTGCAAGTATGGTTTCTTAAAAAGGAACAATTAAATACCATGTAGCAGTTATTTAGACTTTAGCATTGACTAAGGAAAGGAGAAAATGGAAGAAGAACCCCCTCCTGCTTAGATGCAGTCATTTTTTAAAAAAATAATCTTTTGGGGAATAAACTTAACCAAGGAGGTGAGGGACTTGTAAACAAAATGTTAAAACTGCACTGAAGACTAGAAAATGTTGATGAAAGCTGTTAAAGAAGACACAATTAGATGATGAAAACACATCCCATGTTCATGGATTGAAAGACAATATTGTTAAGATGTCAATACTATAGATTCTATGCAATCCCTGTCAAAACCCAATTTTTTTTCAAACATAGGAAAATCCATTCTAAAATTTACATGGACTCTCAAGGAACCCTGAGTAGACAAAACAATCTTGTAAAAGAACAATGTTGGAGGGCTCACACTTTCTGGTTTCAAAACTACAGTAATTAAAAAGCTACAGTAATTAAAACAGCATGATATTGTCACAAAGATATAGAAAAATAGAATAGAATATAAATCTTGGAAATAAATCTTCACATATATAGTCAAATGATCTTTGGTGAGGGTGCCAAGACCACTTAATGGGGAAAGGACAGCCTCTTCAACAAATGATTTTGGAAAAATTAGATATTTATATGCAAAAGAACGAAGTTGGACCCTAACTTTACACTATATACAAAAATCTACTAAAACTGGATTAAAGAACTAGCTATAATACCAAAAAGTATAAAATTTCTAGAAGGAAACATAGGGGAAAACTTCATGCATTGATTTGGCATGATTTTTTGCATATGGCATTAAAAGCACAGGTGACAAAAGCAAAAATAGAGAATTGGGACTACATCATACTTAAAAACTTCTGTGTATCAAAGTACACAGTCAACACAGTAAAAAGGCAACCTGCCAGAATGAGAGAAAATATTTGCAAATTATGTATCTGGTGAGGGGTTAATATCCAGAATATATAAAGAACATTTAAATCTCAGCTACAACAACAAAATAAGTAACTCAATTTAAAAGTGGGCAAAGGCCTTGAATAGACATTTCTTCAAAGAGGATATACAAATGGCCAAATAAGCACATGAAAAGATGCTCAATATCACTAACATTAGATAAATGAAAATCAAAACCACAATGAAATATCGCCTGACATCCATTAGGATGGCTACAATAAGAAAAACAAAGTGTCGACAAGGGTGTAGAGAAATCGAAAACTTAATGTAAAGTTGGTGAGAATGTAAAATGGTGTGGCCACTATGTAAACCAGTATGGTCATTCCTCAAAAAATTAAAGATAGAACTATCATAGGATCCAGCAGTGCCACTTCTGGTTACATACCCAAAGGAAATAAAAGTAGGATCTCAAATAGTGATTTTTATACCCACGTTAATAACAACAGTATACAATAGCCATGTGGTGGAAACGACTCAGACATCTATTCTCTTTTTAAAAAAATTATTTACTTTTTACTGACACCTATTAGATGTACTTATTTTCAGGGTACATGTGATAATTTGATACACTCACATAATCAAATTGGGGTAATGGGGATATCCATTACCTTAAATATTTATCTTTTCTTTATGCTAAGAACAATTGCATTATTCTCTCCTAGCTATTTCAAAACAACCGATTAATGTTAACTATAATCACCCTACTGATCTATCAAACACCATGTCTGATTTCTTCTATGTGTAGGTTTATACCCTTAATCAGCCTTTGTTTTTCTCCACCCACCTCCCCTACCCTTCCCAGCCTCCAGTAACCACCAACCCAGTCTCTATCTTCATGAGGTTCTCTTTTTTAGCCCCTGTGTATGAGTGAGAACATGTGATATTTGTCTTTCTGTGCTTGGCTTATTTCACTTAACATCATGTTGCTGCAAATGACAGGATTTCATTCTTTTTTATGGCTGAATAATATTCCATTGTGTATTTATACCTCATTTTCTTTATCCATTCATCCACAGATGGACACTTAGGTTGATCCCATATTTTGACTATTGTGAATAGTGCTGCAATAAGCATGGGAGTGCAGATTTAAATATATACCCAACAGAGGGATTGCTGGATCATATGGTGGTTCTACGTTTAGTTTTTTGAGGAACCTCCATAGTGTTCTCTACCATGGCTGTGAAAATTCACATTCCTGCCAATGGTGAACAAGGGTTTCCCCTTTCTCCACATTCTCACCAGCATCTGTTATTGGCTGTCTTTTGGAGAAAAAACATTCTGACTGAGGTGAAGTGATACTTCACTCTGGTTTTGACTTACATTTCTCTGATGATTAGTGATGTTGAACATTTTTTTCCTATACCTGTTTACCATGTGTATGTATTCTGTCAAGAAATGTCTGTTCAGATCTTTTGGCCATTTTAAAATCAGATTATTTGTTTTTTTGCTATTTGAGCTCCTTATATATTTTGCTTATTAATCCCTTGTCAGATAAAGAATTTGCAAATATTTTCTGCTATTCTGTAGGTTGTATCTTCATCTTCACTTTGTTGATTGTTTTGTTTACTGTGTAGAAACTTTTTTTTTTTTTTTTTTTTTTTGATGGGGGAGACAGTCTTATGGTGTTGCCCTGGCTGGTCTTGAACTCATGGCCTCAAGTGATCCTCCTACCTTGGCCTCCTAAAGCTCTGGGATTACAGGCATGAGCCACCATGCCTGGCCTTGCGCAGAACCTTTTCATCTTTCGAACTCATTCTACAAGGCTAGCATTACCATGATACCCAAACCAGATAAGGATACAACAACAAAAAAGAAAACTACAGGCCAAGATCACTGATGAACATAGATGCACAAATCCTCAACAAAATACTAGCCAACTGAATTAAACAGCACATCAAAAAGATCATTCACCATGATCAAGTGGGTTTCACCCCAGGGTGCAAGGTTGATTCTACATATGCAAACCAATAAGTATTGAAATGATCACATGATTTTTGTTCTCAGTTCTATTAATGTTCTTGATTCTGTTAATGTTCTGTTCACATTGCAGAAAAAGCATTTGACAAAATAATTTCAGTAGCTGCTGAAAAAGCATTTGATAAAATTCAGCATACCTTTATGATACAAAAAACCTTCAATAAACTGGGTATAAAAGAAACATACCTTAAAATAGTAAGGGTCATGTTAATTCCCTGAGTGAATTCATATTAATTCACTGAGTCATGCAGATCTTCCAAATGTTGACACATTTCAGAATACCAACAGTGAAAAAGGTACACGACATCTAGGTGTTATTGCAAAAATAATTTTTACATCATGGATCCCCAGAGAATGCTTGGGGACCCTCGGGGATCCACAGGCCATGTTTCTGTGAACTGCTGTATGATCCAAAACACATCCTATCACTGATTTCAGACCCAAGAGTAAAGGAAATTGGCTCAACCATTTTAGAAAGAGGGATGCAGAGTTCCATGGCAGAAGGCACGGATGCAGGTGGGGAAGGATGGGAGCCAGAAGGCGGCCCATCACAGAGCTCTCGCTGAGGACTGGCATCATAGCAGAAGTTGATCCTGGGCTGGAGGTGTCTGGTCGGACCCACTTTATCGTTCATGTTCACATTTTGTTACCTGCCACCTTACATTATGGCTTAACTGTTTCGTGCGTGCCTGGCTGGTAATTCCACCAGGTAGTTAAGCTTCTCGTGACTAGAGATGAGTATTCCACATTCTCTCTGCACCCCTGGAATGGTGGCTGCACACCCAAGTCCTCTCTGCTTAACGTTCCTCCTCTAGGGTTTAGAGGAGCAGCTCTGCAGTCCGACTGTCCCAGTGCAAAGCCGGGCTCCACAATGAAGAGCCATTTGACAAGGGGTGAGTTAACTTTTCTAAAGCTCTCGGATGCCGTCTGTAAAGTGGCGCTGCTCCAAGTGTGCTGTGACGGTTGGAGGAGATAAGGCTTGGAGAGCTCTGAGCACCCAGAAGGCAGTACGCCGCGGCGGACTTGAGTCATGGACTTTTCATCCCAGGGCTCTCCATTTTCACCAGCACTTGGTGGTGGTGGTGGGGATGAACGTGTTCCTCTCTGAAGGTACCGGGCTGGGCTGCCTGCCTTTTTTTTTTTTTTTTTTTTTTTTTTTTTCAGACGGAGTTTTGCTCTTGTTGCCTAGGCTGGAGTACAGTGGCAAGATCTCAGCTCACTGCAACCTCCACCTCCTGGGGTTCAAGCGATTCTCCTGCCTCAGCTTCCCGAGTAGCTGGGATTACAGGCATGCACCACCACGCCTGGCTAATTTTTGTATTTTTAGTAGAGATGGGGTATCACCATGTTGGCCAGGATGGTCTCAATCTCTTGACCTCGTGATCTGCTCGCCTCAGCCTCCCAAAGTGCTGGGATTACAGGCAAGAGCCACTGCGCTTGGCCTGTATGCCTATTTCTAAGCAATGAGGAAGGTAGCTTTAAAAACCAAGCACAGGTAGGGCCTTTCTGTCTGTTCTTTTCACACAGTCTTATGAAATATTCTCCACAGTGTAAAATCCTTTCTGTTCCTCTCTTTTTGAAGAGCAGTTGAAGCTGAATATGCCCCTTTGCTCTTTCGTTGCCTAATGCACGTCTAGCAGTTTTTCCAGAAAGACCTTTGGGTCCAGGACCTGGTCTAGCTTCTAAGTCTGCTTTTGCTGAGCGTGGCAGCCTTGACAGAGTCAGGATTCCCAAAGCTTCCCCATCAGCCAACTGCACGTCCGTCTTCCCTCCAGGGCTCTTGTAACATGGGAAGGAGCTTCCACAAGATATTTATGAAATTTTATCAAAATCGTGATTGATGATGATGACCCTTTTATTTTCATGAAATTCTTAAATGACTTAATTTTAGTTTCTTTGTCTATTTTAGCCCATTTCTGCTCCCTAAAGGGACTAACTTCTCAAGAAGAAATTCTGACTTCCTGTTTACATTTTTCTTTCCCTTTTCAGAGGAGAATGTAGTTGGTTCCGTGAGCTAAGTGTGTCTTTTAAGATCCCTCACCTCATCCAGAGCTGGGCTGATGCTGTTACTCCTCTCATAGCCCACTCCTCTGCAGGGTGACCTGGGATCACTCAAAGTATTGATCACGCTGTGCTGGTCTATTCTGCAGGACACTTGTCTCATCTCAGTGAAACTGGGTGCACAATGGTTCGAGGGGCTGTGACACACTTGTCCACTCTGTCTCCTACAGGACTTGTCTAGCCTCATCTCAGAAAACTCAGCCCTTTGGATATTCACAGTATTGAGTTTATTCAGGAAGAGCTTGAAGAAACATTTTTGATCACTGACTGTTTGCTAGATCCTGGACGAAATTCACCCTGCTTTCAAATCCTTTGTGTTCTAAATCCCTTATCAACGATATGCAACTGTCATACCCAAAGGAAAGCAAACACTCATATTTAACGTGTCCCTCTGCCCTGGCCGCGAGTTCTGTGAAGATGGATTGGGATCTGTAACTGTCATCCCCAGAGGGAAAGAAATACTCATATTTAACGTGTCCCTCTGCCCTGACCACGAGTTCCGTGAAGACGGAGTGGGATCTGTGTGTTCAGCGCTGGGTAGGATGCAGGTTGCCTGCATGCAGCAGCTTCAGCCTTGACACCTGGGTCCTCCCCTGGGTTTTGCTCAGTCCCAGGTAAACGAGGTGTGCAGTCCAGGAATGGGGCCTGTAGGGCACCTGAGCCAGTGGCACAGATATGAACTTTACCTGAAACTCAAGATTTTCATTTCTGCACGTTATTCAAGTATGCAAGCTGGTTGAGCTGAGGCTTCACTTCCTTTTTTTTTTTTTTTCCTTTTCTTTTCTCAGCCTGACGCAGGGAAGTTTTTAATCTGTTCTTCCTCTTCCTTCTCCTCGGTTGTCCAGGCCTGGGTGTTCAGCACGTTCCCTCCAGGAAGTTTAGAGTGGCATCTCTCCGAGGGCAAGACCCTGGTGAGGATGGACGTCTTAGCCTCCACGCTGAGTGGAAGGAGAGAGGCTTGGTCCAGGCCTCAAGGCCTTCTATGCCCACCAGGTATCCAGGAAGCCCTGGAGAGCCCCAAGCAGTAAACGGGAGAGGTGCTCTGTGGGAAATGCAGGCAGAGAGGGAGAACTCTTCCCACTGAAGCCTCCAGCCCCGGCTTCTTCTAAGCCTTTGGCGGCTATTAAAAAAATTCCTTCAGTTTTTGCCCACTAATGATGCCCATCATTCTCTGGAACCTGAATTCAGAAGCGCAGGCTCACAGCCATCTGTCTTACATGATTTACAGGAATGCTTTTTATCCTAAAAGCTGGGGCCATTTGTATCCAAGAAGGGTGTAGCCGTAGGAACCTCTGTACCTATATTTAGTAGAGAATTGAGTCAGTTTTCTGGGTACTTAATAGTTTCCTACTTCACGGTGTGTAGGTTAAACTTGGTTTTAGTTATGACAGATTGGGATAACAAGTATAAAAATAACCATCTAATTAATGGCTCCATGTACTGTATGATTCTAGAAAGGATTATTTAGAATTATTGGATCAGGTAAGGTTGTGGACATACTGTGTCTGGATTTTCCTAAGTTCTCTTAAAAAACAAGTTCAGACCAATACGTATATTTATGGGGGAGTGTGTAAATGCAGTCTGCAGAATGCCCGTGTGGACACGTCTGGGCAAGAACGCCCATGTGGACGCATCAGGGTAAGGCTGGCAGCCTCACGGAGGGATGATAGGTCATTGTCAGTCGCTGCGGCTGAGTTAAGTTCACCCCCCAATTCACATGTTGAAGTCCTGACCCCTAGGACCTGAGAATGTAACTGTATTTGGAGATAGGGCATTTCAAGAGTTAATTAAAGTAAAATGGAGTATTAGGGTGGGCCCTGATCCCATCTGACCCACGTCCTTATAAGAAGAGGAGATAAGGACACAGACACACCCAGAAGGCTGACCCTGCGAGGACCCAGGGAAGAGACAGGGAGGAAGGCACTGGAGGGGGCCAGCCCTGCCCACAGCTTGCTGTTGGTCTTGCAGCCTCTGGAGCTGTGAGAAATGAACTTCTGTGTGTAAGCCGCCCCATCCGTAGCCACATCGTGGGATTTTGTTCAGATAGCCAAGCTGACTCCCACACAGGTCTGGAGCAAGCCCCCACTGGGAGCCCCAGGGCTCTCCTCTCTCTGACAGTTTTTCTTGTGACTGAGGCTGCTGGTGGAGCACACAATGTCCTTGCCACACTCTTCCTTAAGTGTAGAATCTGATTTTTCTCAGGGAACAATTGAGTGCCCTACCAAACACTCAATTTTCTAAGCTTCCTTTCAGCTCCAGGCAGTGGCATTCAGGCGGAACAACACGGGCGGGTGCCCCTTCCTCTAACGGGAAGGCAGAGGCTCCTGGGAAAGCCCTTCCCTGCTCCTGAACATCTTCTCTGTCCTTGGCAGAGGGACGTGCCCACAGCGGTCTGTGCCCAGAGGCAGCTGTGCTGAGGATGGGACTGTGGACCGTGGGGAGGGCAGGGCCCTGACCACCTCACTGGCAGGCCTCACCTATCTCCAGGCTCGTTTTTATGACACAGAAAAACAAGAATATGGGATTTTATGTTTGTTAAGTCAGACCAAGTTTCTGTTATTTGTTCCTAAACTGACTTATAACTGATGACAGCCATGACTTGGATAAATCATGGAAAGTGCACATCTAAACACTGTGGAAGGTGGAGCTGGGAGGATGCCTGGGCCTGCTGCAGGACAGGGGCAGGATGCCACCCCCCAGGGAAAAGGTGACAACTCGAGATCTGCCTGCCATGGTGGTCCTGCCAGTGCTGGAGAGGGATGCAGGGACCATTCTGAATTTAGTTCCCCAAATTCCAAGTCGGCTAGCACAAGGCAGGAGAGTATAGCTAAGCAGCCAGGTGAAAAAGAAGTGAGTGTCTTCAGGGACGGAGGCCGACGGCTCAGCACGGTGCCCCTTCACTCTTCACTCGGCCACAGTGAGGGCAGCACGGGCACCGGCACGGCCACAGTGAGGGCAGCACGGGCACCGGCACGGCCACAGTGGTGCTGCTTGCTCAGGCTGGCCAGGCCATGGTGGGTCCCTGGGCTCGCTGTTTGCATCCCAGTGCAACAGATGGAGATGGTGGTGCTTGCCCAGTGGAGAGTGGCCCAGTGCTGAGGAGTTCTAGAATTTTGCATGGAACGGATGAAAACTGAGGAGGTAGGAAGGACTGTCAGTGGGAAGAAGGGCTGCAGTCATTTTGTGTGGCCTTAAGGGCATCCCTGTGACAACAGGTGGAGGGGACGGGTCGTGGGGGTGGGTCATGGTGGGCTCCAGACAGGGAAGAAGTTTCCATCAGCAAGAGCTTTCACAAATTGGAATGGACTGCTCCAAAAAGTAGAATTTCCCTGCCCACGGGGGTGTCAAGAGCAGACCATGGGATCCCACCTGGAGGGCAAGATCCAGGGGAATTCAGACAGGAGGTGAGGGTGGGGTGGACGACCCCTACAGTCTGAGCCTAAGCATGTGGCCGCCCCAGGGCTGGGTCTGCAGGCTGTTGATGAGCATGAGCCATCGACTTTATTTACAGAGATTCTCTTCCAGGCTCCTCCCAGGTGCCCCAGGAACATCAAGAAAGGCAGACGTAAATGGGTCCAGGGCTCCTCACGCTTGGACAGGGGGGACCTGCTCCCCGGGTGGGGTGAGTGCTGCTAGAAGTCAGGGGAAGGTGAGTGCTAGGTGATGTCAAAAAAGGGAGAATATGGGATTTAATATGGGCTGGGGAATGGCTTGGTTTCCTATAGGAAGAAAGGAAGGTGGGATACCTGCTCCCAGGCAGGGAAGAACAAAAGAAACAGAGGAGGCAGCCTGGGCAGTGGCTGGGCGTCTCACCTGACCCTGGCTGAGCTCCTGCTGATCTTGGAGAAGGAAGGGTGGGGCCAGACTCTGGATGGCTTGGAGCCCCCGACCAGGGTCCACACTGGGAAGAAAGCAAAGGGAAGTTAACCACTCAAGGTTCTCACGCTGTTTTCTCAAGTAAGAAAGTAAACTCCCTAAACCACAAGACCAGCACAAACTAGGAAGGACCCCACGGCCCACCACCATGCGGCACCATACCTAAGTGTTCCTGAAGTTCACAGAAGGGATGTGGTAGAGAGGGGAAGGACGTTACCAGGTTTTAAAACATATTTTAAAGTTTAAAATTTTTTTGCGTTAGTAATAGTGATAATAATTGTACATGCTGTGGGTTCACCTATTTTAAGTGTATAAGTCAATGGTTTGTAAAAAAAAATACATAATTATGCAACTGCTACTACAATTCAGTTTCCAACATTTCCGTCCCTCAGAAAGGCCCTAATGCCCATCTGTACTCAATCTCCATTCTCGCCCCAGCCCAGGCAACCGCGAACCGGTTTTCCATTCCTACACATTTGCCTTTTCTGGACATTCACGTAGATGGGAATCAGGCAGTCCGGGATCTTTTGAGACTGGCTTCTTCACTCAGCATCATGTTTGAGGTTCATCCATGTCCTAGCAGGCATTAGCAGTTTATTCTTTTTTATTGCTGAAGAGAAACCCACTGTATGGAGGAACCACATTTTACATATCCATTCATCAGCTGGAGGCTTGAATTGTTTCCAGTTTGAATATTGTTTCAGTTTGAATATGTGTGAATTGTTTCCAGTATGAATATTGATGGCACAGACCCTTGTTACGAGTCTTTGTGCGGACATGAGCTGGCCCTTCTCTTGGGCAGACACTCAGGAGTGTGCCCTGAGTGTTGTTGCTCAGGAAGCCTGAGGAGGGGTGAGGAGGTGGGAGAGGATTCAAGAGGGGGTGCAAGCTGCGACTGGGGCTGAGTCCCTCCCACATGGAAATGAGGAGGAGCGAGATGAGATGGCGGCCAGAACACTGACGGTGTGGGAGGTTGAGCAGCTTGGGGAGGGCTGAACACCCATGCTCTTGGGAACCACAAAGAGGAGCTCAGGCTTGCGGTCAGGGGACGTGGAGACTTTGTAGGCTCCATGCAGACAGCAGGACTTTAGGAAGAAAGGTTTGGTAGTAGGATGGTGGAGGGAACAGGGCAATGAGAGGCAGGGACAGGCGGAGGTTCAGGATGGTGTGAGCACAGAAGGCTTTTAAATCTGGTAGCCGCTTTGTGGCTGGAAAGGGGCGCAGATGGACGCACAGTAAGAACGCACAGAGAAACCCCTCCTGGACTGTGACTGGAGTCACAAGATGCCACAGTTGAATTTGTGGTCACTAAATGGCTCATCCTAACTAAAATCAGTTCTAATGCCTACAAAAAAGCACTTTCTATTTCCTTAAAGTTTCCTTTGTATATATTATACTTGAGATTACTCAGTAATAACAGTAACATGACAAAATACGAATAAACTGCAAAATTGAACAGAATAAAATTCACAAGGGGCCCTAATTCCGACATAGATAGTAAATGACTAAAAATTCTAAATGAGCACAGAAAACATCTGTCGTGTCAAATATATTAATTCCAACAGTCTAATATATATACTTAATTAAAATAGTGAAACCATCTGTCCAAAAGCCTTCTCGGTGAAACTTTAATTAGTAGTCTCAGTTATATTATGTAGCAGAGAGAAAGGTCTTAGAGTTGCTTTCTTCCTAGCAGATTTGAAACCTGGGAAAGTGAAACAAAAATATTTCTTTTGGTGATATTTGAAGAGAAAAAGAGACATTCCTTGTGTTTTCTTGTTGGATGTCTCTACAGCCGACTCCGATGAAAAATTGCATCTCACATTGTAATGCTTATCTGAGCAGGCACGTCTGCATCAGGGGTCGTATTATCTTGAGCTTGGATTATATCTGAAGGTTATATTTAAGAAACAGTATTTATTAAAAATTTTTAAAATGTAATTGTGAAAAAAACACATAACCAAAATTTACCACGTGTACAGTTTAGTATGTAAAATATAGTCACATTGTTGTGCAATGGATCACTTGAATTTTTTCATCTTGCAAAACTAGAACTCTGCACCCATTAAACACGTCTCGACTCTCTTACTCCCTGGCCATTGGCTCTTATCATTCTGCTTTCTGTCTCTATGAATTTGACTATTCTAGGGACCTCATATAAATGGAATCATTCAGTAGTTGTCCTTCTGTGTCTGGCTCACTTCACTCAGCGTAATGTCCTCAAGGTTCATCTGCATTGTAGCAGGTGCCAGAATTTCCTTCCTTTTTAAGACCAAAAGATATTGCGTGGTGCTTAGAGACCAAGGCTTCTTATCTGTCCATCCGACGATGGACACTTGAGTGGCTTCAACCCCTTGGCTGTTGTGACTAGTGCTGCTATGAACACAGATGTGCAAATATCAATTTGACATCCCACTTTTAATTCTTTTGTAAGTATACCCAGAAGAGTGCTTGCTGGATTATATGGAAATTCTACTTTTTCTTTTTTTTTTTTCTTTTTTGACAGAGTCTCACTCTGTCGCCCAGGCTAGAATGCAATGGTGAGATCTCAGCTCACTGCAACCTCCATCTCCTGGGTTTAAGCAATTCTCCTGCCTCAGTCTCCCAAGTAGCTGGGATTACAGGCACCTGCCACCACACCCGGCTAATTTTTGTATTTTTAGGAGAGACGGGGTTTCACCATGTTGGCCAGGCTGGTCTCGAACTCCTGACCTCAGGTGATCCACCCCCCTCGGCCTCCCCAAGCGTTGGGATTACAGGCATGAGCCACCGCGCCTGGCCTCCACTTTAAATTGTTTTGAGGAAGGGAACATTATTTCTTTTATAGTGAATTTTAAATCTTGCAGATTTTAAAATATAGTAGATTTAAAAGCCTGTGTTGTAACAGAGTCCGGCTGGTATTAACCTTTGGTTCAGAAGTTTCTTTAAGGTCATTGAAACAGTGAGCCAAATCATACCTCCCTTGCATCCTAAAGTACAATTGAGATAAAGTGGTATAAAGAAAAAATACTGCTATGGGCTTTTGGAGATGTGGATTCTAGTCTTGGCTTCATACCCTCTAGTTGCATGACTTTGAATAAGTCATTTCTCCTCTTTGGGTCTCAGTTTTCTCATCTGTGTAAAGGAAGAGTTTGAAATGAGTGACACCTAAGCCGCTATTCAGCTCTAAGCACATTACAAGAATAACTTTCAACTGAAACAGGTGCATAAAAATATTGATCTTTATTTAATTATTGCAAGACATGCAGAACTACTGAAGAAACTAGATGGAGTTGGAGTCAGACCGTGGAGGTGAGGAAGAGGCAAGAGGAGAATAAAAAGCACACGTCCCACATCAGGCTGCTGCTGCTGTGTCAGAGTGGGATTGCCTTCCCCATGGGCTCTGACACGACTTGGGCAGTGGAAGAAGAAACTCCCAACATGGTAGGAAGTCAGAGTCCCCTGGAGCAGGCTGCCCTGCGAGAGAGTTGGGGTGGTCACTGAAGTGTCTCTTGTGGCATTCTATGGAATTGTGTTGTTCTCAGGCAAATTGGTATCCAAGGATTCTTTTCCCCCGTATGTTTGGTATCGGAAAATACCACTAGCCAGTTTCAGCTTCCCATTTGTGTAAATAATTCATTTGCCTTTTGTCAAAGGCATTGGTGTTCATGTTTTGGTCATTTGTTGAAATATTCATTATCCTTTTGGGTTTCAGGATGACAGTAGCAGTGGCTCATACCTGTTCTCAGTCCAGTATACTAAGATGCTGTGATTCTCTGACATCCCAAGCCCCCTGTGCACTGGGAGTTTGGGAAAAAGGATGGCTGACTTAGGTCGTGCTAGTCAAATGCCCATAGGGCTTAGGTTATATCTTGTTTTTGAAAAACTCACAGTAACAAATCTATGACAGGTTACCAATTTTGAGCAAAGTCCTTTCATTTTTCATGAATTCAAAATAATCTTTTTCCCATTTTGCCAGAAATGAATTTGCCTTTGACATGAATGCCTGCTGAATAATGATGGAGTTGAGCTTGTGAGGACATTCTGCAGAACTGGGCTAAAAACATTGACTTCCTACATGATCTCTGCATCCATATGATCTATTAGAAATTAATTACAGTAGCCGTTTGCTTTTTAGGATGCTGAAAGAAGTAACTGAATATAAATAAGGAAAACAAAAGAGAAATAAAGCAAAAACAAAGGGGGAAAAGCAGATGATCATTTAATATGCAGACTGAATCTAAGCAAATTACTATCTAGTCACAGATTCTCTGTAGGGATAAGTTTGTGGGGAACATAATTAACAGACTGAGCAGAAGATGCAGCATCTTCATTTATTCTACAAATACCAGCCTGAATGTGAATTGACAATGCACTAACTTACTCTTAACATCCAAACAATTTGGAAGTAATTGACTCTTTGGATAATAAGGTCCTTTGGGGTTTTTCTGTTTCCCCAAAGATGTCTTAATAAACATCAATTAGCATTGCATAGGTCTACAGCTGTAGATGAAAATAATCTTTATTAGTGCTTTCTGTTTGCTGGAATTTTGGATAAATTGAGTTGGCTGCACCCATAGAGTAAGCAAACAGGCGTGCCCTCTCTTAATAGGACTTGTTACATCCTAGTTTTGCTGGCCTTTTCCAGTTAAAACAAGTTTCATCACAGATCGTACCTTCTCCAAAGAGGCTGGCTTTCTGGATAATTCCTAGTGGCTTTCTCCTAACACCTCATCTCTTAGTTTTAGCCCCTTAGTCATCTTCATGCCAGTGCCCGTGCTGCTGGTGTCTTGTCCCCTAAAGGTCTTGAGTGAGATTTGTCTCCCAGCAAAGTGGAAGTGCTTCTCAAAATTCACTCTGTTCTGAGCAGTGATAAGTACTAAGTATAATGCTTACTGAGTTTTCCGAAACCCAGGGCCAAGTTATTTTCATATGGGGGTTTGTTCTGCCAAGATGGAAACAGTTCCCTTTCTGTTTGAGGGACTGTATGTGGGTGAAGGTAGCAGGTACCTCACTGCAGTGGCTGGGCCACCAGGCACACTCACCAGGCAGTGGCAGCCGGGGCTAGAGCAGCACCTGTGTGGTGGCCTCGCACTCTGAGTCCTATTTTTCTATTCCTCTTGTCCTCACAAATGCCTCATGGCCACAAAATGGTTGCTCCACCTCCTGCCTCACGTCCACTTTCTCCAGAAGAGGAAGAAGAAGAATGAGAAACAGGAAAAGGAAAGAAAAGAAGGAGGAGGAGGAGAAAGAGAAGAAAGAAACACAGCACCCAAACTGGGAAAGTCAGAAGTTTCCAGAAGTCCCTGTTAGTCCTCCGTTCCGCCCCTGGATGTAGCTGCATCACAGAGGCCACACCAGCTGCAGGGGAAGGGGAGACTCAGGTTAAAAGCATCTGTGCACAACGCTGCCTGCAAAGTGCTGGGGTCGCTCAGTAAGGAGAGGAGAGAATGAGTGTGGAGCCCCTCACCCCTCTCCACTGGGTTAGGAAGTCAGAAGGGAGACCCTGCGACGCCTTGCTGTGGAAGCTGGGATGCCTCCGAATGACCTTTGGGATCCACCCGTCATTATCAGACAGGGGCGAGAGATAGCGCGGAATATCAACACCACAAAGCTCCTCAGGGAACTACACCCTGCAGCAGACCCAGGTTTGCGTAGGTACTTCTTGGAATTGTGAAACAGAGAAGTTTGTTTGAAACACAAAGCAGCTGAGGTGGTCCTCCAGGACCCCACGGAGAGGTTCCACCTAGGGCTTCTCTCTCAATCACCTGTTCTGTGGGGTTAGCCCTCCGGGTCTCTCCAGTTCTCCAGCAGGGTCTGCACTCCTGCAAGTCCATCCTGGCCCCTCTCCGGGACCCAAGTGAGGAGAATCCTCTCCTAGTTTTTCTTTCCCATCAGAGCCAAATCAGATGAGAATTTCCAGACACTCGCTGTGTTTCTGATAAAAAAGACAGCTATATTTCTGAGACAAAATTGCCTACCAGTTAGCCACGCGTTCTTTTCTGACACCAGGGTCGAATTGTCCTCCTTGGATAGGACACCAAATTATCAAAGGACAGAAACCACCTGGTGCACCACAAGAGGAAGACCTGCTGCTGAAGGGCAGCGACAGTGGAGAGCGGGGAGGGCTGCAGTGTGGGCATTGCGGCCCCGAGACTGATGAGAAGCCCCTGAGACAGAGGAACCCCAAGAAGAAGCATCCCCCACAGCACGGGCACTGTGGCCCCGAGAGTGGAGAGTGGGGAGGGCTGCAGCGTGGGCACTGTGGCCCCAAGAGTGGAGAGTGGGGAGGGCTGCAGCGGGGGCACTGTGGCCCCGAGTCAGACGAGGAAACCCTGAGATGGAGGAGCCCTGAAACACAGGGGACCCAGAGATGGAGGAATTCCAGGGCGCTGGAAGGGAATTCAGGCATTAGGCTGGAATTCCTATGGCCTGCCGGTGCTTGTGACCCTTATTGCAGTGAGGGGAGGGTGGCATTGGCCACTGGTAGGGCTGGTGATGCTACTCTGCAGGAAGGAGAGCCAGGTTCCTATGGCTGAGAACAGCGATGGGGGCACACGGCTCCTGAAGGCAAAGCCAGACCAGGATTCCAGCGTTTCAGACTCCCCGGCTTTTCCCCAACCTTCTGCATAGGCAGCTTTGTGGAAACCCACATTATAGCAAGTTTTTCATTTCTGGCAGGAATTCATAATTTTGATATTGTTGATTTTGGAACTCAGGTATAAAGCTTGAATTAGTTGTAAGCTTCAGTTCAGAGCACAGTGACACGAGTGACCTGTGCAGGGCTCCTCTTTTATCTCCATCATCCACCCGCCCATCCATCCATCTATCCATCCATCCACCCACCCACTCATCCACCCATCCACCTACCCACCCACCCTCCCATCCACCCACCCTTCCACCCATCTATCTACCTACCCACCCATTCATCCATCCACCCATCCACCCATCCACCCATCCATCTACCTATCCATCCATCCATCCATCCATCCATCCACCCATCTACCCATTCACCCATTTATTCATCCATTCCTCCATCCATCCATCCATCCATCCACTCATCCAACCATCCATCTACCCACCCACCCATCCATCCATCCACCCATCCATCTACCCACTCATCCAACCATCCATCCATCCACCCACCCATCTATCCATTCACCCATTTATTCATCCATCCATCCATCCATCCATCCATCCATCCATCTACCTACCCATCCACCCATCTATCTACCCATCCATCAATCCATCCATCCATCCACCCACCCACCCACTCATCCACCCACCCGTCCGTCTACCTACCCACCCACTCATCCACCTACCCATTTACCCATCCATCCATTCATCCATCCATCCACCCATCCTATCTATCATCTATCTATATCTATCTCCTATCATCTGTCTATGTACAATCTATGTAGCTATCTATCATCTATTTATGTATCTATTATCTATTATATATCTCTATTATCTATCATATATCATCTATTTATGTATTATTATCTATCTAATCTATCTTTCCATCTGTATCTATCTATCTATCTCCTCTTATCCCCACGCCTTACATCTCTCTCCTTGCCCCTCACAGGGAATATTTATGTTTATTTGAAAGAACCTAGTTCTTACTGCAATCCCAGTTTCAGAAGGTGAATGTTTTCATATTTCCTGAAAGCTTCTTGGAGAAGTTTGCTGATTTTATGCCACTTTACCTGGCTAAAAAGCCAAGATGCTGACTTTACCCTTGGCTAGGTGTTGCAGCGCGTGGTGTATCTGAGAGGTGCTGGCTTCTTCCGGGTATCTGCACCCACACTGGCCCCCAGGGCTTGGGTCTCACTGCTGAGCTTCAGCTGAGTGCAGGCTGCTCACACGCCACTCCTTCAGGGGGAAGGGCAGGTAGGGCCATCCCTGGGACTCTAAAGTCACTCTCTAATTTGTCACTCTTTCCACCTCCTGGACCTAACATCTTTCCAAAGTCTCATTGGCTCCCGAATATCTACACTGCACAATGCTTTTACAGTGATTTCCTTGAAGAAGAAAAGAGGCCTGGGGCTGGGCACTGTGCAGTCCAGGAGGCATGTGGAATCTTTGTCTGAGCACAGGATGGGTCCCTGGTGCAGCATGGGGACCCTCTGCAGAGACCTATGTGGCTGGATGCTCACGTCCTGCTCCCAGAGCCCCGGCTTTGGGATGTCTGGTGTGAATGAAGCTGGAGCAGCCGTGGGGTTTGTGAGCTCACAGGTGACTGACATGCACTTATGCCCGCAGACCCAGGTGGAGATGTGGACACACATCATCCTAAGGGTGGCTTTGGAGAAATGGAGCCCTTCCCCCAAAACACACGTGTGTGTGTGTGTGTGTGTGTGTGTGTGTGTGTGTGTGTTTCTTGCTAAAAATAAAAACCAGAGCCAGATACACAGGAGAATTTGTCTTGCTGCTTAATAATCTGCTCGAGCTCAGCCCTTATTCAGCAACCGCTTGGATCCTTCCCGACAGTGTGTGCAAGCCAGATTTGCTCCAAGCTTGCAGACCCCCCTGAAGGAACAGGGGCTGGCATGTGCAGAGGGCTCCCTGGGGTCAGTCCTGGAGGCCATGTGGTTGTATCGCCTTTCACACAAAGGCAACCCTGGAGCCGAGCAGCTGAGAATCGTGGCCAAACCCTGCCCAGGGTGGGCAGAGCTGGGGAGGGGGTGCAGCTCCAGGCTCCTTGCTCCCCGCAAGGCTGCGGCATAGGTGAGGCCTAGAGGGGAAACGCCGGGTATGGGCAGAGCCTCCAAAAGGACTCCTGAAAGACCTGTGTCTTGTTTCCATGGCTACTTTTGCCCATGCTGGCTAAGAGGTCGGCTATGCAATGTTACCTAAGAAGGCCCCGTGGAGCTGGGGTGCTGCCCACCTGGTGCCTGGGTGCGTCACTCCGTCAGGTTCCTGGTGACTACTCAGGAAGAACCCAACAGCACTGCCCCACTGCCAGGGCTTGGTCTGTGGTGGGTGACAAGTAGGGGGACAGCTGCCTAGCCCCTGGATTGAAAACAGATTTCAGGATGGGGCTGGGCGCAGCATGGGTGGGAGGGTGAATTGGGCTGGGCAGAGGGTGGTGGTCACAACATTCGAAAGATAAGGGTGTGACCTTGTACCCTGGGATGCCAGACTCACACTGGGCCATGAAGTTGGCCCTGATGGAATTCATGTTATGTCACTCCATCTCAGGGAATGCCAAACAAGGGAGAGGCTTGCACTTGGGTTCTAGGAGCTGTGTTCTAAGAATTGGAATTAAGTAGGAAAAAACCACTCCAAGCACCTGGTCATGCCCATCTTTCAGGTGAACGGCTCCATCCTGAAGCTGTCAGTCAACATTAGCATGAAGAAGCCAGCACTCTGGGGATCCCAAGGATCTGGGGAATCGTGTGCCACACAGCCCCATAGGAGAAAGTCAGTCCCCAAGGAGGGACTCACCTCCCATAGGACAGAACCAGCCCCAATGGAGGGTGCCGTGTGCCAGCAGACTTGAGAGCTCTGAAGCCAGTGCACTGTGTCGGGATCCAGCCTCTGCCTCTACCCCATGGCTTCCATCATTTCCCATCTGGTCTTTGCAGGAGCCTCCTCACCATGACCACAGCTTTGAATTTTGCTTCTGGAGGTTTTTCCAAAGCAGCAGCCGGCCAGCGTGATTGAGCTCACCCTGCAGGTTTCCAACCCCACGGTGGCCTCCGGGACGCTGCTCTCCAGCCACATCTCTTCGCCATCCTGCCCTGGCTGTCCCACTCCAGCTGCCATGGCAAAGCCAAGTGGGCCCTCCATGGGGGTGCCCGCCTCCAATCCTCTGTGCCTCTGCAGAGATACCTGGGCCTGGGTAGCTCTTCCCTGGCCTTCTTCTGGTCTTAAGGGCTTCCTGGCCACCCTAGCTTGTGCCCTGACTTGGTCTTCCTGTCCCCCTCTGTGCTTTATTTTCTCTGCAGCTCCCCTACCTCCTGGGGGTGCTGACTATTCCCCTGTAGAGTGTGGCTCGCTGAGGACAGGGCACCCTTGCTCATCCATGAAGCAAGGCGGATTCTAAGGAAAGGGGCATGGGGTTTGGGGAGGTGTCATAACCAGCATGCACCTGGTGGCCCAGCAGGCTCTCACAGCCTTCCGTCCCTGGGTGGACTCTTTCAGACGGCTCCTGGTATGTGGCTCACTCATGGGACACAGGTACAGCCCTGCCTTTCCCCAGAGGTCCCCAGGCATGCAGCTCTTTTCTTACTGCTAGATGGAGGTGGATGGTGAGTGGGGAAAAGAGCCTAGGGTTGCCCGGGAGTCCCAGGGTCTGCGTCTGCCTCTGCCTCTCAGTTGCTCTGCGATTATTAGACATCCCTCGATGTCTCTGAGCCTCAATTTTCTTCCAGGTGAAAAGGAACCTGAACCACCTTTCAGGAGCATGTGTTTTACCAAAGGACTTAAGTGCTGCATGGTTGTTCTGTGCCGACGCGCCTCGGCAGCTGGCCCCCACCTGACAGTTAGCGAGGCCCTCATGGTGTTCTCTCCATGAGGGTTCAGAGCTGGCCTGGATCTCCTGCACAGGTGGACCGTCAGGTGCTAGAGGAGAAGAGCACATGAGAACTCTGGTCCCGGGAGTGCTGGGACATGAAGCCATTTCCACATTCCTGGGCATTGTCTTACAAATATCAAAAATTTTGCTAAACTGCAAAACACAACCCCAAGCAGTGGACAATGGACAAGAAGCTCTTTGGAATCAAGTCATCCAAGCAGCTCACCTGGAAGATCCTGGGCGGCCTGGATGGCCAAGAAGTCCAGGTGAAGCCACAGAGATTCATCAACTAAACACATAGTGAACAATTTCTACATGCAGGCATCGTGGCAGGTGCAAGGAATCCACAATATGAATACAAAAAAAAACAAAACAGCAGTACCGTATTACTGGGCATTGGAGTTCTGGTTTAGCTCTGTGTGTGTGTGTGTGTGTGGGTGTGTGCATGCGTGTGTGTGTGTGTGCATGCATGTGTGTACACGCGTGTGTGCCTGTGTGTGTGTGCGTGCACATGTGTGTGCCTGTGCATGTGTGTGTGCATGTGTGTGTGCATGTGCATGCATGCAGGGCTCTTATCCAGTCGTCACGACAGCCCTAGCAAACAGGTTCTGTGGTTATTTGTGAAAATGCCTGAAAGCACCCTCCTTTCTCTTAGACATCCAAGGCAGTGTCCTCCCACAGTGAGGCTGGGCTCCACCTCGTGACTTGCTTCAGCCATGGGACAGTGGTGGTGTAGACATGGAGAGTGCTGGACATTGCAGCTGGGCTCTCTTGCCACTGTTGGAACCCTTAGACCACGACAGCCAACCTGAGTTGGCCTGCGGGAACCTGAGAGGCACATGGAAGACAGCTGGGGCATTCTGGCTAATGCACAGCTGGCCCTCTGCACACCCGACCCCAGGCTTGTGACAGGAACCATTCCAGACCATCCAGCCTCTGAGAGGAGTCCAGCTGCCCAGCCAGGCCAGGTCCAATTCCCAGCCCACAGAATTCCAGGTTGGAGTTTCCTTCAAGCCACTAACCCTTGAGTAGCTTGTGACATGTTTTATTGACATGAAACAAGACCTTTGTGAGCATAACGTTCATCCGGGGTTGCAGAAGGTGAACAACACCTACGCAATAGTATGCTAAGTCCCTTAACTCCATGGGATGCTCTGAAAGAGGACAGGGAGGAGTATCGTGGGAGCTGGGACCTATGACACTCTTGAAGAATGTCATTCTGTGAGTGGGAAGGCCTATAAATTTTGAGTGTGATAGAGATAAACCTATTCTCCACTCCAATGAATTGGGCCACAAAGCACAGAAATTTAATTCTTCACCTACATGGCTTCAAAGATAGAGCTGCATGATAAAGACTTTGAAAAGAGCTAGGTCAGAGTCCAAGGATGTATGCAGCACACCCTGTGGCCACAGTGCAGTGGAAGAGGCTGGAGGACCATGAGATGAGGGAGGTGTGACGTGGCTGGCTCTGCGTGAAGGGTGAGGGGACTTGGGACACAAGGGAAGTCCTCACTCAATCCGACCACAGCCCTCGTGTTTGTGAAGGTTCTGGATGGGACAGAACGGTGGCTGCCACCCTGCAAGAAGATGCGGTCTTAGTTGATTGTCTCTAAAAGGATGGAAAATGGTATCTATGCCTCATCACAAGAGCATATCTGTTGCTCACAGACTATGCTCTGTGTTGAAAGACCGAGGTTCACAGCAAGAGGCCTCACGCTGTCTGCCTCCCTGGGGAAGGGCGATTTGGTCAGAGGGCAACAGAGCCCACCCGTGTCCTGGGAGTGAGGGTTGGGGGGTGATGAGATCTGACTGCCTGAGGCAGGGGGATGGGGCCTGGGCCATACTTGGAAAGATGGGCTGAATTTGGAAGAAGGAGTTAGAGAAAAGAACATGAAAGCAACAGTAACAACTACAGAGGCAGCAACAAACAGGGAGGGCAGGAGATATGATTTGGCTGTGTCCCCACCCAAATCTCATCTTGAATTGTAGCTCCCATAATCCCCACGTGTCATGGGAGGGACCCGGTGGGAGGTGATTGAATCATGGGGGTGGGTCTTTCCCGTGCTGTTCTCATGACAGAGAATAAGTCTCAGCAGATCTGATGGTTTTATAAAGGGCAGTTCCCCTTCACATGCCCTCTTGCCTGCTGCCATATAAGATGTGCCTTTGCTCCTCTTTCACCTTCCACCCTGATTGTGAGGCCTCCCCAGGCATGTGGAACTATAAGTCCATTAAACCTCTTTTTATACATTACCCAGTCTCAGGTATGTCTTTATTAGCAGCATGAGAACAGACTAATACAGTATGAGAGTCCTGCTCCAAATGTATTCAGGGAGTGCATATTAACCAAGACTGCTTAGGTTGCAAGTGACAGAAACCCGCCCAAGGCAAAACAGTTCAAAGCTTCCTGTGCTGGAAGAGCCTGGAAGGTGCAGCTTCATCTAGAAGCACCTTCCCTGAACACTGGCCTTTGCTTTCTTCTGTTGTGCCTGCTTTCTCTGGGGAATTTTTCTTGGGTACAAAAGCTGGCAGCTCCAATCTCTAAGATTCATAACCAGCAAGCTCAGAACAAGGAAACCCCACGCCCCCAGGGGTGCACATCAATCCTTGAGCAGGGCTGTGACTGGCCCTGCCTGGCAGCACGCACCAGACCCCTGCCCCGGACCAATCACCATGGCTGTGAGGGCAGCTGCTCTGACCCACCAGCCTGACCCACACCTCCTGGGATGAGGTGGCTCCCCAGACACCATCACTGTCAGATCTGTGGCGATCACACATCATGTAAGATGATTCCTTCCAAAAGGCAGAGATGTGAAACAGACACAAAGCAAAGTGTCCCCCTTGGGGCAGTACTTTGTCTGGGTGGGCTGGGTGGATCTGAGGAGGGTATGTGGGAGGCAGAGCTGCTGGGCGTAGTGTGACAGCCCCACAGAGGGGAGGGTTGCAAGGAAGCAGCTCAGGAGATCATTCAGTCTGATTTTCCCACAGTCTGTGTGCAGCCTTTCTGGGGCAGGTGGAACTCAAAAGAGAAAAAAAAGTTGGGCCATGCTTAGTAGAAGGACCATTGTGGAGAGAGGAGCTTCAGGTGTGTGGGGCTGTCAGGCTGAGAGTGTCAGTCCAGTTGAAAAGAGAGAAGCATCAGGTGTGTGGGGCTGTCAGGCTGATAGAGCCAGTCCAGTGGTCCCAGTGCTTTGCCCCTCCCTGGTCACATCCTTTGGGGTGTCTTTGACCTGCCCTTTCCCTGCCCTGAGCTTGGCCAGGTGACTTGCCTTGTCCACCACTGAGCTCTCCTTGGCCCCTCGGCCATGGCCTGGGGAAGTGCTGGGGCTGGTCTTCTCCAGGGAGGCAGCTGGGGCCGTGCTGGGTCTCTGGTTGGTCCTAGCTCAAGGCACCCATCGTAGCCATCAGGTAACCCCTAGACTTGCAAGCCAGTCCAGCCCAGCTGACAGCCCCCTAAGTAACCTTCGGCAGATGCACCAGAGCCCTGGTGAGAGCTCAGCTCAGCCCACAGACCCACTCACTGGATCCGTGTTTCCTGTTGAATTCAGCCTGAAGTTCTGTGGCTGTTTACAGCAAGGCTGACAGATGGGGCGGCAGCCTCAGGTCCTGCTGGGGGAGAGTCACCTTCTCCGTCTAGATCTGGGTTTGAAATGTCAATCCTGGTCGCTGTAAATGCTTTTAAGTCTTAAAATCTCAAGTGCCCAGATGGAGGGACACACTCTTCCCTTGTCATTTCTGGCTGTCTGCAGCCTGTTGGTGAGCACTTCTGAGCCGTGGATGTGTCCTTTGGAACAGCTGGGGTGGGCAAGAACAGCAAGTTGGAGGAGAAACATTAAGGAGCCTGGGACGTGAGTCTTAGCTGCAGGATTTTCTATTGTTTGTTTTGTTTGCTCTGGAAAATGGAGATTGGCCAGTGCAGCCTATGAAGGCTCAGCAGGAGCCATCCATGAATGAGAATCTCAGACTTCTGCAAAGCATTTGGATTCTCAAGAGACATGGCCTACATGTCTTTGGAAACAAGACCAGAGATCAAGAATCTATGAATGCCCCCCTCCCCACCCACCCTGGCCGAGGCTTGGATAGCACTTTGTCCAGTGCCTGGCAGATAAGAAGGTGCAAAGCAAATGCTAATTACGAATCCCACACTCTCTGCCCACTCTGTTTTAAAATTTTTCACCCTATGACCTGTCAACTGCTTGACAATGGTTTCCATGGTTTGTCTCTTTAAGGTTCCTTAAATTTTGTTTTGTGGCAAAGCACATTTATCCATTCCAAGCATTTATGGAGTGCTGGGCCCTTGCCCTTCCCTGGGAAGGCTGCAGGGGTCAGTTAAGGCCCCAGCCCTCAAGTAGGCCAGAGTCTGGTGGAAGAGAGATGAGTACATGGGTGCTGCCTCTGCACTGTCCTGTGTTCTGGGCTCCTGTGTGCTGTGTAGACACATGTGACTGTGGGAGGTGTCCCAATGTGGTGACATCTGCAGGGTCTTGAAGGATGAGGACAAGCCTTCTAGGAATGAAGGGATGATGGGAAGGTCCTGCTTCAAGGGAGGGGTTATGAGGGAGGGGGTGAGGGTGAGGAATGGCCAGGTGGGCTGGTCCAGGTAGTGAGGGGCTCTGCCTCTTGTGCTGGGGAGTTTGGCCCTTGTCCATTGCTCACTGAGAGCATCCGCACAGGAGAGTGATTTACTTAGAAAATGGCTTTTTGGAAGACTTTACCCAGAAAAGGACTTTTGTGCTTCCATCAGCTCTGAACCTCCAATCACAGGGAAGCAGGCACTAATCAAGTCTTTCAGAAGGGAGGTGCTACACGGAGCTAGGGAGGAGTTGAACCTAGAGGAACAGCTGAAGAGCTGCTGGCCCTGGAGGAGCAGCTGGGGAGGAGCTGGCCCTGGAGGAGCAGCTGGGGAGGAGCTGGCCCTGGAGAAGCAGCTGGGGAGGAGCTGGCCCTGGAGGAGCAACTGGGGAGAAGCTGGTCCCTGGAGGAGCAGCTGGGGAGGAGCTGTCCCTGGAGGAGCAGCTGGGGAGGAGCTGCCCTGGAGGAGCAGCTGGGGAGGAGCTGTCCCTGGAGGAGCAGCTGGGGAGGAGCTGTCCCTGGAGGAGCAGCTGGGGAGGAGCTGTCCCTGGAGGAGCAGCTGGGGAGGAGCTGTCCCTGGAGGAGCAGCTGGGGAGGAGCTGTCCCTGGAGGAGCAGCTGGGGAGGAGCTGCCCTGGAGGAGCAGCTGGGGAGAAGCTGGTCCCTGGAGGAGCAGCTGGGGAGAAGATGTCCCTGGAGGAGCAGCTGGGGAGAAGATGTCCCTGGAGGAGCAGCTGGGGAAGGGCTGGTCCTGGAGGAGCAGCTGGGGAGAAGCCGCCCCTGGAGGAGCTGACCTCGGAGGAGGGCATGGGCTGAGGTAGGGAAGAGGAGAGTTGGGGAGATGATGGGAGCAATGTTGGGACTGAGCTCAGGTGGAAGCTCTGGAGCTGGGGAAAAGGGTGGACTCCTGGAAGGCCTGCTAGCTACAGCCATTCTCTGAGAAGCCCCCTCACAGTGAGTTGAGTGAGAAGAAAGCACTTTTTCAGTTACAAAGTGAGGAGAATGGTTACACATCCATGTTCTTTGAGCTGAAAGAGGATTTGGAAATGACCTATGGACAGGAACGGAGCAGGAGAGGCACCTGTCATGTGTCACGTGCTCCACTGTAGGGTTCCATTCATTTTCCTACAAGGCCATGGACCCCTGCTGGAGGGCAAGAGGGCTGGGCATCGCTGCCAGGCTTGCCCAGGGCTGGTGTTGCATTCCTCCCTGCCACTCCCGCTCCTGGCCTTCCTTCCCTTCAGGCTGGAAAGTTCGCCATTTCAGGTTTCAGGAAGACAGCAGCCCCCTGCTCCTCCAATGACTGACTCATTCACTTTAGAGTTTGCCTGAATTATTTAAAAAAAAACCTTTTTAGGTTTTACATTGATTAGGTAGTTCTGGAAGGTCATGTGCTTCCCTGAATCAAGCAGAGATATTATTTGTGACTATCAATAATTATTTTATTATTAATGTAATTAAAGATCTCATTCTTTCCTATCTAGTAGCCTAGCAGAAAGAATCTTCCAATTATCTCCACCTTCAGGTTCTCTTTTTTTCAAAATATCTCTAATTATCACTCTTGCTACAAGTATAATCAACTTGCATAAATTAGATTCTATTCTTAGCCTTCATTTTAGCTAGCCCTCATCTGTTTTCTAGCACTTTTTATGTTATGGTGACAAACTCTAAGCTAACACATCTATTCCACACACAACCCAAATTGAAAGGCCCAAACTAAAATAATATATCCAGGAACCAAGATGAGGGATTCTGCCACGGAGTACAGAGCTCTTCCTGTCCGACTCCTGCTGGAGTTATGCGAAGCCCCAGGCTCAGCTTCATTTCTCTTTCTGCTCATTGCTGGCCCTAGTAATTGGTATGTTCGAGAAACTGGAATCTGTCCATTCATTTGCTCATTTGACAGGTACCAGGTTCCTGCCATGTGCTGGGCTCTGTTTCCAGGGTCGTGGGGGAAGGAGGGAGGAACATGGCCTCTTGCCTTTAATGGCTCTCCCAGGTCAGTATGAGCACACAGGGGGGTGTTGAGTAGCATGGACTGGCAGTACAATAGGAATCAGAAGGGAAACTGAGGTCTGAGGCTGTGGAGCTGTGGGGCAAGGGTGGGGGAGAAGAAGGGGCATTCTGAGCAATCTGGGGGTGAGGCTTCTGGGTGGGGTCTTTGGGGTGGGGAGGGCACCTGCCCTGGCTCCACTGTGTCCTGAAAACCACTGAGAGCAATTTAAGGCTGTTTGCAGGGCTTGTGGATCTATCACCATTTGGTTCACTCTGCAGAACATTTGAGCCCAACCTAACCACCCTATGTATACTTTGATCTGAAGTGTCCTCAGAGGCAAGTTTCAGAACACGGCTAGGCTGGGGAGGACCTGACCCTGGAGAAATAGCTGGGGAGGATCTGACCTTGAAGAAGCAGCTGGGGAGGAGCTGTCCCTGGAGGAGCAGCTGGGGAGGAGCTGGCCCTGGAGGAGCAGCTGGGGAGGAGCTGGCCCTGGAGGAACTGACCTTGGAGGAGGGCATGGGCTGAGTAAGGCAAGAGGAGAGTCGGGGAGATGATGGGAGTGGTGTTGGGCCTGAGCTCAGGGGGAAGCACTGGAGCTGGGGAGAAGGGTGGGCTCCCATTTTGGGGCTGGTCTTATCATCGTCTCCATCGTCTCTAGTAAAATCAGTAACCCTCCTCTCTGCACCACCTACTGTGTGCTACAACCTCTGCCGGCCCTAGAAACCCCAGGGCCGGTCCTTCTCACTGTCTTCTAGGGGGGACGTTAGAAGCTGGGGGTGCTGAAGCCCCAGAGCTGTGGGAGGCTGCAGGGCAGTGTGAACGCAGGCCTTCCTCAGTGGCAGGTGCCCTGACACAGGGCTGGGGCCTGACGTCTGCACCCTTCCTTTCGGTCTTCAAACATTGCAGTGAAAGAACTGGGTGTTGAGGCGAGGCGGGGTTTCCTGTGATGCACATGGCTCACAGCAGATGAGGCAGCCTCCGTCCTTTCATTACGAGCCATCTTCACAAGGAGTGGGACCCACTGGCTCGCTCGGGCTGGAGGAGCAGCTTCAATTACATCTCAGAAAGGATGTCTGCAGCCGACAAGCATTTGCCACCACCTAAATGGTTGTCCTTAAATGGGCTTTGCATAGGTGCTCTCACTCAGCTATAGGGGGCCCATTTTGCAACCAGCTCAGCTGGGTGACTGTGTTTTCATCACCTCAGCTTTGGCCTTTCCTAAGGACGGGGAATGCATGGAAAGGTTTTGAATTGAAGTTCTGCCCAGTGTCAGACATGGCATCTCTGCCTGGAAGCCCACATGTCCTCCGGCCTTGAGTCCCAGGCTTGCCCCTTAAGGCCCGTGTCCATGGTGTTCGTGGCTGCCACTCGGCCCTCTGTGTTCCTCATTCCTGCCTCCATCAGCCGCTGCTGTAGTCTAAGGTGCTGCCCGTTGTCCATAGTGGTGGTAGCTGCCACTCGGTCCTCTGTGTTCCTCATTCCTGCCTCCATCAGCCCCTGCTGTAGTCTAAGGTGCTGCCCGTTGTCCATATTGGTGGTGGCTGCCACTTGGTCCTCTGTGTTCCTCATTCCTGCCTCCATCAGCCCCTTCTGTAGTCTAAGGTGCTGCCCGTTGTCCATAGTGGTGGTGGCTGCCACTCGGTCCTCTGTGTTCCTCATTCCTGCCTCCATCAGCCCCTGCTCTAGTCTAAGGTGCTGCCTGTTGTCCATATTGGTGGTGGCTGCCACTCGGTCCTCTGTGTTCCTCATTCCTGCCTCCATCAGCCCCTTCTGTAGTCTAAGGTTCTGCCCGTTGGCGTGCGCCTCTTCCACTGGATGGTGACACAGTGCGGTGAGGGCCCTCAGTGCTGGGCCTTGTGAGGGTCTCCCGAGGCTGTAACAAGGTACTGAGCCAGAAATTCATCTGCTCCAGCTGTGGAGGCCAGAAGTCTGATATCAGGTGTGGGCAGGGCTGGCTTCTCCTGGGGCTCGCCTTGGCTGGCAGACGGCCGCCCTCTCCCTGTGTCTTCACAAGGCTGCCTGTCTGTGCCTGTCTGTGTCCACATCTCCTCTTGCCGTAAGGACAGTCAGACTGGGTTAGGGCTCGCCCTAAAGACCTCCTTCTTAGTTAGTTATCTCTTTACAGACCTTGTCTCCAAATACAGCCACGTTTTGAGGTCCTGGGGTTAGGACTTCGGCAGGAACTTGGAGACGCAACTCAGACCGAAGCCAGCCCCAGCTGAGCACAGAGCTCGTGACATGATGCGCCATGCTGCCCTGAGGTTCCCAACCGGGTCTCTGCTGAGCTCCAGGTCTGTACGCGGTGGCTGGCCTGCATCTCACCTGGCGGCCGTGGGGCACCTTCAACTGACCTGACTCCAGCTCCCTCTTCCCACTCCTGCCCCACCTCATCCATCCCTGGCCCTGGCTCTCCCTCAGCAAACAGCCCCTCCTCCTCTGCTGTACACACACCCTCCGGCTCTGCTCCCAAACCAGAAACCTGGGCCTCGCCCTGGACTTCCCTCTGTCTCCCTCCCTCTGTCCCTCTCTTCCCTCACATCTAGCCAATCCCAAATCCTACGGAGCCTTCCTTGTTAGAATCAGTACAGTCCCTCTTCCTTCCTGTCTGTCCTGTGCTGCTATCTCAGGCCTTCACTGCGGCTGTCAACGTCCCCATCTCTGGTCCTGCCCCTCTGATCTGCTGCCCACTCTGTCCAGGCTGAGCCTGCTAAGCTGTGTGTGTGCCCATTGATCTTTCCTGCTCAGCTCCCTCCTGAGCCTCTGTCTGCCTTCGGGGTCCTTCTGTCCTCACAGACCTGCCTTCCTGCCACCCTGGGCCTGACCCCCTTGGGATCCCTTGTACCTGAACCCTCCAGCGCCTGTGTTTTTCTCCCCTGCCTTTGGCCTGAGCTGCACTCCCTCCTCAGAGCCCAGCCTCGGCCCCTTCTCCTGGCATTGCTGATGAAGGTTCCTGGGGGCCCAGTAACTCCTTGAACCAAGTGTTTGTCTAAAATAATCCTCATTTTCCCTGTAGATGACTTCATTCACTTCTTCTTCTTCCTTCTTCCTTCTTCTTCTTCTATGGAGTTTCTCGCTCCTGTCACTCAGGCTGGAGTGCAATGGCATGATCTCGGCTCACTGCAACCTCTGCCTCTTGGGTTCAAATGATTCTCCTGCCTCAGCCTCCTTAGTAGCTGGGATTACAGGCATGCACCACCATGTCCGGCTAATTTTTGTATTTTTAGTAGAGATGGGTTTTTGCCACGTTGGCCAGGCTGATCTCAAGCTCCTGACCTCAAGTGATCAGCCCATCTCAGCCTCCCAAAGTGCTGGGATGACGGGCGTGAGCCACCGTGCCTGGCCATTCACTTCTTACATAACACAAACTCAACAGAAAATTGCATCCAGAGAAGCTCACATGCAGCTTCAGGCATCGGAAAAAGTAGTTTTGATCTATTTTTACTATATCAAAGTTCTGAAAGAGGATGTGGTGAAGGCAGAATGCTATCTTGTAACACTGGAGCCCCAGCGGGAAGCCTGAGCTCATGGGGAGGGGGACAGGCTCCCTGGGCATGGATCCAGGCTCTGGTACTTTCTGTCTGGGCTTTGGGAGTGTTGAGCCTCTGCCTCAGTTTCCACATATGTGGAAAATGGGCAAAATGCAAGAAACTGCCTCACCGTGCTGTGACGAGGACTGAAGTGAGAGCACGCCAGGCTCACAGACCAGTGGTGGGACGTGGGGGCTCTGACACAGGGCGGCTGCACGGGACCGTCACCATCACGTCCCTGAGGCCATGCCCCACAGTGGCTGCCTGGTGTCCTTGACATGGCTCCCATCTTCCGTGTGCCCATTCAGAGCACTTCTGTCTCCTCTTGGCTTCCATCTTTCTCCTCTTCGTATTACCCAATTTTCCCACAAAATATTGGTAAGTCCATGAGCAGCAAAGACCCCTCCTCAGACTGCGAGAGAGGGTGGGGGTGGGGGTGGGGCAGGGGGCTTAGAGTTTCCCAACTTTTCCCTCTCACTCACATTGGGTGATTGTCCCAGCATAGCCACTCAGCATCCTGGGAGATGCTTGGGAAAGAAAGGGTCCTTTGGCCAGAAACTTTGTGTCTCTTTTTTCGAGATGGAGTCTCCCCTTATTGCTCAGGCTGGAGTGCAGTGGCACAATTTTGGCTCACTGCAACTTCTCCTCCCGGGTTCAAGCAATTCTCCTGCCTCAGCCTCCTGAGTAGCTGGGATTACAGGTGTGTGCCACCATGCCCAGCTAATTTTTATATTTTTGGTAGACACAGAGTTTCACCATGTTGGCCAGGCTGGTCTCGAACTCCTGACCTTAAGTGATCTGCCTGCCTCGGTCTCCCGAAGTGCTAGGATTACAGGTGTGAGCCACCACGCCTGGCTGGACAGAGGTTTTGTGTCTTTTTGTTTCAGAACTCTTCTTGAGGGCACTGTTGGGTATCACCAGGCAGCCTTGGCATAAGACCTGTCATCACAGATTTTGATATGGCTTGGATGTTTGCTCCTCCAGGTCTCATGTTGAAATGTGATTCCCACTGGTGGAGACAGAGCCTGGTGGGAGGTGTCTGGGTCCTGGGGGCGGGTCCCTCATGGATAGTTCAGCACCATCTCCTTGGTGATGAGTGAGTGCCCACTCTGAGTTCACATGAGAGCTGGTCGTTTAAAAGTGCATGGCACCCCCTGACTCACTGCCTCTCTCACCGTGAGATGCACCTGCTCCCCCTTCACCCTCCACCATGATTGGAAACTTCTTGAGGCCTCGCCAGAAGCAGATGCTGGTGCCATGCTTGCAGCCTGCAGAACCTCGAGCCAATCAAGCCTCTTGTCTTTATGAATTCCCCAGCTGCAGGTGGGCGCCTTTAGAGCACCGCAAGGATGGCCTAACACAGATTCCCACTCCAATTTAGCTCCAGGAAAAAGTCGGTTTTGCTTTCTGCTTTTTTGTTCTTTGGACAAATTTAGAAGTTTTCTTTCTGTTAGAAAATGAAAATTATGCCCCTGGACAAGTTTCCTGTTTCGCTTCAGCTGTCAGGAAACCCCGTGCCCAGCTGCAAAGCCAGCCCGAGTGGCAGTCCTGCCACGAGGCGCTAGCTCTTCTGTCTGGGACCGGGGTCCTCCTTCTGGAGGCTCGTGTGTCTGTTGTCCTCTCGTGAGGCGTGAGGAGCAGAGGGTCTGGGGGCAACAGGACAGACTCCCTTCTTCTCTCATGGGAAGGTGTTTGCTTTAGGTCCTCCCTCTAACGTTCTAATCTCAAACCCATACACGTTTCCTCTAACATTTATCAGACTCCACAGAACTGGACAGACCTCTGTAAATACCAAACTGGCTTCGTATGCTTCAGCTTTACAATGCACCATTTAAAAAAATGACAGGGTCCAGGGCTTAGACATTTACATCCTATGCAAATCATTATGGCAAGTGTATGAATCAGAAAAATGTGCTTTGAATTGGGCTGGCCTCTCCTTTCAATATTGCCTTTTATTTGAAAAGAGGCAAACAGAAAGGAATTATATCTATTTGCTTTTTCTGTTGAATATTTTAATGGTTTGTTCTGTCTGAGAAAACCTGATGTTTAGCTAAAGTTGACAGAAACCACAAGTGGACGTGTCAAAACAAGCTGGAGAAAGTTACTTTTGATGTGTTTTATTGAGATATCCGGGTACTTTCCAATTATTTTATGCCAAGAAAGGTAATTCTTCACAAAAAAATGATTTCTTTTGAAAACCACAAGTGTAACTTGTCAAACCTTAAATATCATTTAGATCCATCGCGGGGGAAGTTCTAAGGCAGGCTCTGCGGCTCCTGGCAGGAACAAGAAAGCAGATTTGATGGACGCGTGTGCAGCGTGCGTAGCCGTCCCTCCATGCTGTCCTCCACACACGGGGTGACATGGGAGGCAGGCGGCCTCCTCCGTGCTCAGGAGGAATTTGTGGCACTTTGCGTCCTCACTGCCCTGCTCCCCGCAGCAGCACCCAGAGCTGTCGTTGGGTTCTGAGGCTGCTGAACTGTGAGTGAGTAAAGAGCTTCGAGCCGCTGAAGCTCACTGGCTCTCGGCTCTGAGACACAGGGATGTTCAGACAGGCGGCCTCTGTTCTGGGGGTGCTGGAAGGGCCCAGATGGCGTGTGGCAGTCAGCCAGGCCTGGGGCCAGCACCGATTCTGCCACCCAGGAGTCCCCAAGCCTCCCTGAGCCTGGTTCCTCTTCTTAATGCCAGGGCGAGCAGGTCTCTCCTGCATGGTGATGGAGCCCTAATGAACAGCACTCAAGGACTCTCGGCCATGTGTGCTGGGCGCAGGGCCCGCTGTGCAGGAGCCCGTGGACGGACGTGTGCCCTTCTCCCCCAGCTTGGATAACTGAAGCCCAGAGAGAGACCGCTCCCCAACCTTGCCCTGCCTCTTAGCAGAGTCCAGCTCTGCACGCACACAGCTCGCAGCTCCCTTCCTTCGTGGGGTGAAATCCAAATTCTTTGTAGACACGGGCACTGTGCACACGTGAAATACCTGTGTTCTTCGGCACCAGATTTTTCAAAAGGTGACTTAAGAAACAGCTCACAAATACAAAGACAATGGGGAAGGGAGGCGTTTTCAGATTAGACAGAAACCACATGAAAGACGCTTCGGAAGAGGAGCGAGGTTTGGACTTGACTCGGCAGTGGGCGGGGCCGGATCCCGGGTCTTCCAGGAGGGGCCCAGGCGCGTGGAACCGCGGGGGTGGGGGGCTCCCAGGAGGCTGCCCTGCCCTGGGGGGATGCCCGGAAGCCCCCGCGCCCCCGCCTGGCCACATGCTCCGTGGGGGATTGGAAAACCATCTTCTCCATCGGCACAGACGGTTGGAGCTGTGGGGCCTCAGAGGACAGCTGCGAGAACTGCTCTGGTTGAGGTCCGGAGGGGCGCATCCCTCGGTCTGGGCACTGGGACTGCTCTGCCCGTGGCCTGAATTTTACCACTCAATGTTCTTTAAAAAGGAGGACGAGGACAACAAGCACGGGAAAAGTCCATGTTTAATTAAGGTGCGGCCCCCTCGGGAGGAGCGCACACGTGGTCAAGGTGCATGAGGCAGAGGCCCACCTGGGAGCCCGCCAGCAGCGCCAGGTCACAGGTCCCAGCCCTCAGCTGGACGGGCCGTCCCTCCTCGGAGGCTGCAGGGTGGGATTGCATCCCCGGTGCAGGTGGGATTTGGCCCATTTTGAGTCGGGCTGTGTGAACATCTGCAGCTGCCTGGGTTTCTGGGTCTGGCCCATAGTGGACCCAGGCGCACCTTTGCCAGGCTGAGTGGGAGGCACCGGCAGGTTCACCAGGCTCAGGTCTGTCTGCCTTTCCCCTGTCGCCCTGGTGTGTGCTAGCTCTCTTGGGGTGTGCCTAACCTTTCAGCTTCCTTCCCACCACCTCTTCCCTACTTTTGTGTCCCTGCAAGAAGGAGGAGAGGACCCTGGTCCAGGGCCGTCCACAAGCCTTTGTGGGTCCCTGGGTCTTTGTGGGTTCCCAGGGCGGGGCGGGGGCTGGCTGCCCTATGTCGCTCCAGCCTCGGCTGGTGAGAAGGCCCAGCCTTGGCTGACTTGATGTGGTTCCCACCAGGCTGCCCGCTGCTCCCTCAAAGCGGGGCCCCAGGTCAGCTATAGGATCCTGAGCCAGGCTGTGCTGCCTGGGGCTGAGTGAACTCTGGAAATACAAGTCTGGGGAGAATGTGTTCTCCTGACTTCTGTGCAGAGCCCACTTGAGACCAGGAGGACCCAGGGGTGACCTGACGCCCTGGACGGCAGGGGAGCAGGGTTATCCAAGACCCTGGGAGGGGAAGGTGGCTGGGGCTTGTCCCGGAACTGGAGGGAGGAGGACACTGGATGGTTCCGGGTGTGGGTAGATAGAGGCCACATTGGTGCTGGGGCCCTGGAACCCCGGGGGCCACAGTCCAGTGAAGGAGTGTCCGGGACCCCTGGTACCGAGCCCTAGGTATGGCGGGTCGTGTTCAAAAATAGATTGTACGAGACTTTGTCCTTCTTCTCTTTGGCCATTCTCAGCGGGGCTTGGGTTCCTCGGGAATTTCTCAAGGGAAGAATCAGAGGGACAGGGGAGACGACAGAGCCCGCTTCTGTTCCTCCTTCACTAGTGGGGAGTCTCGCGTGCACGAGTGGGAAGGGCTCTTGGCCCACAGGTGAGGCTGCCTGGGCTGGGGCCTGCAGTCAGATGCCATCTGTGAGGCCTTTGGCAACACTATTTTTCCATTAACCTAAGAAGAATAGGATAAACCAGCACATTCTAAATCACCCAAATTGTCAGCAAGCACACGCGAGTGGCACTGCAGTGTTTGCGCGTGTTTCTGCTCCTCAATCGCATTGGTGTGGAGCCGCCCGCCAGTTTCTCATTCACAGTGCAGGGCTTCTCAAAGCGGGGCTGTTCTCAGGCCCTTGAGGCCTGGAGTTTGCTGGCCTGGCCTGCGCTGTGGCATCAACACCCCACGTGAGCTTCGACTCCTTGTCTCTTCTTGCCTCCTCCTCAGTAGGTGTCAGGGTCCCTGGGTCGCCTCACTGCTCACCCCAACTTGCTCTCAGTAGATGGGCTCCCAGCCACGACTCTACGCCCCTCTGTCTGTAACAGCCAACTCCACAGGCCTGGCTGGCCTCTCTCCTGGGCACCAGGTCCTACGCACAAACACCACCAGACCCATCCATGCCTGGATGTCCTGCATGGGTCTGGACATCAACCCAGAGCGAGGCTCAGCCTCCTGCATCCCCACAGCCTTCTACAGACTCCCTCTCGGTTTGGATCATTTCCGTCTGCCAAGCTGAACGCATTAAGCTGGGAGTGAACCTTGACACCACGCTCTTCCTTCCTTCTTCTATCTGGTTGGCTTCAAAAATCCAACAGGCCCTGTCTTGGCCGCTTGCCGTGCCCCGGCCTCTGCAGGGCGCTGCCCCTGTTGTCTTTCCCCAGGTACTCACTGACCAGCTGGGCTCATTGCAGCAGCCCAGACTCTGGTTCCTCTTCTCTTTCAGGGGATGGAGGGTAGGGACCACATCGTACAGCCGTCACCTCTCGCCTCCTCTTCTCTTGCCCCACCAGGGCTGAGCCTGTGCGTGACTCATCATCACTCACAGACGTGATGCTGTGTGGCTGAGACCAAACAGCACCAAGACCAAGCTCTTTGGGAAAGCCTAGGAGCCCCCGAAGGCTATGTCAGGAGCTGGTGAGGATCTCTGCCCCTTGGGAGGAATCCTCGCACGGGAAGAGCCAGGGCTGCCAGACGTCAGGCCATCCTTTAGGACAGTGCTGCCAAGCCTTTTACTCGTCCTGGCGCACAGGAAAAGGAACATCTTTGTGTGACAAGATGGCAGAGTCCTGGAGGGCGGCAGTCCCAGGGCAGAGTCCCCTCCCCAGGCACAGCCCTTGCCTGTTGTTCCCGGTTCCCCTGCACGCCGGGTGTTCTCTGTTGTCCCTGGTTCCTCTGCACACCGGGCGTTCTCTGTCGCCCCCTGTTCCCCTGCACGCTGGGTGTTCTGGGATGCGCTCATTTATGCTTGGGGTCCTCACCGTCTCCCATGGTGCTGGGAGAGAATCTCTCTCCATGGGGATGATTTGTGGAGGGAAAAACCTGGCGAAGTTTGACATGTGAAAGGATTACACGTGTCATCTGTGACAGGGTGGCTGCAGAGAGCTACAGGTACAGCGTCCTGCTTGCCCCAGCTCGGCAGGGTGTGGCTGGGGACTTGGGCCGCCCTTTCCCCTTTGTGGGTCTCAGTTTCATCAGTAGGGTTGGGAGTCAGTAGGGTGGCCTCCCAGCCCCTCCATGGGAGCCCCCTCCTCTTCCTTGATCTTTGTCTGTTTTTCTCTTCGTTCGGCTGGCAACAAGCTGTCACCCTCTGGCTTCCCAGGGAATCCAATGGCACCTGTGTTTCCCAGGCCTGGGTGCCGCGGTCCCGCAGTGGCATCCTCGCCTCTCCCCTCGTTCATCAGCATCTTTGCAGCCGTAGCCCCTTGTTTCTCTCTGTGGATTGCAGACCAGGGACAGCTCGGCTGAGTGGCTCCTAAAGATACTTTCCAAACCTCCCAGTTAACTCTGTTTCATGGGGTTAAGGGCGCTGTCTTTTCTTCCACACAATCATTTGTTGCAATGCTGTCTTGCCCAAGTTATGCCATGCATTTTGCCAAGCGCTGGTCTCCCCTGGTGTCCTGGCGTTTGCCATCCCAGGGCCCCGCCACACTGCCTGGGCCTACCTGGGTCTCCTCTCGGAGCAAACCCACAGCCACCCAAGTCACGCTGTTTCCGTGGGTGTGTGCCGTGGGTGTCTTATGTGTGCATGGGGCTAAGTCTGGAATTTACTCATTAAAACTTATGAAACCACTGCGAGGTCACGGTGAGGCTCCCGTGGGAGCGGGCCACAGCAGCCCCGGGCTGGAAGTCAAACAAGGAAGTGGGATCGTGTTGGAACCTGACGCTTCTGCCGGTGTGCTGGGTGCAGAGAATGGCTCTGACAATCAGAGCAATGGCACAAAAGGGCCACAGTGACTGTGCAGAGGTCAGGGCTTCATTTCAGGCCCAGAGGGAAGTAGGTGGGAGTTGGAGCTGCCTTCCCTTGTGGCCCTCTGGCCTGGTCCTGCTGATGGCAGGGCTGCTGTGAGGGTAGGGGTTGACATGACACAAATCCACCCTGGAGCTTATGAACATTGCCGTGGAGGTTTCTATGTGAACCACATTCACATGTTTTCAAGGAACATAAAAACTAAAAACTAAATGAATTCATAAATAAAGTATAATTGACGTCATAATGAGCACCTGCTGAACCAGCAGAGCATGGCGGCGAAGGTCATGATCTTTGGAATCGAACAGATCTGGGTTCGAGGCTCAGCCTGGCTACTTCCTGGTTGTGTAATCTTGGCTGCGTGAATTGACCGCAGTTGGCCTTGGTTTCCTCGTCTGTGAAACGGGGGCAGTGGTGACACAGGCTGCTGGCTGAGGTTAAATGAGAGCATGTGGGTGAGCCACAGTTCAGTGCATGGCATGCGGGAGGCCTTCAGTAAGTGGTAGCTACCCCGTCATCATCACTGTCACCTGGGATGTCTCCAGCCCGCCCTGTGTCAGAAGGCGGCCCTCCTTCCTGTCGGTGCTGGGGCATTTCCTGCTCACTGGCTGCCCCCTGTACAGATCAGCTCTCCCTCCCCTCTGCAGCCTCCCAGGTGACCTCCTGCTAAAGATTCCAGCACCTACAAAACGTGTTCTTACTCATTTTATGGGTGTCCTTATCAAAAAGCACCACCCGCTCAACTTTACCTTCATAAACTGGATTGTTTCCTTTTTCTTCCTAAAGCAAAGATGCCTCCCTGCCAAGATTGGGGCATTTTATGGTTCATTCAAACCCAAATGTATCATCTAGATTGATAAGAAACACACCCAGTGCCAAGTGCTTAGGGCACAGGTACCTAATCGGGGGGAATGACTGACAAGCAGAATCCTTCCCAGACTTCAGCTCTCTTTCCTCCTTGGCCCTTCACATGGGGAGGGAAGGGGGCTGCTTGGAGAAGACGCTAGAAGGAAGGGTTGGGTTCAGCGGTGACTCTGAGCTGTGAAGTGCCTTGGATGCAGGGCTGTGAGCAGGGCGCCTTGGGTGAGCAGTGGTTCCTGAGGTAACCAGGATGCAGCAGCTCTGCAGAGGTGGCTCCCAGCTGCCTGCTCTTGTTCTCTCCCGACGCTGCTCCCTGGGAAGGGAGGCTGGGAGGAGTCTGGAGATGCATCCCAGGACCGCTTTGCAGAGACCTGGAGCACTGATGACTGAGCAGTGTTTCTAATGATGGTCTGAGGCTCAGGCAGTGACTGCCTTGAGGCCAGTCTGGTCTTGCAGTGCGAATTTAAAAAGATCCCTAAAACAAAAATGTCACTCGGGCAAATGGTGCTTGTTGGTCCAGCGGGCGAATTTGCTAGGGTGCTGGAGGGAGTCAGGGTGTCTTTGGGCTGCCCACTCCCACTTTTCAATCTTAGGGTCTTTTAAGAGCAATTTTGGCAAAATGCGACAGCAGCCAGTTTTCAGTGCATAAGGAGAAGGAGAAAAGAAGCAGGCCGAGTCTGTCTCCAGCACAGACTCCAAAAGCAGAGCCGAAGGGTGGGCTGAGGGGAGGCGGCGGCCAGCAGGAGGGGACGGGTGAGTCCTGTAATTCAAACAGACAGAAGTGCTGGGATGGAAAATGGGCTTTTTGAACGCACGCTCCAGCCCTGCGCTCCCAGCAGGGGCCCGGGAGCTAGCTAATGGCCCCCGGACCTGATCATTTATCTTTATCAACTGTCAGTTAGGGAGACCATGACAGGGCTCCTCTCATGCCTTAAACAGAGGCTGCCCCTCGTCTGACACAGAGGGACCCAAGGGGTCCTTCCCTGCAGCCCCTTCACTTTGCAGATGGAGAGACTGAGGATATACAGCTCACCCTACGGTGCACAGCGTCGGGGCAGAATGGGGCTCTCTAGACACCCCTACCCGCATTCACTCACCTCACCCGGCTGCTGTCAATTTTCATAGCTCTTCCTGTTTTGGAAACGAGCATGGAACTTATTTTTAGCTGCATAGAGGTAAGAGGTGTTGCGGGACCAAGCGTGGAGCCACAATCGCCACTGACTTCACCATTGACTTTGCCATTGATATCCTGGTGTCACAGTTCCCAGGGAGGAAGAGGTTGCACAACAAGGCCGGCTGGGAAGCGCTTAGGCATATCCCTCAGTGACCGCCCGGACGTCAGCCTGTGTGCCTGGCTTTGCAGAACAGCTTGGAGTTTTCAGAGACCTCCTTGGGGCTCCCGTCGCTTGGCAGGACACGTCCCAGAAGGGTGCCTTCTGGAGCGCGTCTGAGTAGGATGAGGATTGCTTCCTCACCCCTAAACAAGAGTCTGCTCTGAGTACTCCTCACCTCACGCTCTGAGCTTCCACAGAGAACCCCTCCACTCATGGCGTGAACGAGGAGCGCAGAGCTGGGCCTGCTTGGGGACAAGCCCGGAGCAAGATGACGGGGATGTCAGGTGTTGACGGGGATGTCACCTGTCACTTGGGAATGAACACATGTTCTCTGCATTGTCCCCAAGGACCCCAATCCCTCTGAGCACAGACTCTGGAAAGCGTGCGCCATTCACCATCGGCTCTGTTTTACAACTGAGGTAGCCGGGGGATGGAGCAGGAAGGGCGTGCCCAGGTCCAGGAGCCCTCAGTGCTTCTCCAGCCGGCCCGACGGGTACACGAGAAGTCGGTGCTGCCGGGGCGCAGGCTTGGCCTCGCATGGCTGGAAAGGGCATGGGTTCAGCTCTGGTGGCGGCATCTGGTCCAGGAAAATCTAGTGGAACAGTGTGGTTGCACAGGGCAGAGGTGCACCCCTACCTCACCGGCACCCACTTGCAGGGCAGAAGACATGGGCCCCGTCTTCTGTGCCAGCTCGGACAGTGGCATCCATGCCCTGGGCCCTATGACTTATCCTAAGACAGCTCCTGTCTGTCCCCACTGGTTTCTGGAACAGGCCTCCCCAGTGGCGGACGGAGGCTATTTCTGAGGGAGCCCCAGGTGGAGGGGTCACAGCTATCAGAGCCACCCCACAATGGCTGCATGTGCCAAGAAGCCTCCAGCAGTGGGAGAGCCGCACCACGGAGCAGACAGATTCCTGGAGCATCCAGGACTGTCGGTCTCCTGGGCCCAGCGGTGCCAGCAAGCCCGCTGCACATCCCTGCCCAAGTCCCTTCTGTTCCTCAAGTGTCCCCTGTCCTCATCCTGAAGAGGCCCTGCTTCATTTCCCTCGCAGGCCCCCCACAGCAGGGAGAAGGTGCAGCTTCCCGCAGGGCTCCTCAGTGTCCCACTGCCCCACTTGTGCGTCCCCGAAGTCACGTCCTCTCTTTGCAGCAGAAGGAGGGTGTCCAGGGCATCAAGGGCCAATCCTACCCTTAGACCCAGGACCGCGCCTCTCAAAACTTTTGAATAACTACAGCCCCGATGGCCTGTCCCTCAGCTTCTCATGCTCTGAGAAGCATCAGGTGCCTCGGAGGCAGTCCCCTCTGAAGGCATCGCCAGAGGAGGCAGCCACTGGCCTGTCTCCCTCCCCTCCTTTAACCCCACTGACATTGCCTTGCTGGGACACCTTCCTCTGACTTCGCAGTTTTCAAACATTTTGGTTTCAAGACCCTGTCACATCCTTAAAAATCACTGAGTTTACTGTATTGGGAATTAAAACTGAAAAATTTAAGACGTGTATTAATTCATATAAAAATACTAATAATAATCCCATGACATACGGTATTTTTATACAAGTAGGACTGTGGCATTGATTTATATTTTTACAAATGTCTTTCATGTCTGGCTTAAGACAGGATGTCTGGATTCTCACATATGTGTTTGTGAGATATTACACGCAGCTTTATGAGGTTATTACTCACATTTAATGCAGTTTGCAAATCTAAATTGCACAGTTGAATGGTTTTTAGTGTATTCTACTCACAGACTTGCATAGCTGCCAGCACAGCCAACTTCAGAGCATCAACCCCAAAGAAGCCCCAGACCTCCTCCCAGTCCTTTCCATTCCTTCCAACCTACCCAGCTATAGACAACCACCTAGAGACTTTCTGTCTTTATGGCGTTCCCTGTTTGGTATTGTTTTAAATATAAATAGAATCTTACAATATGTAGTCTTTTCTTTCACTTAGCATAATCTTTTCAAGGCTCATTCATGTTGTTGTTCATTCCTGTTTATTATTGCATAACATTACGTTGTATGGATATACTACATTTTGCTTGTTTATCGGTTGATAGATTTTGGGTTTTCTCTTTATAGCTATTAGGAACACAGTGGTCCCCCCTTGCCTGCAGTTTTGCTTTCCATGGTTTCAGTTACTTATAGTCAACCCTGGTCCAAAAATTTTAAATGGAAAATTCCAGAAGAAAACAATTCATAAGTTCTAAGTTGTCTGCCATTCTGAGTCTTGTGATAATATCTTGTGCCATCCTGCCCTATCCTGCCTGGGATAAGCATCATCTTTTTTTTTTTTTTTTTTTTTTTCAGATGGAGTTTTGCTCCTGTTGCCCAGGCTGGAGTGCAATGGTGCAATCTCGGCTTACTTTAACCTCTGCCTCCTGGGTTCAAATGATTATCCTGCCTCAGCCTCCCAAGTAGCTGGGTTTACAGGCACCTGCCACCACGCCTGGCTAATTTTTTGTATTTTTAGTAGAGACCGGGTTTCACCATGTTGGTCAGGCTGGTCTCGAACTCCTGACCTCAGGTGATCCACCCGCGTTGGCCTCCCAAAGTGCTAGGATTCCAGGTGTGAGCCACCGCACCCGGCCTGCATCATTGCTTTGTCCAGCAGATCTGCATTGGATCCGCCACCTCCCTATTAGCCACATTGTAGCTGTTTTGGCCAGCATATCAAAAAAGCATAGTCTATATAGGGTTCAGTACTAATCTCAGTTTCAGCCATCCACTGGGAGTCTTGGCGCATGTCCCCTGCAGACAATGGGAGACTGCCGTCATACCGTTATGAAGATCCACACACAAGTTTTTGTGTGGTCGTGTGTTTTCACTTGGTTATATTTCACTCTAGGTTATGTGCTTAGTGGTGGCATGACTGGGTCACGTGGAAACTGTGTTTAACATTTTCGAGGTGCAGCTAAACTGTTTTCCAAACCTGCAACACATTTTATCTTTTCCCCAGCAGTGTGTGAGGACCGTGCTTTCTACACATCTCTGCTGACACTCCTGATAGTTGGCCTTTTGGATTATAGCCATCTTAGTGGGTTTGCAGTGGGACCTCATTGCAGCGGGACCTCATTGCAGCTTAGGCTTGCATTTCTCTAACGGCCAGGGGTGTGGGACATCTTTGCATGTGCTTTTTGGTACTTTGTATATCTTCTTTGGAGAATTGTCTATTCAAGTTCTTCACTCATTTTTAAATTGGATTGTCTTTTTTATCATTGTGTTTTGAGAGTCTTTCCTGTATATATATCCTATAAGCCATATCCTGTATGCCATATCCTGTATTCCATATACATGCCATATATATCCTGTATGGCATATATTCTGCATGCCAGTTCCTTACCAGATACATGATTTGCAAATATTTCCTCCCATTCTGTGGATTGTCTTTTTCATCTCCTTGATTGTGTCCTTTGAAACACAAAAGTTTAAAATTTTGATGAAGTCCCAACTATCTAATAGTTGTTGTCACGTTTTTGGTGTCATAGCTAAGAAAACATTGCCTAGTGTAAAGTTATGAGAATTTGATCCTATGTTTCCTTCCAAGAGTTTTATAATTTTAGCTTTTACAATTATGACTATAATCCACTCTGAGTTAATTTTTGTGTATGGTGTGAGGTAGAAGTCCAATTTCATTCTTTTGCATGTGGATATCCAGTTGTCCCAGCACCATTGGTTAAAAATACTATTTTCTCCCCATTGAATTTTCTTGGGACCCTTGTTGGAAATCAGGTAACTATAGAATGTGAGGGTTTATTTTTAAACTCTCAACTCAATCTTGATATCCTATACATCTGTCCTTACACCAGCACCACACTCTGTTGATTACTGTAGCTTTGTGGGAAATTTTAAGACAGGAAGTGTGAGTTCTCCAACTTTTTTTTTCAAGATTGATTACACTATTATGGGCACTTGCATTTCCATATGAATTTTAGAATCAGCTTGTCAATTTATGCAAAAAAGGCAGCTGCAATATTTATAGAAATTGTGCTGAATCTATAGGTTAACTTGAGGAGTGTTGCATTTAACAACACTAAGCTTTTCAACCCATGGACATGAGATGACTTGCCATTTATTAGATCTTCTTTAATTTCTTTCAAAATGTTTTGTAGTTTCCAAGGTACAAGTTTTCTATTTCCTTTGTTAAGCTTGTTCCTAAGTATTTTCTTCTTTTTCATACTATTGTAAATGCATTTGCTTTCTTAATTCCATTTTCAGATTGTTCTTTGCTAGCTTATAGAAATACAATGGCTTTTTGTATATTAATTTTGTATCTTGCAACTTTACTGAACTTGTTTATCAGTGTGAATACTTTTTGAGTGGATTCACTAGGATTTTCTACATACAAGATTATTATGTCATCTGTGAAAATAAATAGTTTTACTTGTTTTCAAATCTGGATGCCTTTTATTTCTTTTTCTTGCCTAGTTGCCCTGGCTGGAGCCTCCAGTACAATGTTGAATAGAAGTGGTGAGAATGGATGTCTTTGTCTTGTTCCTGATTTTAGAAAAAGCATTCAGTCCATCACCATTAAGTACGATGTTAGGGGTGGGTGTTCCATAGATGCTCTTTGTTGGGTTGAGGAATTTCCCTTTTATCCCTAGTTTGTTGACCATTTTATCATGAAAGCGTGTCAGATTTCATCATATGTGTTCCCTGTATCTAGTGATAAGTTCATGTTATTCTTTTTCTTATTAATATGTTGTATAACATTGATTAACTTTCATATTTTGGGCCAACTTTGCATTTCTCGGGTAAGTCCCACTTGGTCATGGAGTATAACCATTTTTATATGTTGCTGAATTCTCTCTGCTTCTATTTTGTTGCAGATTTTTGCATTTATATTCATAAGAGACATTGGTCTATACTTACCTTGTGATTTGTTTTTCCGGCTTTGAAATCAGGGTGATACCGGCCTCGGAGAGGAAGTTTTAGGATTAAGTTTTGAAATAACATTTTAAAAATAGTTTATGAATAATCCTTATTAATTCTTTCAGAAATATTTTGTAGAACTCAATGAAACCAGTGAAAACATCTGGGACTGGGATTTTCTTTGCTGGAAGTTTAAAAATTATTAATTAATTCTGTTACTCATTATAGGTTTATTCAGATTTTCTATTTCTTCTTGAGGCAATTTTGGTAGTTTGTGTCTTTCTAGACATTTGTCCATTTCACCTGAATTGTCTAGTTTCCTGCCATGTAGTTCTTCACAGTACTCTCCTAATAATACTTTTTTATTTCTGTAAAGTTGGTAGTGACGTCACATGTTCATTCCTGATTTTAGTAATATGAATCTTCTAGATAACAGTGTGTCAATTTTTTTTTTTCCAAAGAACTTTTGGTTGTCTTATTTTTTTCTATTTTCTATTTAACTTATTTCTTATCTACTCTTTACTGTTTTTTTCTGCTTGCTTTAGTTTTAGTTTGCTCTTCTAGTGTTTTAAGGTGGAAAGTTATAATATCAGTGTGAGGTCTCTCTTCTTTTTTAGTGTGGATTGTTATAGCTACAAATGACCCTCTAAGTACTGCTTTAGCTGCATCACGTACATTATAGTATGTTGTGTTTTTTTACTTGCATTTCTCTTGAAGTAGTTTTTAATTTCCCTTGGGATTTCTTTATTTACACATTTATTATTTAGGACTACATTGTTTAATTTCTACATATGTTAAAATTTACATTTATTTCTGTTATTCATTTATAATTTCATTCTGTCTATGTTGGAGAACTTACTTTGCATAACATACATCTTTAACACTTATTGGGTTTTTCTATGGCCTTAACGGATTGTCGATCTTGAAGAATTGCCCATATATGCTTAAAAATAATGTGCATTCTGGTGTTGCTGAGTGGAGTGTTCTGTAGATGCCTGTTAGGTCTGGTTGGTTTATAGTGTTATTAAAGTCTTCTATTTGTCTGTTGGTCTGACTAGTTGCATCCATTATTGATTATTGAAGGTAGACTAATAAAGTCTCCAACCACGGTTGCTGAATTATCTATTTCTAACTTGAATTCTGTCAGCTTTGGCTTTGTGTATCTCTGGGCTCCATTGATAGTGTATACAAGTTGACAGCCATTCTATATTACCGATGGAGCAAGGGCCCCTCTTTATGTCTGGTAGCATTTTTTCCTGTTTTAAAGTCTATCTGTTCTGATGTTATAATAAAGCCACTCCAGGTCTTTTATGGGTACTATTTTCATGGCATACTTTTCCCCTTCCTTTTGACTTTGAACCTATTTGTGTCTTTGAATCAAATGTGCATCTCTTATAGACAGAATAGTTAGATCTTATTTAAAACAAATCCATTTTGACAATCTCTATCTTTTGATTGGATTGTTAATCCATTCACTTTCAGTGTCTATATTAATATGGTTTGACTTATGTCTATCATTTTGTTTTGTTTGTTTTGTTTTTTTGAGATGGAGTTTTGCTCTTATTGCCCAGGCTGGAGTGCAATGGCACGATCTCGGCTCACCGCAACCTCCACCTCCTGGGTTCAAGTGATTCTCCTGCCCCGGCCTCCTGAGTAGCTGGGACTACAGGCATACACCACCATGCCTAGGTATTTTTTTAATTTTTTACTTATTTTTTTAGTAGAGATGGGGTTTCTCCATGTTGGTCAGGCTGGTCTCAAACTCCCGACTTCAGGTGATCCACCTGCCTTGGCTTCCCAAAGTGCTGGGATTACAGGTGTGAGCCACCGTACCCGGCCCTATCAATTTGTTTTTAGTTTTCCCTATGTCTGGTGTACCGGTTTGTTCTTCTGTTTCTCCTCTATAGATTTCCATTGCACTAAGTGAATATATTCTACAACATTTTAATTTTGTAATGATTTTTTCACCCTACATTTAAAAAATTGTTTTCTTAGTAATTGCCCTAGGATTTACAAGTTATATCTTACCTTAGAATCTACTTCAGGTTTCTAACAATTCAGTGTAATATTGAGATATTAGTTCTATCCCCCCTCCTCTTTTTGTGCTATTAGTACACATATTACACATATCACATTTATATATATATGTCCCAAATCCACTAATGCATTGTTATAATTATTCTACATATAGTTAGGCATCACCTAATGATGGGGATATATTCTGAGTAATGTGTCATTGGACAATTTTGTTGTGTGAACATCATGGCGTGTACTTATACAAACAGAGATGATCTAGCCTACCACACACCTAGGCTACATGGCATAGCCTTTTGCTCCTAGGATACAAACCTGTGCAGCAAGTTACTGTACTGAACATTACAGGCAATTGTAACTCAATGGTAAGTATGTGTGTATCTGAACATATCTAAATATAGGAAAGGTACAGTAAAAATATGGTATTAAAGATAAAAAATGGTGCACCTGTTCTGCTAGAACACTTAGCAGAAATAGAGCTTGCCAGACTGGAAGTTGCTCTGTGTGTGTCAGTGAGTGAATGGTGAGTGAACATGAGGGCCTGGGACATTACTGTGCACCACTTTACACTTTATGAACACAAGATACTCAGGCTACGCTAAATTATTAAAAAATTTCCTTCTTTCATAATAAATTAACTTTAGCCTACTGTAATGTTTTTACTTGATAAACTTAAAAAAAATTTTCACCTCCTTTGTAGTAACACTTAGCTTACAGCTGAACAAAAATATTTTCTTTCTTTATATCCTTATTCTATAAGCTTTTATCATTAAAATGTTTTTAAAACTTAAAACATTTTTTGTTAAAAACAAAGATGCAAACACTCACATTAGCCTTGGCCTACACAGGGCCAGGACACTCAGTATCACTGCCTTCCACCTTCGCATCTTGTTCCACCAGAAGATCTTCTGGGTAATCACACGCATGGAGCTGCCAGCGCCTGTGAGAACAATGCTTTCTTCTGGAAGACTTCCCGAAGGACCTGCCCTAAGCTGTTTTACAGTTTACTTTTTTTGTAAGTAGAAGGGGCACATTCTAAAGTAACAATAAAAGTATGGCATGATAAATATATAAGCTAGTAACATAGCTGTTTATTATCATTAATCATTCTGTACTATACATAACTGTATGTTCTATACTTTTATGACTGTCAGTACAGTAGGTTTGTTTACATCAGCATGGCCGTAAACACGAGTGATGCATTGCACTATGACATCACAATGGCTATGATGTCACTAGGCAATAGAAATTTTTGAGCTCCATTATAAGGTTATGGGATCACCGACATATGCATGGCCTGTTATTGATCAAAATGTCATTATGCATACATAACTTTAATTGAACATCTTTTAAAGAAGCTAAAAGAAGGGAGAGTAAGCATGCATATTTTTTGTTTATTATGTTAGTGTTGTTATATACCATTTCTTGTTCTAATTTATTCTTGTTCTAATTAATTATAATAGCTATAATAAATTATAATTATTAATATATAATAATTTAATTATTATGCTATAATTTATCCACCAGATGGATTCAAGTTACCATCTGGTGTTATTTGCTTATTCTAATACTGCTTATCATTACCCACCTCCTTTACATTATTGTTGTCAAATATATTACATAGCCATATATTATAGGCCCAACAATAGAATAATATTCATATTGTTTTACACAATTGCTTTTAAAATTAGGAGATGAAAGAAGAACTATGTAATTGTACTATCATTTACAGTTACTTACATTGTTACTTCTACCAGTGCTCTTTTTATTTTTAGTAAATTTGAATTAGGACCTGGTGTCACTTGTTTTTAGTTTGAAGAACTTTCTTCAGGATTTCTTGTAAGGTGTGTGTTCTAGCAACAAATCCATCATATTTTATTTATCCAGAAATGTCTACCTCACCACCATTTTTCAAAGATAGTTTTGCTAGATATAAAAGTTTCGATTGATAGAGCATTTTTTTTTTCTTTTCAACACCTTGAATATGTCATCTACTGCCTTCTGGCCTCCATTATGTCTCATGATAAATTATCTGTTACTTTCTTGGAGCTCCCTTTCATGTGATGAATCATTTTTCTCTCACGAATTTCAAGATTTTCTGTTTGTCTTTCAGCATTTTTACTATGATGTATGTGTCTGATCTCTTTGCATGTATCCCACTTAAAGATGGCTGCATGTCTTAGATGTGTAGGTTAATATATTTCATCAAATTTGGGAAGTTTTTAGTTACTATTTCTTCAAACATTTTTCTACTCCTTTCTCCCCCTCCTCTCTTCCTGGTGTTCTCAGTGTGCATATGTTGGTGTGCTTTTTTTGTCCCACATTTCTTTGAGGCTACGTTCATTCTCTTCCTTCGTTTTTATTTAGACTAAATAATCTGCATCAATCTATCTCCAAGTTTTCTGATTCTCCTGCCAACTAAAATCAACTATTGAATGCCTCCAGTGATTTTTTTTATCTCGGCAATTGTACTTTTCAAATCCAGAATTTTTATTTTATTTTTTTAATATAATATCCATTTCTTTATTGATATTCTTCATTTGATGAGACATAATTATAATATCTTCCTTTACTTCTTTAAGCATGGTTTCATTTAGCTCTTTGAACATACTTATAGTAGCTGCTTTGAAATCTTGGTTAAGTCAGACACATGAGTCTTTTCAAGAGTGATTTCTGTTGCCTGATTTTTTTTTTCTATATATGGGTCACAGTTTCCTATTTCTTTATATGTCTTATAATTTTTTTGTGGAAAACTGGACACTTAAGAGAATAGATTGTCGCAAGTCTGGATTCTGATTTCTCCCTCCTCAGGGCTTGTAGTTTGCTTGTGCTTGTTTAGTAATCTGGCTGGACCATTTCAGTCAAGACTGTTACCTTCACAGTGTGAAGCCTCTGATGTCACTGCCTTGGGCATGTGCACAGTCACCTTGGGCTGACAGGGGTTTCAGTGGGCCTCTCTTTGACTGTCTCTTTTTGCCTTATCTCTGTAAGTTGTCTTCCTCTGTTGGTATCACACTCAGCTGTTAGCTACTGCTAATGCTGGCTTACTGCTCTATTGTTTCTGACAATGCCCTGGGCATGAGTTTCTCCACAGTCAGTTTCAATTTCATTTATGCTTCTTTGCAGGGCTGTTCTTTGGGGCCTGTCTTTGAGTCTTGTTCCAGTCTCAGCATGGCTTCTTAACTGTTTTTCCCTGGTTCTATTTGGTAAACCACTAGCTGGTCTATAGTTTAGCTTGTACTCATGGAGCTACCGGCCTCTTGATTTCTTAATACCAAAATATCCATTGTTTTTGACAGCACCTTTAGGCTTGAACTTCCTCACACTGTTCCAAAGAAAGTCATTCTCTTGAGAAGAGCTACAGGGCTCTCTGTTCTGAAAGCCTGTCTCTATCCCCTGGGCAAGGCCTCTGCATCCTCTCTCTGGAGCTAGGGGAACAGCAGCCTACTTCTCTTGAGTAGCACCCCTGTTTTACAAGTAGGGCATTGGGTGGGGGTGTTGGCCTCGGGTCTTCTTGACTTGCCTCTTCTGATATGGAACCTCTGCCCTGAGTGTGCTGGGTGACAGCCCAGTGTTGCTGGTGTGCTGCACCTGAGCTAGCGTTTCCATCTTATGAATGGGGCCTGGGTGGAGGAGGGAGCCCCAGATCTTCAGCTGCTCCTGACTGCAGTAAAGCTTCTGCAACTCAGAGTTGAGGTGCTGGTGGCCTGCCCCTTCCAGGGAGAAAACAAAACCTAGCCTGGCTGCTAGAGAAAAAGGGAGCCCTATGTTCTTGGCTGCACCCACCAGGGGCAGAACTTGCATCAGGCATAAGTGGAGGCAGTGGGGAACGGGTCATAGTTCAGGAACCACAAACTCTCAGTGTTCTTACTGAGATTTGATAGATTGTCTTGAATAGATTCTTCTCCTTCTACTATTGAGGAGGAAAACATAACTGATTGGGACGAGAAGGCGCCAAGGGAGACCTCGGAGCTGAGCGTTTCATGTGGAGCTCACTGGTAATCTGATTGGGATGAGGTCCCAGCTGAGGCGCTGGACTGGGTGGTCTTTAAGGTCCTTTTGGATGGTACGGGCTGTGATTCTAAACACGGAATGGTAAATCCATCTGGGCTGGACACTTGAGTGGATGGCTTTACGCTAGCACAGGTTGGTCCTCTGCAGCCTTGGCAGGAAACATGGAGGGGACTCCTCTTTGGCTGCCTGCCCCTCTGGGTGCTGTGTTCCTGACAGGAGGGCTGAGCTGGTGTTTCAGAAGGCAGCCCTGTGTAGGGAGATAACACCTTCCCATTTGAAGCCACGGCCACTGTGCTGGGATCCATGGCCTTGCCTGAGACAGAGCCCCCCGGCAGCATGAATAGCGCCTCCCTTCATGCTGCCGGCTACACAAGTGTCCCTCTCAGCTGGGCCAACACACCCCGGGCGAGGCCGTCTTCGCCCTCCCTTACACCCTCCCTCCTCTAGTTCTTTGTCTCCTGTTGAGGGTGGACACTGCCCTGGGGTGGAGTGAGTGGTTTCTCTCTGGTGGGACTGGGAGAGGGTCCCTTGACGATTACCAAGATTCTATACTTTATTAATTTTTTTCTACCAATGCTGCCAGAAAGAATTTTCATTGTTGTTGTTCACATAGCGTGTTATTGCTAAGATGAATTCTTTGTGTAAAAAACAGACTTTCTGTCTTGGTTTTAGTAAAGTGAATGAAGAATTATATTTGAATTTACAAATGTATCTTTATTTATTTTGTCTTGAACTTCACGTCAATACAGATTCTGCATTGCTCAACTAATGAATGCAGGAAGGACTGCATGAGGCCAGCACGGCCACGTCCTCACACCAGCAGTTCTTCTTGGTCTGAGTCCTTTCCTGGCTGCAGCCAGAGAGAACAGAGAAAGCGCAACACTGTGTTCATGGTGCTATTGTAATTAATGTATTATAATTATTTTGTATCTTCTGTTAGATCTTCTGCCTTGATTCCCAGTGTCCAAATACAAAAGTATTGACTACTGTCCCTGATGTGACGAGCAGGATCTATTGAAGCCGAACACATCATCTTTCAGTTCCAGGTAGGAGTGCAGTAAGAAGAGTTTTCTTACAGGCATGATCGCTGTGATGGATAAGTGTGTCTTGGACTCTAATGAATGAACCAGCGACTTAGTCACCAGCCGCCTACACTAATAAGGTGAGGGTGTGATGCTGGTTTGGGCAGGGAAGGTCTTTGGTCTCTTTATAGATTTTAGAATGCTAAAATAAAATGACCTGTGGGATCCTGAAACCAAAAGAGGACATCAGTGGGAAAACACATGGAATCGGGGGTCTGTTCCTAGAGATGCTTCACGGAACTCTAGACCATGTTAATGTTTGTTTTGAACCACATGTCTTGGGTAACACTGGGGGATGTTGGATTGGGGGGATACGGGATCTCTCTGTACTGTCTTTGCAACTTTTTCCGTAAATCTAAGATGATCCACAAATAAAAGCTTTATTGAAAAATATAATGGCCCTAAAATTCTTTTAGAAAGTGAATGAAAACTCCCATAATGTCATCTTCTGTCAGTGAAATCTGCAACTGCAATGGAACTATCACACCAACCCAGGGGAAAAGAGGCAGTTGGGGTCTCCAGAGAGCCCCTCTGGCCTCAGTGGTCTCATCTGGAAAGTGGGAGGTTTGGACTCATCGAGCTGTCTCCAAGGATCTTCCTGTTTGGATGCCCTGTGTTTGAATGCACAAGGCATAGTTATAATCTGGGGGGCAAAAACCTCTAAAATATCAGCCTCTTCTGTGAAAATCCAGCTAGTTCCCTTTAATTGGTTACAAAAATAAGATGCTGAAAACCCCACCAGCCCTATCTGGAGCTGTGCTCAAGAGCAGAGAAGAGTGCAAATTAATCTTTTTGAATTGCTAATTGGGGATTTAGTTGGCTAGATTGAGGGTTATGAGATGAAAGCCTGGGTTTTTGCTCTTTTCCAAAGGTAGGGAAAAGATTCCCTCTCTGAGGACCCTAATGTCCTTGTATGCAAAATGCAGAAACTGACAAGAAAGATGAGAAAGCGTTTTGGCTCAGCCCTCAAAAGGTTGTATCTCAAGCCCATACTCCTGTCCTCTGAAGCAATCCAAATGCTTTGCTGCTATACCTTAGATCCACAAGCAATGCCTATAATGTGGGTGTTGTTTGGGCTGAAGCCACTGCCACTGGCCTAGACATCAGGGTAAGATGGAGCCCAATGCAGGGGTGTGTTGTCCCCCCAGCGCCGGCAGCTGCAGAGGACTCTCATGGGCAGGATGCACAGAGCCAGGTGGGAGCCGCGCCGTCAGGGCTGCCAGGTGTGCAGAGAGGCCCTCTCTTCCAAACAGCCTCTGCAGTCGCCTGCCAAAGGCCTGGGACAGTCCTTCTTTCTATTGCACTTCTGTCGATAAAGGGATTAGCTCCTATTAAATTATCCTTAGGAAACAGAAGTTATTAAGTTATCATTTGTCACATACATCCTGGCATGAATTTATTAGCTCCTTTCCATGTGTCACTTGGCTGGGAGATATTTTGGTTGAGCAGGAGGAGGACAGGGACAGAAGCTGAGGACACATCATTCCTACAAGAGGGGCCTGGAGAGGGTGGTGGCCGGTGCCGGGCATGAGCCTCCGCTCAGCTTCTAAAGTTGGAGACCTCGGTGACACTGCATCTCTGTGCTGCCACCAGCCTCGCTTGCTACGGTAGGGGGTCACGGCGGTGCAGACCTTGGAAATGCGAGGACAGAGAGTCCCATGCCGAATGGCGGGGACGTCGCCTAGCTGCCTGTGCTCCCAGGAACTGAAGGTGGGAAGAGCCATGGAGGAGTTCCAGACCTGGTGCCTATTTGGTCTGTGATCCTCACTAACTTTCTAAAGCATGTCACGTCTTTTATCTTGTGGAGTCTCAGAACATCCCGGGGTGCAAATCGGCCTCTTGCCGGCAGCAAAACTTACAATAGAATTCCCAGCTCCTGACCCCACCTGGCACTTTCCCAGGACTGCGTGTGTCATCAAGGACCAGTGGATGATTTTCAGCCCTGTTCCCTGGGGGATGTTTTGGGGCAGGCAGAGCAGTCCCGAAGAGCCCCGTAGCCTGAGGTCAGCCGGCCCCTCTCCCTGGAGGGTAGGACCAGCCTTGCCAGCGCTGGGTGCTCGTTTCTGCTTCTTGCCATCTGAAGAAATGAGACCCCCAAGGCCGCCTCCCAGCCCTGCCTTCTCTGTACTTTGCATTTTGTCTTAGTCATGTGTCGTTTTGGAGTCATGCCTCATTTCCCAAGGAGAAGTCAGGGCCCTAGAGGGTCAGGGTCCTCTTCTTGCTCTGAGCTCCCTGGGCTGGCCACTGGCCACAGGAGGTGCTCATGAAATTAAGTTCAGCCAAATGGGATGTGCTGATGAGCATGACGAGTCAGATAGAGCCAGACCCCTCAAAAACAATCTATACCAAAGGCAGGGGGAAGGTCCCCTCTCTGAGGAGCCTGATGTGCTTGTGTGCAAGACGCAGAAGCCCACCAGAAAGATGAGAAAACGTTTTGTTTCACCCTCAAAATGTTGTATCTGAAGCCTATATTCCTGCCCTATTTGGTAGAACAGACCCAAGTAATGCCCTGGAGATGACTTTTTAAAAAAACAGACACAGAAATCGCTCTGTGTTTCAGAAATAGATAAGCCATTTGGAACCAGGTCTTGGTCAGTGTTATATAAAAGATGTTTAAGTAAATGAAGGAAGGAATGACTTGGGGTGCATTATAAAAATGAGTATAATTATTTTACACCAATATGTGTTTGTGTGACCATGAGTGTGACTGTGTGTGTTCATTTTTGTTACCTAATGCTGCATAATAAATCATCACAAAAATTAATGGCTTACAACAGCCATCATCACCTTTCATCTCACAGTGTCTCTGTGGGTCAGGCATTTCAGAAGGACCTGACCGGACCGTTGTCATGTGAAGCCTTTCATACAGTTCCAGTCAGATATCAGCTGAGGCTACATCATCCAAAGGCCCAATAGGGGCTGGAGAATCCATTTCCAAAGGGGCGCAACCTGTGTCTGGCAAGTTGTCACTGGCTGCTTCCGTCCTCTCTGCATGGCCTTCTCCTTGGGGCTGCTTGAGCATCCTCCTGGCATGGTGGCTGCTCCCTCCAAAGCAAGCCACCCACATGATCTGGGCGGAACTCTCGAGTCTTCTGTGACTCAGCTTTGGAAGTCCCATTGTATCACATTCTACCAGTCACATGGGCCCAGTCCTAATTCAAAGTGGGAGAGGATTACGCAGTGCTTAAATCCTGGGAGGCATGGGTTGTTGGGGCCACCTTGAAGGCTGGCTACCTTCCTCCATGTATTTACTTACTGAGCCTTTGCTATATGTCAAGTACTAAGTTTCTGTAGTGGGGACATAAATGTACATATGTCATGATCCTGTCCTCAAGGAGCTGTTTGCTTAGGAGAAAGAGAGATGAGCCAGGGCTGCCTGACACCAGTGTGTTGGGGCTGTGGCTGGGGTGTGCACAGGTACCTGGCACAGACCCCACTGAGGGGCCCGGGTCTCACTAGGACCTTGAGGGACTGATGTGGTTATTTGGGCAGAGCTGAAAGGGAAGCTTGCTTCTGCCGGGGGATTGTCTGGGTAACAGGCACAGAGGCAGGTAGGAAGGTGACTGCTTACGGCACTGCAAGGATGTCTCACGGCAGAGCCAAGAAGCACATGTGGGTGGCAGGAGAGGTGGGGAATGGTTGGCTGTGGACTTTAACTGGGTCTGGGTTTTGGAAAGGTCACTTGCTGATGGCAGAAGGATGGATTACAGACAGATGAAAGGAGATGGGTGAGGTCTGTAGGGAGAACCCAGGGTGGGCTGATGGGGCTTCAAGCAAAGCCGAGAGCCTGGCTCAGCACTGAGGAGGGAGTGGAGCTTGAGAGATGAAAATGGAGAGGAACCCCCATAGTCAAGAATGATTGACATGCTTGGAGCAGGGGTAGGGGGCAGGCGTGACGTGACGCCAGGGCTGGGGCTTGTGGGACTGTCTGGGGGAGGCCCTTCCTCAAGAGGGGGATGTAGACCACGATGGCTGATGGCGAAGGTGTGATTCAACATTCACGCACACTTCCTTGTCTGTAACATGAGTCGTACTTTCTATTTCCAAGAAACCACTTCGTTTCCACTTTTAGGTAATTGCTTTTTCTCCATGTCTAAGAAGTGAGCAATTTAAATAAAGATATTTACACTTTAAGGTTTTCTTAGTACTTCCAAACAGAGACATATGTATAAATGCTAAACAGAAGTTTTGAATCAAACCTTCTTGCCTTTCTAACGTTCTCTGTTGAGGGAAAGTCGGCATGGTTTAGAGCCTCCCAAACCCCCTCCACCAGGAGGGGCAGATCTGGGGGCGAGACTGAAAGCAAACATGTTTCACAGGATGTGGGGAAGGTGGCCAGACTTAGAAAATAAAAATATAGGACGCTAAGTTAAATTCGAATTTCAGATGAACAATGAATACTTTTTTGAATAAGTATTCTCCATGCAATATTTGGGAAATACTAAAAATGTATGTCTTCTTGATCTAAAATTTGGATTTAATTGGGCATCCTGTATTTTATCTGACAACCTTAGACATAGGCGATTTATTTCAATGACTTCTGGACAGTCTCTGGAGCAAATGATCACTCAGGACCTTCTAAAAAACCTAAGTGGCCAGGCACAGTGGCTCACGCCTGTAATCCCAGCACTTTGGGAGGCCGAGGCAGGTGGATCACCTGAGGTCAGGAGTTTGAGACCAGCCTGGCCAACATGGTGAAAGCCCATCTCTACTAAAGATACAAAAAATTTGCCAAGCATGGTGGCAGACACCTGTAATCCCAGCTACTCAGGAGGCTGAGGTGGGAGAATCGCTTGAACCCGGGAGGCAGAGGTTTTAGCGAGCCGAGATTGTGCCATTGCACTCCAGCCAGGTGACAGAGTGAGACTCCATCTCAATAAATAAATAAATAAATAAATAAATAATAAAAATAAAAACACCTAAGTGATAAGTTGGCAGGTGCAGCAAGCCACTATGGTACACGTTTACCCCTGTAACAAATGTGCACATCCTGCGCATGTACCCCAGAACTTAAAATAAAAATTAAGATTAAAATATGTGGCCTGCCTAGTGCTAGGTACAGAGCAAGTTCTTGAATAACTATGGGAAGCTGTGAGAAAAGTGATTCATCCTGTCCAGGCGGGCTCAGCTTCTCCCATTACCTGAACTTGGCCATTCCCTTCACGACCAGCAAAACACTCTGCTGCCACACGCCCTGCCCGGCCGCCCTCCCATGGGGCCTTCCCTGGGGCAGCTTCAGTGCCTGTGAATTATTATTTTTGCTCTCTCAGGCACAACCTGCATACACGGATGAGATTGGTTCTTTGCCCTGAAGGTGAATGAACTCGGCTTTGTTGGCCGCTCCTATTTTTGCAGTAATGCACCAAGTATGTTCACCCACTAGGGATTTTCATCACGTAACATAGTATGTAGCCTAACAAAGTAGGGAAAGAAAGGAACAGAGTAAGGCTTAGACTGAAGTACTTCAATTCAAGTCCCAAGTCAGCCACCTGCTAGAGGACTGGAAGATAATCCAAAGACCACAGTATTTTGTCAGGAATGAGAGGTGGAGATAAGAAGGTAAATAGAATTTCCTATCTCACAAATATCAAATCTTCTGGAATCTTTAATTGAATCACAGGATAAAACCCTTATAATGAAATTACCATGGTTCATTTCACAGCGTTTCTGGCAAGGCAGGGGTTCTCTGGTGGGAACACCCACATCCAGTCCCAAGGTTTTCTCAACTTGGGCTCAAGGTGCCCTAAGGAGATGAGAACCTGGGGCCACATGGAGATGAGAACCTGGGGCCACATGGAGAACTGCAGTGAAACTGGTTTCTTTTTTTTCCTTTCTTTTTTTTTTTTTGAGACGGAGTCTGGATCTGTCGCCCAGGCTGGAGTGCAGTGGCACGATCTCAGCTCACTGCAAGCTCCATCTCCCAGATTCACACCATTCTCCTGCCTCAGCCTCCCGAGTAGCTGAGACTACAGGTGCCTGCCACCATGCCTGGCTCATTTTTTGCATTTTTAGTAGAGAAGGGGTTTCACCGTGTTAGCCAGATGGTCTCAATCTCCTGACCTCGTGATCTGCCTGCCTCAGCCTCCCAAAGTGCTGGGATTACAGGCGCGAGCCACCGTGCCCGGCCGAGACTGGCTTCTTGAACTTTGCTTTGAGGCCTATGAAGCTGACATAGCCCATCCTCCGACCTCATGGTCACTAAATATGCCCTGCGGATGGCGTAAGCCGGACCCTGGACGCTGCCTGAGGTTACCTCCCATCCCTGAACACTTCATGGGACTTTGGCTGTTGTGAAAACAGCAGATTTACCCTTCTCTTCCTGCCATTCTGTGAGAGTGGAAGGCCCCCTTCTGAGGGATGGCTGGTGGAGATCGGGCCTCATGTCTCGCCTGTTGGAGCAAGCTGCCTCAAGAAGTGGAAAGTGACCGTCTGTCCCGAGTGACTACGACCAAGTTCCCTTGTGGAAGTGCAGTCTCTCCTGTTCCATGGCTTCAGTCCTCACTACTCAAAGTGTGGCCCATGGACCTGTAGCATCCGCCTCACCCAGGAGCTTCCTAGAAGTGCAGCATCTCAGGCCCCACCTCAGCCCCGCTAAATCAGACTGTGCATGTCAACAGGACTGTCCACACAGTCAAGGTGGGGAGCACTGGCCCTGGTAACGGGTGCTTTTTGGAGGGAGGATAAGTAGGGGAAGTTTCCATTCCACCGTCTTGGCTGTGGACTCACAGAACACCATGTCTGCATGGTGCATACCTGAGAACTTTGCCGACAGGGATCTGCACAGCACTGTGGGAAGCATCCCTCATCAGCCATGGCCCTCGTCCCTCGGACCTCCCATCCTAGACGTGGTTCAAGACTAGCATATGGTGGTCTGGAGGAAGGTGGAATGGCCAAAGGTCGAAGAGCTCTACAGTGGAGACCTAAGGCCTGAACCCAGGTTTTCTGAATCCCATTCCAGTTTTTTTGCCACTCTACTTAGAGAAAAGGAAATAACAAGAATGCAAAGTATCCTGCTGGAGCCATCAAAAGGCCTTGGGTCATACGCTGAACAAAGAACAGAGCCCTCATGGTGTGTTTGGTGGGCCACTCCAAGAAAATAAATATAACACATTAGCTTAAAGTTCCTGCTTAAGCCACTGTTGGTCAAGTAAACCTCCTCACTTGAGTGTGAAATAGCCGAGTCATAGGAGACACATTCATCTATACAACAGTCTTATTCTTGAAAAATGCGGGAAAAGTAATCTTACTTTGAAGGCATTACAAGAGTCAACTGTTCTTCCATAAAGCAGTGAAGCAGTTGTAAAGAGGATTGATTGCTCCTGATTCTCTGTGCGAGGATGACTTTGTAAATTTGGGTTTCCTTCAACTGTAGTGCCACTGAATCAGGAATACGGCAGGATTGCAAAGGGGAGAAGAAAGAGGGGGCTTGGAGGAGAAAATAAATACCGCTGGAGCACCCTTGACTTTTCAAAGTCCTGTGTGAATTCCACACCTTGTCTGCCCCCATTTTGGCAGATAATGGAATGGAGGTGCCCAAGGGGCTTGGGTGCAGGTGGCAAAAAATGAGCAAAACTGTGGCATTCTGGGCTGAGCCCAGGGCTCTGCCATTAGACTTATCTTGACTGGGAACTTCTAGGAAGATTCAAAATTCTGCTTTTGAAGTGGTCAGACAAGCACTAGCCTTTGGAAAGCGGTTGGTGCTCACCCACAAGCTGCTCTCTTCTTGCTCAGATGTTTGAGCCCTGCAGAAGCACCAGAGGGCTGCCATGTTGATCCGGCCAGGGGCTGCCGACAGCTTCCCTGGTCTCCACCCACCCCCTTTTTAAGGTTCTTCTCAAATTCTTCCTCACACCCCAGCTGCCCGCCCTTGTCAGCTGGGGAGATTGCTGCTTCTTGCCTCCTTTGTGAGATTTAAAAAGCTTCCTATTCTTCCTTTGAAATGGAGGAATAAGGCCTATCTTCGGGGTTTCTTTGCAAGATGAGTAAGCGGCCCCTTTCAAAGCCCTTGGGAAAGACTTCAATAGAGGATTTAAGGCAGGACAGAGTAGTTCATGTGATTCCAGGCTTAAGATGTTGTCTTCAGCGTTAGACCTCAAGAAATCCAGCCGATATTTCCATTGTGTCTGAGAAATTAAAAGCTTTAGCTTTTGCCTATGAAAAATATTTGCTTAATTGAACAAAGTTGCCAATCGGACAGTGCTTTCTGAGAACTGACATGCTAAATCTTCCCTGAGGACTTTATTCTGTTAACAAGAAAGATAATTGTCTTGAATGTGGCGTCCCGCACTGTATTCCCGATCAATAGGGCACCATCTTAGCTTCCTTCGAGATGTGGTGAAATGGAGACGAAGGCACGTTCCCTGGCTGGTCATCTCTTATGCTTCCTGTGGGGACTGAAGCTCCAGCACAGAGGCCCTTGTGCAGCACCTAGTCATCAACCCTCAGGCACATCCCAGGCCTCTGGAACTGTGTTTATCAGTGAATAAATCCACAAGTGGATATTGAATGTCTATTGCATGTGCAGTGTCGGAGACTTTGAGGACTGTTGATATTGCATTAGGTAGCAACATCAAGGAGTTTCTCCCCTATGTGTGGTGGGGGAGGCAAACACATATTAATCAGTAAGTTCCACAGGGAACCTGCCACCAAGTCAAGTTGTGTGTTACCGACTACCAAGTCAGCATTTGGATAAGTTCTGTATGTGACATGCATCACCTAAACCAGGGATGAGAAAACGCATTGTGTGTGTGTGTGTGTGTGTGTGTGGGTGGGTGGGTGTGGGTGTGTGTGTGTGTGGATGGGTGTGGGTGTGTGTGTGAAGGGCCAGATAGTAAATATTTAAGGCTCTGTTGGCCAGACGGTCTCTGTTCCTCAACCCCGCTGTTGTAGTGGGAAAGCGGCCACACATGATATGTAAATGAATGTGTGTGGCTGTTTGCCAATAAAACTTTGTTTACAAAGACAGATGGCTGGGCGAGGTGGCTCATGCCTGTGATCCCAGCACTTTGGGAGGCCGAGGCAAGTGGGTGGATCACAAGGTCAGGAGTTCGAGACCAGCCTGGCCAACATGGTGAAACTCCATATCCACTAAAAATACAAAAATTAGCTGGGCATAGTGGTGGGCACCTGTAATCCCAGCTACTCAGGAGGCTGAGGCAGAAGAATCACTTGAAACCAGAAGACGGAGGTTGCAGTGAGCCGAGATCATGCCACTGTACTCTAGCCTGGGTGACAGAGCGAGACTCCATCTCAAAAACAAAACAAAACAAACAAAACAAAAACCAGGCAGCCGACTGGATTTGGCCCAGGCCAGGTTGCTACCAGTTGAGTTTGAATTTCAGATACAAAGAGAGTACGTTGTTAGAGTGCCCCAAGCATGGCATTGGGCACACTTGCCCTGGATGTCTTTTATTTGATCTGGCAACTTCAGAGTGTGCCAATGCTTGGTTTGAATCAATGGCTATTTCGACTGAGTCCATTAAAACGTTTGGCCTTGAATCATATCATTCAAACTTGGGGAAGATCAGAGAGATTTTCTAGCCTAGGTTCCTATTTTTCAGATGGGAGAACTGGATTCCAGGGAAGGGACGGGATCTGTCCAACATCCCACTGCTAGTCCACCTTCATGAAAGAAAACTTCCAGAAGCAGGTCTTTCTGTCAACTCTGTGTGCCAGCTCCTTAGTCCTTTGATATTCTCAAGGAGAAAACATAGTCATTTATTGGTAATGGGCCAAATGTTCAACCTTCTGTCACTCAGTGGCACAGTTCCTAGAGAAGTACAGAGGGTGGGAATTGGGCCAGTGCTGTGCACCTCCGATAGGCACACGGAGATGGTACAGTCTAGTTTGTAGATACACAAACATGCCTGTAATTTAAACATCTGTATCAAACTGGAATCGGCCTTGCCCTCTCAGGCACCATCCCGGCGCGGGACACTGACTGGGGCTGCGGTGAATGTTTCTGCTGGGTTCTGAATGAACTGTGACACAGAACAAGGGCCCAGGGAGTGAGATACGTGTGGAGTCTGATGTACAGTCTTGGGTTCTAATCCTGGCTCCAGCACTTCCCAACTGTCTAAACGTTCTTACAATTTCTACTTTATCTTTTATGGAACTGGGTAGATGATGTGTTTCTCATAGAGAGTGTCTGGGAATTTCCTAGTACACCACCTGCAGCATAGCATTTAACACGCATTTTCCCCCTCCCGGTCGCCTTCTGGTGCCCCAGGGCACACAACACTTCGTCTCCCCAGGCACGCGGCGTGCCACTGTGGTTCTGTTCATAGGGGCACAGTGAAGAGGTTTCTCTTTTTCGAGGCGGCCCTGGCTGACCTGTGGCTGGGATTCCGTGTAACACACATGAGCTAGGTGTTGCACACTCAGCTGAGAATTGGAAAGCAGACCTCAGTGAGAAGCAGCAGAGACAGGCTGGACTTAGGAAGCATTGACTGTGTGCCTGCCGCTGTGCGTACTTCCTACCTTCCTTAAGAGGCAGTTTGCTTTATCAACCTCACTTGATCATGCAGACACTCAGAAAAATGAAGTAATTAGGTCAAAGTCGTGATAGCTAATACTTATTTTTTATTATTTTTATCATTTATTATTTTATTATTTTTAAAAATAAATCTCAATATTTCCTTTTCTCTTAAATATGTATATCAGGACCTTTCTGGATTTTTAGTTAAGACTTTAAATTTTATCTAAGTGGCAGAAATGTATTTCCCATTTGGTGATGGCAGCGCGGTTAGCATTTTAGAGTCCTTGCTTGTAGCTGTGCTTTTCCACGATTGTTCAGGAACAATTTCCAGGGCTTTGTCTGTTCAGGAGATAGTAACACTGGGGAATGTAAAATATTTGGACCTTCTTGTTTGATTTTCTACTTTTTGCCAAGTCTTCTCTTTCCCTTACATTCTTCAAAGGATAAAGGGCACATTAACAAGCTCTTCACTGATAGTGACAATTAGGGTGTAATTTGTGAACTAAAATTTGCCAATTGCCTTCATTACTTAGGAATTGACAGTCTGCTTTTCATTCTTCTTTAAAACGGTGCTTTACTTAAAGCCCGCCCGCCTGCCGGATGGAGGGATTTTCTGAATGACACATTCGTCTTTTGAACAGGGAGCTGTGACGTGGTGGATGTTCTCTGAGAAGGAAAATGAGCCCCTCAGCGATCCATACATTTCGATAATTTATTTCCAGTAGTAAATTACAGGCACATGTGAGATATTTGAATAACTTTTAGCACAGAGAATAACCAGCCAAACCAAAATGAGAAACTAGGTGATCATGTGTCCTGGTAATAACTGACTCATGAACTCGCAAATTCACCAAATATATACGTATTCGTTTATTGATAACTGGGGACACATGACATCGAGTGGCGAGCAGGTTGACTGGAATTGCCCACATGGCCACCTGCTTCTCGAACTTTGTCCTCCCCACCTTGCAGGGTGCACCAAGCCTCTCTCTGAGTTGGTTTTAGGAGAAATTGGTTTTGCTCTCAATGATTTTCTACAAGTGGGTGGACAGGCCACCTGTAGCTTACTTGTTCCTTATGTCACTTCATACTGTGGCTTTCAGCATGATTGGCTGCACTTTATCACAGCATTTATTTTATTGCATATTTAATTGGCTGAAAGTTTCGTGTTAATTGGGTGGAATCTTACCTTTCAGAGTGTTTTGGTTCTAAAGCAGTCTCAGACTTAAGCACAGTTAATTCCCCTTTGAGATCCTTTATCACTGACAACACGAGATCAAATAACCAACTAATTAAAATTGATGTCCACCTTCTATTGAAGTCATTATTCACTTTCCCTTAAGGAAGTGGTTTTCTGAATTTGCAATCCCTGGGGAATATTTTTTCCTCCTCAAATCATGTGAGTGTGAAAATGTGGAGTCTACGATTCTTGTTTCCTTTCTATGTCAAAAACAAATCCTCGCTGTGGACGAGTCTGTGTCTGTGGTCTTACCCTGCACAAATACACAGGCTTGTGTGTTCCTGCTAAATGCTTCTCTGCCCATCAGTTTTAGAGGCCATGTGTTCATGGGCGTGGAGGCCTCAGGAAAATGGCCAATATTCTTTTGTAGTGCTGAATGCTTAACACTTTAAACAAAGACACCTGTGGGGTTGGTGTGTGTGCAAGTGTGTATATGTCCGTTTATATATGCGTGGGTTTCTGCTGGAACGGACAGCCTGCCGTGTTTTGCGTGTGTATACGACATCGCTGTATATGCGTGCATATCTGCTGTCAAAGATGCCTGCCATGGGATGCTAACGGCCAGTGCCTGGGAGTCTCAGCTGCTTCCTGCTGGTGGAGGTAAGGGACAGGGGCCAGACCCCGTGATTGGGGCAGCAGGGGAGCTGGCCACAGAGGGCTCCTGCAGTCACCAGGGCACCAACCCTTGATGGGCCAGTATGGAGGGATGTGTGGGGTGTAGGGGACGGGTTTGCGGGGGGGTGGTCTCAGAGTAGGAGGAGCCACTCAGAGCCTTGTGATTCTCTGGGGCTTTCCTGGCCTGCTGTGGGTCAGCACGGCTCTGGGACCCACGGGACCAGGCAAAGGCATATCTGGATGGGCCATTGCAGTGGCTCTTCCACTGGACACAGACCTGATGTCTTCTGCCATGCGGGCTCTGGGGAATTCTTCCAGGACCTGCTTGCATCACCTCCTCACTAGCCTCCTCTGCTCCTGGCCTCTGCTCACGTGGGACGGAGGACAGCCCCCAGTGTTGGTGAGAAGAGCAGGGCGGAGACCTACAGACCTGCCCCTTGGGGCCAGCTGCTGTGTGGCCTGGTGGGGCCAGCTCAGGGGCCCTCTTGGGGGCTAGCTGGCAGGGATGATTATGCCATGCAGAGGACCACTGAGAAGGCATCTGAGGCCAGGTTCAAGCCCCATGGGAAAGAACGCGGTGATATCTTAGCAGTGTCTGCCAGGCTGCAGGAGGGGCTGCGGGCGCTTCTGGCACTACTCTGCTGGCCTTGATTAGGTGATCCCCAAAGTCCTTTCTGAGGTTTTTCACAGTCCGAGATCAGCCTGCTAAGTCTCCACATGTCTTTCTCAGCTGGTGTGACACGCGCTGAGCCCCTGCTCTGTGCTGCTGTCTGTCTGTCTGTCTTTCTCGGCTGGTGTGGCATGCGCTGAGCCCCTGCTCTGTGCTGCTGTCTGTCTGTCTGTCTGTCTTTCTTGGCTGGTGTAGCACACGCTGAGCTCCTGCTTTGTGCTGCTGTCTGTCTTGGCTGGTGTGGCACAAGCTGAGCGTCTGCTCTGTGCTTCTGTTAGTCTGTCTCAGCTGCTGTGGCACACACTGAGCCCCTGCTCTGTGCTGCTGTCTGTCTGTCTTTCTCGGCTGGTGTGGCACGCTGCACTGTGCCTCTTGCTCTGCACTGCTGTCTGTCTGTCTTCTCGCTGTTGTTCAAGCCCTATCGGGTCATTTGGCATTTTCTGCCTCAGGGTTATTACACCAAGAAAAAAATATTTAAAGAAGTGTGTGGGCCACCGTTTCTGGGTTTTGAGTTTCAAGAGCGTTGTCCTGGAGGGATCTGGATGTGAGTGAAGACAGAGAAAAGCCAAAAAAAGAAAAGTCAGAGCTTGGTTTCTTGAGCTGAGGGAGGGAAGAGGTCACAGGGAGGGGCTGGTGTCTTGTGGCTCCAGAGGAAGGAACCAGCCCCTCTGCCTCCCTGTCCTGGGCCTCTTTCCTGGATAGAGTTCCAGGGCAGGGGTTGGGTGGGTGGGTGGCAGGACGCTAGAGAAAACATGCCAGTCTAAGCTGCTGAGAACCTAGGGCCAGTGAGAATCCCTGGTGGACACGAGGGGCTGGAAATGACAGAGATGTCACCGACAATTTAGCAGTGACCTTCACAGACTCAGAGCCAAGGTCGGATGAGAGACGGATCTTGCAGGAGATGCTGCATGGAGAGATGGTTCTGAGGACCCAGAGCCCTGCCCTCGAATCTCGTCAATACACCAGGGGGCAAAGGAGGGCATCTTCATGATTGGAAGCAGAGTTTTATCTGCCTTGAGAGAAGGGGAGCTTGAAATAGAAAACTACGTGGCATTCTAAAAAACAAATAAAATTTGCTTCTTAGGCACTGAGGGCCTGAACTGAGAGCTCTGTACCCTTGACTCATGTCATGTTTAAAGATTTTCCTAGCATTTTATTAATAGCATCCGCCAGAAAAGGTAGAAATAAACAAGGAGTCAGGGAGCATAGGGAGTCCACACATGATTCACTTTAAATGTTCTCATTCAGCACAGTTCCTCTTCAGCTCCCACAGGGATCGGCGCTGGTCTGGTGGGACGCTGGGGGCCGGTACGTGGAGCACATGCTTTCTGCTGCAGAGACCTCTGGAAGAGGCCCCGGTGAGCACAGGTGAAGACAGGCCTGTCCCTGTGCACACAGTGTGGCTGGACCAGCTGCTCTTGTCCTGACCTCTGCATGCTCATCTGTAAAACACAGGCATTTGCCTAGGGGCGATCTAATGACTCCTAGATTCAGCCCCCAGAGAGCCTGCCTAGAAATAGCCACGATTCAACGTGATGCAAACACGGAAGCTCCCCAGGGGGGTAAGACGGCAATTCTCCCAGCCTTCCAGCTTCCACTGGGCCAGGGCCCTTTCATCTTCTGACCTGCTCTCAGGCATGCCACATCTGAAAACTCTGCCACCTTTGCGCGAGACCCCTGCATTAGCCCAGGGAGACAGAACCAATAGGATGTCTGTATAAAGAGATTCATCCAGAGGGATTGGCTCATGTGGTTATGGAGTCTGCCTTCTGCCCACTGGAGACTCAGGAAGCCTGGCGGTGTGGTTCAGTCCAAGTCTGAAGGCCCTTGAACCAGGAGAGCTGATGGTCTCAGTCTCAGCCCAAGTGGGGGAGAAGGTTGGTGTCCCGGCTCACGCAGCCACGCCGAGAGGTTAAATCTCCATTTTGTTCTATTCTGCACTGAACCTCGAGGGACTGCATGAAGCCCACCCACATGAAGAAGGGCCACCTACTTTCCTGAGTCCACTGAGACCACCAATCTCCGCGGGAAACACGCTCACAGACACACCCAGAAATAATGTTTAACTCAGTGTCTGGGAACCCCTCAGCCAGCAAAGGTGACACAAAATTTAACCATCACAGCTCCCTCTGGATAAGATGAGGGAACAAGATTTCATAACATTGGGCCCACGGACACTCAATGGACGGAAACAAGGCTGACCTGTCCTCAGAAGGACATACCCCACAGTGTGGTTCTTGGTCCCATAGCCATGGTCAACACTGTCCCTCCAGTTTAGCTGAGTCCTCGCCGTCACTTCAGTCCTGCTGCCAGGGCCCTGTCCTCCACACAGCCTTGGCCACGGTCACCTTCTCTCCTTTGAGCCACTTGGACTCACATCTGAGGCACATTGTCAGCACAGACCCCTCAGCTCCCACCACACACACTTCCTGATTTCGCACTGAGATGTCCGGCACCTCAAACCCAACATATCAAAACCTGAGACCCTTCCAGTCCTCCCTGCCTCTGCCGGTGAACACTCCAGGGTTCCAGGCCGAAACCATGGCCTACTCCTTGATTCTCCCTTTTCCCTTACACTTCACATCTGGTCTGTCAGCAAATCTTGCTGTATCTGCCTTGACAATGGAGCCACATTCAACAACTGCTCCCCCTCCCACTGCCACCAGCCTGGCCAGATCCCAGGGTCTCTCACCCACATTCAGAGGGAAGCTCCCATTGGGGCTTCCTGCTGCTTTGTGCCCTCTGGCAGTCTGCCATCAGCAGAGGGATCATCCACAAAGTCACATCATGCCTCCCACCCTCCAATGGCTTCACACCCCACTCAGAACAAAAGCCCAAGTTCATAATAGGATCTACAAGGCCCTCCAGGGTTTCCTTCCCTGCAATATCTCTGTCCTTGTCCCTCAACACTCACCCTCTCATCCTCTCTATTCCAGCCACATTGAGCCCCTTGCTTTCCCTGGAACATGTCAGGGGCTCTCTTCCCCAAGGTTCCAGCACTGACGGCCTTCTCTGCCTAGAGCATTCTTCCTCCAACAGCAGCGTGGATGACTCCCTCACTTTCTCTGATCTTTACTGAAAAGCAGGAATGAGGCCCAGACAGCAAACACTTGAGAGATAAAGAATACTAACCTTGCACAAACTATTTTAAAAATAGAGAAGGAGGGCACACCCCCCAGTTTATTTTATGAGATGAATATTACACTGATTAGAACCCCTCTTCCCCAAAAGAACAGGCAAAGACTTTACAAAGAACGAAATCTGAAGGCTAATATTTCTCATGAATGTAGAAACAAAATCCCTTAGCAAAACACGAGCAAATGATACCAGCAATATAAAAAGGAAAATAAACATGATTCTATAGGCTTTATACCAAGAATGCAATGTTGGTTTAATATGTGAAAACCAATAAATGTAACTCTTGTATTATCAAAATCAAAAGGAAATCATATAATTATCTTAACAGATGCAGAAAAAAATGTGAAAAACTTCAAGGCCCATTATTGAGAAAAACTTTCAGCAAAACTAGAGATCTAAGAGAACTTCCTTAATCTGATAAAGATAATCTATGGAGAATCTACAGATAACATAATGAATGGTGAAAAACTGAATTTATTTTCCCTAAGGTAAGAAATAAGGTAAGACTGTCACTTCTCACTATTTTCCCCTCAGTGTTGTACTAGAATTCACAGCCACTGCAGTAAGACAAGAAAAAGAAATACAAAGCACAGATTGGGAAGGAAGATGAAAATCTGCCTCTATTCCTAGATGACAGGTTAGTGTACATAGAAAATACTTGTAACCTATAAAAAACCAATAGGTGAGTGTTCCAAAGCCACAGGACACCAGTTGATATATAAAAACCATTTCTTTTACAATATATAAGCAATGGACAATGGGAAACTGAATTAAGAGCATAATGTCTAATACAATAAAAAATGTGAAATGTTTAGGGATAAATTTAACAAAATACATGCAAGATTTGTATACAAAAAATATATAATATTGCCAAAAGTAATTAAACATGACCAATAGTGGTTGAGAGATTGGTTGTATTCACAGATTTGAAGACTTGATATAATGAAGAGTTCTAGTCCTCCCAAACTGATCTTACATTCAGTGCAATCTCAATGAAAACTCAACCGTGCTTATTTTTTTTTGGCAGAAGTTTACAAACAAATTCTGCAATTTACATGGAAATGCAAAGGACTTAAAATAGTTAAAGCAATTTTGAAAAACAGGAAAGTAATTGAAAAACTCACATTACCAGATTTTGAGACAATGTAAAACTGAAGTCATGAAAACAGTGTGGGATTAGTGTACAATAGAAATATAGGCCAATAGAACAGAATCGAGGCACAAAGCAGACCCACACATATATAATCAATTGATTTTTGGCAAAGTTGCCGAAACAATAAATGAGAAAAGATGATCTTTTCAATAAATGGTGTGGGAGCAACTGGACAACCGTATGGAAATGACAACAACAAAAAAACCTCAACTCTTACCTTACACTACACCCAAAGGTAATTCTAGATGGAGTAAGGATCTACAAGTAGAAGTAAAGCCATCGGCCGGGCTCAGTGGCTCACGCCTGTAATCCCAGCACTTTGGGAGGCCAAGGTGGGTGGATCACAAGGTCAAGAGATTAAGACCATCCTGGCCAACATGGTGAAACCCCGTCTCTATTAAAAGTACAGAAATTAGCTGGGCGTAGTGGTGCACGCCTGTAATCCCAGCTACTTGGGAGGCTGAGGCAGGAGTGTCGCTTGAACCCGGGAGGCAGAGGTTGCAGTGAGCTGGGATTGTGCCGCTGCACTCCAGCCTGGCGACAGAGCGAGACTCCATCTCAAAAAAAAAAGGAAGTAAAGCCATCAAGCTTTGTATTAGTCCATTCTCACCCGGCTATAAAGAACTACCAGAGACCAGGTAATTTATGAAGAAAGAGGTTTAATTGACTTACAGTTCTGCAGGCTGTACAGAAGCCTCAGGAAACTTACAATCCTGGCAAAGGGTGAAGGGGAAGCAAGCCCATCTTCTCACTGTCAGCAGGAGAGAGCGAGAGCAAAAGGGGAAGTGCTACACAGTTTCAAACGACCAGATCTTGTGAGAACTCACTCACAATCATGAGACCGGAAAGGGGAAATCCACTCCCATGATCCAATCACCTCCCACTAGTTCCCTCCCCCAACATTGGGGATTACAATTCAACATGAGATTTGGGTGGGGCACAGGGTCAAACCACATTAAGTTTATAGGAAAAAAAAACACAGGAGAGAACATGATTTTGAAGTAGGCAAAACTACTTAGAGATAAAGAGTACAGCTGGGTGCAGTGGCTCACACTGGTAATCCTAGCAGTTTGGGAGCAAGGTGGGAAGATCACCTGAGGCCAGGAGTTTGAGACCAGCCTGGCCAACATAGTGAAATTCCATCTCTACCTAAAATATAAAAAATTAGCCAGGCATGGTGGCTTGCACCTGTAGTTCCAGCTACCTGGGAGTCTGAGGCACAAGAATCACTTAAGCCCAGGAGGCAGAGGTTGCAGTCAGCTGCATTACAAACTGATGCATGCCTCCACGGTGCACCAGCCTGCATCACACACTGATATGTGCCTCCACGGTGCACCCGCCTGCATCACACACTGATGTGTGCCTCCATGGTGCACCAGCCTGCATCACACACTGATGTGTGCCTCCATGGTGCACCGCCTGCATTACACACTGATGTGTGCCTCCACGGTGCACCCGCCTGCATTACACACTGATGTGTGCCTCCACAGTGCACCCGCCTGCATTACACACTGATGTGTGCCTCCACAGTGCACCCGCCTGCATTACACACTGATGTGTGCCTCCACGGTGCACCAGCCTGCATCACACAGTGATGTGTGGCTTCATGGTACGCCAGCATGCATCACACACTGATGTGTGCCTCCAAGGTGCACCTGCCTGCATTACACACTGATGTGTGCCTCCACGGTTCACCCGCCTGCATCACACACTGATGTGTGCCTCCACGGTGCACCCGCCTGCATCACGCACTGATGTGTGCCTCCACGGTGCACCGCCTGCATTACACACTGATGTGTGCCTCCACGGTGCACCCGCCTGCATCACGCACTGATATGCGCCTCCACGGTGCACCCACCTGCATCACACTCTGATGTGTGCCTCCACGGTACACCCGCCTGCATCACACACTGATGTGTGCCTCCACGGTGCACCCGCCTGCATTACACACTGATGTGTGCCTCCACGGTGCACCCGCCTGCATTACACACTGATGTGTGCCTCCACGGTACACCCGCCTGCATTACACACTGATGTACACCTCCATGGTGCACCCGCCTCCATCACACACTGATGTGTGCCTCCATGGTGCACTGCCTGCATCACATACTGATCTTGCAGGCCACAGGACACCTTCTGTCTCTTTAGAGAACTTACATATATCTATTTTGATTCATCTGTAGACTTTATGGTTTAATTTACTGAGAACATTTTCTCTTCCAAGTTCCAAAGTTATTAACTGAATAAATGGCATATTTTAAAGGTGAATTTTAAAAATTATACACTTAATACATGCTCATTATTAGAAAAGTAGATTAAAAAATCCATAAATCTGCTCTCTGGTGAAAACCATAAGTAAATAACATTTTAAGTTGCAGAAATTAAACATAGGACTTTCATCCAGCCACTGTCACATTCTAAATTCCCTCTTCTCCTTGTTCTTTTTCTTCTTCTCCTTGCCAAAATGCAAATGACATTCTCTTCATTCGGGCTGTCTTCTATGTACACATTACCTATAAAATCCCCACTCCCTTATTAAATCAAAGGAGTGACTCATTTTATTTCCAGGAGTAAAAGCAGATTCATCCAGGCTTTAACTTCTCAGTCACCCTACCCAACCCCCAGTGTGCCTCCTGAGAGAAAACTAAATTTTTCAGCTGGCAATTAAATTACTTTTAAATAAACAGTTAATTTTTCATTTGAACAAGTTACTCTCGGCCTTATGTATACAGACTCAGTTCTGGCTGTCGTCATCTCCACTATCACTTCCTTGCTCAGTGAAATAATGATCCTCAACTTCCGATTGGCACCACAGAGAATTTGTTTTACATGAGGGTTTGCAACACAGTGTCACCTAGACACTTCCTTTCACTTCTCCAAGTTTGATTTTCCTCACTTGTAACACAGAGAACACCTTCATTTTCTGTTAAGCAGGACTGACCCTAAGAATTTTCCTTAGCGTTATAAGAAAATGGATTTTCCCTAGAATGTTTGAGCAATGAATATAGTACAGACTTTAAAAAGCAAGAAATGTCTTCCATTTACACACTTAGAGAGGAGTACCCAGGAAAGATTTGGCAGAAGGAGTGGGGCGAGGCATTTCTGCAAGAGGGAGCCCACCTCCCCCACAAACGCTGCCATGCCCCTCCATTGGCAGAGACACACATTGGTCTGTGGGAAGGTGCCATTTCTTGGAAGAAATTCATGATCAAATTAAATAGTTTCTTAAGTCTGGGATTCATGGACATAAATGAACAATATGTGGGTAGTGGTAGACTTTAAACACTAGAAAAATGAAGCTGCTTTGCCCCATGTCTGCCCATCCTAGTGACAAGAAGGGGAGTGAGGCCAGGGCCTCCTCCTCCCACCAGGCTCTTCCTTGGGCAGAGGAAGCACAATTTTGACTCAGACAAATAAACCCCCTCGGGACAATCAGTCACTGTTTTCTTCATAGCCCTGTTCTAAGAGAACATCAAGTGAGCCCTTCAGAAATGTCCTATTTTAACACTTCCCAGTGGGTTCCCTTTGGTCAGAGCCCCTCAAGCCGGTCTCATCCTCTGCGACGGCCTATGTATAGTGCTGGTCAGCAGTAACTGAGGGTCAGCATTAGCAGGACTCACAGCAGCGATGGGAACACCCAACATGGACGCTTTCAGGTTCCTTCTACAGGAAAATGCAGGCACCGTTTTAGAGAGATTTGTAACAAATAGAGCATAACAAAAGGAGTTTCTGCCTATTTGAAGTGGAATTTTTTATTCTCTAATTATTTCATTTAATGGAGGATTTTAAAATAAAGCGTGTTGGCCAGGCGTGGTGGCTCATGTCTGTAATCCCAGCACTTTGGGAGGCCGGGGCGGGCAGATTGCTTGAGCTCAGGAGTTCAAGACCAGCCTGGCCAACACGGCAAAACCGCTTCTCTACAAAAAATAAAAAATTAACCATGCATGGTGGCACTTGCCCATAATCCCAGCTGCTTGAGGGGCTGAGGTGAGAGGATTGCTTGAGCCCAGGAGGCTGAGGCTGCAGTGAGCTTACATCAGGCCCCTGCACCCCAGCCTGGGCTACAGTGAGACCCTGAAAAAAAACGCAGGATAAAATAAAGGAAAATAAAATAAAACATGTTTCACCATAAAACAATATTCATCAATATCCACTTGGAAGAGAAGAGAAATGTAGGGAAAAATACCCTTAGTCTCAAAAGCAAGCCCTTTAAACAGTGGGTGCTTACTTTCCATCTCCTCTATTCCATATGGGTTTAAGAGCTGCAGGCGCAGCCTTTGTGAACACCTGCCTTCTTGACTCTCATGACAGCATGCCCGTGTCTGCATGCTCTTTCTAACGACAGGACAGTTGGACAGCACGTGGGGCAGAGCCTACTTTTCCTTAAGAGGGGGGTTGCTTTTGTTTTTGCTGTACATGAGATGGCCGTGAGCGCTGAGGGCCAGCCCTTATGTAGCAGCCTGGTAGCCTTTGTCTCCCACCTCTCTCCCAGCAGAGCCCAGCTAGCCCCACAGGCAGATTCCTCCGGGCCTCAGCCTTTCCTTCCAGCCTGGGTGGAGAGATGACCAGCTGAAGTGTGTAGCTCCCCACGCCGAAGGACAGCCTTGCCACTGGCCCAGGTGCTGGGCGGGCTTCTGTGCCTGTCCGGTCCTCAGCAGCCTGCCTTTCTCCCAGCCCCAGTGCCTGGCTTGTCCCCCGAGCAATGAACTCTCATCGTGTCCCCAGAGGCTGTCCCCTGGCTGGGTTTTCTGCCTCTGCCCTTGGTGCTGAGCCCCCAGGCTCTGTTGCGTCGCAGAGATTAGAGCTCTGTTCCATGCCTGTTGTGGGTTTACTGTGTCCTCTCCCAAAGGACAATCAATGTCTATAACTCTGTATCTGTGAATGTGACCTTATTTGGAAATAAGGTCGTCACAGGTGTCATTAGGGTGAGATCATAATTCAGTAAGGTGAGCCCTAATCTAACACACTGGCCACGCTCATAAGAAGGGGCTCCCTCGGAGACAGGCACTCACAGAGGGAGACAGTGGGGACACGGAGACAAGGCCATGGAGGGTGGAGGTGGAGGCTGGAGGGAGGCACCTACCAGTCCAGGTGCCGAGGCCGCCAGCAACACCAGCTCTGGGAGAGGCAGAGGGACCCTCCTTGGACCCCCAGCAGGAGCCCAGTGTTGTCTGCACCTGGACCGAGGACTGCTGCCTCCAGCTTGAGAGAATAACTGTCCACTGCTTCAAGCCCCCAGCTTGTGGCCCTTTGTGCAGACCGCCCCTCCCCTGGAGACCCTGGCAGTGCCCTAGGGTCAGGTCACTGTCAGCAGAGATCCCCCATCGACATTCAGCTGCATCGGGCTCACAGCCCACCTCTCACTCACTAGGCCAATAGGCACCTGCGGCTGGCTTCACTAAGCCCCTCTGGGGCTCAAGCTTCTCCCTTTCCCACAGGGACATGGCCACTTACTCCGCGGGAGACAGGAGCACAGGAGGCGCTGTGCCTGCCAGGACCGCAGCTCCTTTTCCTCCTTCCCACACCACAGTTTCTCTGACAGGAGACCACCCCTCCCACACACCAGCTCCCATGGCCTCTGGAGCTCCTGCGATGGGGCCGCCCGTGGGCTCCCAGGGCACCACTCACTGGGATGCTGATTTGGGGCTTGGCTGGGCTCTTTCCACAGTCCCTGAGATCGCCAGACCCAGGCAGACCTGTGGCCTCTGTTCCTGCTCTGTGCACTGAGCCCCCACTTCCCCAGGTGGTCCTGGAGGACATCTCCCTCCCAGTGAAGCTGTGGACCCGCCCAGGAAAGGAACGTGCCCCAGGCAGTGGGGCAGAGGGTCCAGGTGTTCACACCCAGGGATCAGCTCATGTTAGGGGTAGGACCACGTAGCAGTGGGGACAGGGGGATCAGAGGTGCTGCCTGTTACCCTTCTCCTCCCAAAGGAACATGCCCAGGCTCTGGGAAGTGGGTACCTCCCCAAGGCTGCCCCACCTCCCTTGGGGCAGAGCCCACATCTAGACCGGTCCTCAGTGCTTTGGTCCAGGAACATGGAAAGAGGCAAGAAGAAGCAAGGCCAGTCCACTGAGGTGGGCTAGGCAGGTAAGAGGTCACTGGCCTGGGGACACACCTGTACCAGACCAGACAGGGACAGGGTTGGGGGGCTGCCTGCAGCCGGGTGTCCCAGGCCTCGGGCGCAGAGTGCACAGGCATTTTGGTGATGATGACCTGAATCTGAGTGAACGGTTTTATTTTGGGGAAGCGTTTCTTCTTCTTGCTGGGGAAGGATTAATGTCGCGGTGGGTGAGAGGTAACCGCAGAGTGAGAGCAGAGGGCCCAGGGCAGCCGCCATACCCGGAGCCTGAGTATCGGGGCTTCCCAGGACCTGGCTGAGTGACAGCCAGCAGAGCCCCTGCCGTCCAATCACAGGGCGGGGGTGGCACCTGGCGGTGCCTGGGGGCGTCCCTGGGGACCCTCGCCTCAGGCGGCACGCTGACTTCTTGGGGTGCTCGCCGGTATGGATCCTACAGCGGATGATCCAAGGTCCCCCGTGTGCGTGAAGTCCCGGGGCCATCCTGACTGAGACATGATGAAAGGAAAATGAGTGTGTTGTCGTTTTCCAAAAACACCTTATGTCGAGATGCTATCACCAAAAAGAACATTTCTCACGCTAAGCACCGGAAGCCAGGCGCTCTGCCGAAGGCATCGGCAGCTGCCCTGCACTCTGCACGGTATGGGTGGGGTGAGATGCGGGGCTGAGCAGACTCCGGATTCCTGGATGGGTGCAGGGAAGGAAGGGTGGTACCCCCAGCCCAACCCACCCCAGCCCAGCCCAGCTCCTCCCTTCCTGGGAGGCGAAGGGACCCTCCATCCATCCCTTCTCCCCCCTGCACTCCCTCACCCTCCCCTGGCACCGCCCTCCCCACCCCAGCACCTTCCTGAGGCACTCATTCTCCCCAGCACCCAGGGGCTGACCTAGCACCCACTGTCTCCGGGATTTGGGATGGCAGAACGGAAGTCCACGGGTGGGTATTACTGTTCACAGGCCTGTTTAGTCAAGGCAGGGTAGTGGGACTGGAATGAGTAAGGTGAGTTAAATGGATTCCCAGATAGGATGCTGCTTTGAAAATACACATTTCTGAATGCAGGATCACGTACATAGTTTCCATATTCAGCAGGTACTTTCACAATTGCGATGTTGTTGTTTTGGGGGTGGGGAGACTGTTGATTTTTCCTTTTAATTACATAAATAAACCATGCTCCTTGCTGGGAAAAAAATGAAAAAAAAAATACAGGAAAACACCTCTCCTGAATCCATCTTTAGGCAATTACTTTGATTTTTGAAAATACAAATGCTTTGCATGGTGAAAGTTTCCGCTTTGCCCCTAAAGGAAAGCAGCCTGGTGGATGCGGCTTGGTTTCCACAGAAGCTCGGTCTGCACCCTGCCTGTGCACCTGGAGCCAGGGCGAATGCACTTGGATGGAGAGAGGGAAGCTGCAGTTCGAATTAAACAGACCGTATTTGTAAAGTGGTTTGAAGATGAAAAGCCCCGTAGAAGTTATGGTTGTCATTACCACGAATAATGGATGCGCCCAGGCGGCCAAATGGAACATTGATGCCCGGAGTCAAAGCCCCCGCACATCTTTCAGGTGCAATTATCTGTGGCCTGGCCTCGGCGGTGTGCCTCGCGATGGGATCCCTACACCTTGCTGGGGTAAGAAGTTAGGCCTCAAAGATTTCTCAGCACAGAGAGCAGGAGAGTTTCTCAGGAGGCAGGGCTCGGGGTCGGCCTCCCTGTTTCTTGTCCCCCGTTGTGTTGTCGCCTCCAGACAGGAACCCCGGCCACAGCAGCCCCTGGGCCCCCCAGACACAGGGCACGCTCCTCCTGCAGGAGGCCTGCCTGGTGGGTCTCAACGTCGTTGCATCCTCCACTGACTCCTTGGGGCACCCACTTTCCGGATAGGCCCTGGGGGAATGAACCTGGGGACAGGGCTGCTTGCTCCTGGTGAGAGTCCCACGGGGAAGCTGGGGAAACAACAGCTGGCTCAGGGCAACCCTACTCCAGAGCACTCCCACTTCCTTTTGGAACTCTCTGCTCTGTTCTGCCCATGTCCGTGGACACCACCCGTCCTGGGCATGCTGTAACCTTGCCGGCAGAGCTGTGGGGATGCTGGGCAGAGCGACTGGACTGAAGCTGTGCGCCTCCTCTGGGAATCTGGATCATTTCAAGCCGGATCCACCAGGCTGCTTTCCTTTAGGAGGAAAGAGGAACTTCCACAATGCAAAGCATTTGTATTTTCAAAAATCAAAGTAATTTTCTAAAGATGGATTCAGGAGAGGTATTTTCTTGTATGGTTTTTTTTTTTCATTTTTTTCCCAGCAAGGAGCATGGTTTGTTTATGTAATTAGAAAAATCAACAGTCTCCCCCCTCCCAAAACAACAACATCACCGATGTGAAGAGTACCTGCTGAGCATGGAAAGCAGGGGCATGAGCCTGCATTCAAACATGCATATTTTCACAGCAGCATCCTATCTGGGATCTGTTTTCATTCACCTTGAGTTAATTCATTCCAATCCCACTACCCTGCCTTGACTACACAGGGTGGTGGGATTGGTCCAGATTCCCACTGGATCAGTTGGCTGAAATAACCAGCCACTTCTTGAGCTCACAGGGACTTGAGGTGGGGTTACAGGCACTGAGAGGTATCTGCAAACTGGGGGTCTCAGCAATGCTGGGACTAGGGAAGGCAGGGGCCAGGGAAGGGGGATCCTTGGGACCAGACAGATTCTGTGTAGTCACTAGTTTATACCATGGCCTCAGGACAGGGCATCCTTTACTTTCTCTAAAACTTGGCCCAGTGAAGGTGCGTTTTTATTGTGCTTTATGCCTGAGGACAGTGAGCGCTGGGTAGGATGGGCCAGGGAAGGATCCTTAAGAAAGTCTGAGAGGCAGTTGTGGCCTCTTCTCGGCTCACACGTTGGGAACTTTGAACACAAGGAGGGCACAAGCCAGAGGTGGAGGTGTCAGGTGGCTTCAGGGATGGCCACTGGTCTCACCGTAATTATTTGAGAAGAATTAATCCCCCCCCCCCAGGAAAGCCTTATCCAAGGGCTCTGCACAGACAGGGTTCTGCAGGTATTAGCTGAACAATGATATTTTGCCCAAAGCCTTCTTTCTGTGAATTGCACACATGTGGATGTTTATATTTTTCTGCTGGAAGGTGGGAGCATGGAAACAGTTAAAATTGTCTGTAGGAAAATCTCATGATTTTCACCCTGATGTTTGGCACTGTCCCTACCACAATCGTAGAGTCGGTTTATCAGATCTTTCAGAGAGCCCAGATCCTTGAGTGAAACAGAACTGCTTGCTGCAGGTAAACATCGAGGGTGAGTAACGACCGCTGCGCCCGTTATCCAGAGCGAGACTTTGTTCATCTGGACTCCAGTGTTTCTCAGCCCTTCATCCGCCCCACCTGGAAGTGAGTGAAGATGAGCCACCTTCCAAACTTCCCAGCCACAGACAGGAATTTGCCTCCTCAAAAGGCTGCTCCAGCCAGAGGAGGTCCCCAGTAAGGAGGAAGGAGGGTGTCTGGGTGGCTATGAAGCAGCAAGCTTCACACCCACCGGGGCCCGTGTGCATCCTGAGGGCAGCCGTGGTCTTCTGTTGAGGCCGATCATTTGTGTGTATGGTTGAAGGCCTCAGTCATGAGACACCTCCAGTTCTTCTCATCTAGGAAGATCGGCTTCGAAGAGCCTCAAAACCCTTCTCAGGAAACAGAATGCCAGTGGCCGGGGAACACTGGACAGTGTGGGCTCTCACCCCCTGCACTTCGGGGGTCCCACGAGGGGCACTCGGAAGGCCTCGCTGCAGTCTCAAGGCCAGCAAGTGTCAAGCAGCAATTGGAACCTGGCCTCCTGCTCCCTGGCTCAAGGCACTGCCGAAGTCCATGTCTCTGGGCTGAAAGCGGAGGAAATAAACACACAAGGAAGGTGTCCCACGGGAAAGTGGGGGCAGCAGAAGCAGGTGCCCCGAGGGTCATGGTTGCTTCCAGAATGGCAGAAGGGGTGACCCAGGCCCCGGCATCGATCAACTCCATCCGTCCTTACACCCACCCTGCATGCGACCCAGGGCGTCACTCGTGTTTTGCAGATGCGGAAGCCGGGGTCAAGAGGGCTCATTAACTGCTTGAGTCACATCCCTTGTACGAGGCAGCATGGAGGCTCAGAATCGGCACCCCTATCCCACTCCTTGGGCAGGGAACTCAGCCAAGAGGTGCCAAGTCGGCTCCAGCCAGAGGGACACACACTGCTCTCTGGCTCCTCCTGAGTTTCGGGGTCCCAAGAACCATGGCAGGCAGGTCCCTGTGAAGACTGCACGCCCTCTCCTACCCTGCACTCTTCTGCACCTTTGGTGGTGGGCAGCATGCAGACTGCAATGAAAACGCTGCAGGTTTAGGCTGGGCATGGTGGCTCATACCTGTAATCCCAGCACTTTGGCTGGCCGAGGCAGGTGGATCACGAGGTCAGGAGTTTGAGACTATCCTGGCCAACATGGTGAAACGCTGTCTCTACTAAAAACACACACACAAAAAAAATTAGCTGAATGTGGTGGCACGTGCCTGTAATCCCAGCTACTCAGGAAGCTAAGGCAAGAGAATCACTTGAACCAGGGAGTCGGAGGTTGCAGTGAGCTGAGATCGTGCCACTGCACTCCAGCCTGGTGACAGAACGAGACTGTCTAAAAAAAAAAAAAAAAACACTGAAGGTTTCTAGTCCAGTGCATCTGTGACAGGCAGCACGGCCCTGTTCGCAGACTCAAAATGCATATTTGTATGGTAAAGCTCTGAAAAATCTTGCAGAAAGAATCCTGCTTAGATTGTGTTTAATGCAGCATCTCTATGGTTCAAGGAAGAGCTATTTGTGGGCCACAGAACCACAAGTGTTAAGGATATCTGGGGGTCCTGGCTGACAACATAGACTTTGGAGTCAGAGCTTTGTGTAAATCTTGCTTCTGCTGTGCAATCTGAACAAGGTATTCAACCCCTCTGGGTCTCAGGTTTCTCATGCACAAAATGCGGATAATAAAATCCATGTTTGGTGTTGCTCAGGATTAAATAATAGGTGTAAGACACTTGGCATGGAGCTTTGCACATAGTAAATACTTAACAAATGCTGTCTGTTATTCTTCATATTCTTTATTATTCATATCAATAGGATTGATAATTAAATGGAAAAGTCCGCATTTGAAAGTCAGGGTCATTTTATTCTCGTTCAGCCTCTATCTGGGATGTTTGGAAGTGGTCTCGGTGACTTTCAAAGACTATTTGGAATTAACAACCCTCTCTCCTTGCCCAGGTACTTGGCTTCAATGTAAGCAATGAAGTCAGAATTAATAAGAAATGGCAGCACTTTCTTCCTCTGAGTATTAACAGTTTTGAGAAAATGGTTGAACTATTCTAGCATTTAATAGTTAGATGGGACACGCTCATTTATATTTCAAGGAAACTCCAAGTCCTCAGTGCATAATTAAGATAATAGCACTGTGAGACCCGAGGTATGATTGAAGAGTCCATGCAAAGGTGCCTGGCTGGGCAGGGCTCTGCTGCCCACGAAGCCTCTGCTCCTCCACTCCCTGGAACAGCCCGTAATTAGCGCCTGATTTATTTCTCCTCGCTCTCATTTCCAGCCTAATAGATTTCACTAGTTATTAGTTTCAGCCATCTTTCCAGCCAGCTGAGGTTGGATGTGTCATTTTGCTTTTGTGTTCATGGTGATGCCTGAAAGTTGAGGTCTTCATGATTGGAGAAGTTTAGAGGAGGAGTCCGTCTTCCCAGCCCTTGCGGACAGTCTGCTGACCAGTACTATGGTGACTGCTGGCCTGTGCTATGGATTAGGATAATGCTAGCAGCTGTTGGAAACAACACAAACCTCCAAATCCCAGTTGCTTGACACCACGGGAACTTACGTATTGCTTGTGTCAGTGCACGATGCAGGTGTCCCTACAGTGGGAAGCTGAGCCACCTGTGGCATTCAGGGATCCCATCTTCTTCCTTCCTATAGCTGTGTGGTGCTGTAGAGCAGGGGACAGCCTCTTCTGAGCCATGCAGCTGGGAGCACTGCACACCGCTATGCTCATTCCCTTTGTTAGTCCCTTCTAGCATGGCCATAAACGATAGCTGAGACTGGGTAACTTATAAGGAAAAGCAGTTTAATTGGCTCTTGGTCCCCAGGCCGTATGCGAAGCAAGGTGTCTTCTGCCTCTGGGGAGGGCCTCAAGGAGCTTCTGATCATGGCAGAAGGCGAAGTGGGAGCAGGCGCCTTACATGGCAGGAGCAGGAGCAGGAGAGAGGCGGGAGGTGCCACACACTTCAAACAGCCAGATCTCAGGAGAACTCACTCACCGTTGGGAGATCAGCACCGAGGGGATGGCACTAAACCACTAGGGAGAAACCGACCCGGGATCCAGTCACTCCCACCAGGCCCCGCCTCCAACACTGGGGTCACAACGCCACATGAGATTGGGGCAGGGACATAGATCCAAACCATGTCACACCCGCCGGCACACGCCCCACAGGGCAGGGGGTCTGGAAAGCCCGGGGCAGCAGCCTCTTCTACAGCAACACGTCCAGTGGTAGGGGCGTGGCTTTGGGTGGGCGCCGCCATGTCCGGTGCTCTCTGCCAGGCAGCCAGCGAGGGCCTTTGTGCTCATGTTCTTCTTGCTTCCCTCCTCTGCCTGCACCTGGGCTGCTCTGGCCTCAAGGACACCCCCCTCCTTGTCTGCCACACTGCCCACGCTCACCTCCATTAGCGCTCCAGGTCCCCAAGCTTCTGATGGGCTCTATGTTATCATATTAACCAGAAGTGAAGAGTTAGGAAGAATCTGCCTTTCTGACCAGCATTGTTTTACTCCCTCTTCAGTGTGAAATGCCTAGAACTGACCTCTGAAGAGAAGCACCAAGGCTGAAGTGTGGGGCAGAGGAGGCAGAGAATAGGACCCTGTCCAGCTGTGGGGAAATGCAGGTGGACTCCCAGGGGTGGTGACAGCATGTGGCCCTGGGGCTGTGGGTGAGGGCGGAGGGACAGGACCCCAGCTATGTCTGACAGTCCACAGCCCTGGCAAGACCAAATGCAGCCACACCTTGCTTCTTCATTCGCAAGCTCGGAGATACTGGGGAATTAGCCCATTCATTCTTCTAAGTATTGGTGACAGAAAAAAGTCAGGTACAGACAGAAATGAAGGAAGGGGGTTTAACCAACAAAACTGTTATGGAGTGAAGACCAAAACGTAAGAGCTAAAAGTATAAAACTGTTAGAGGAAAACAGGGAAAAAGCTTTATGACACTAGGCCTGGCAATAATTTCTTGGATATCACACCAAAAGTGCAGGCAACACAAGAAAAAATAGATAAATTTGAACCCACGGGATGGCAGAAAGTATTTGCAAATCATATATTTGATGAGGGACAAATATCCAAGATATGTAAAGAACTCTGGGACTCAACAACAGCAACAAAAACAAAGAACCGGTTTAAAAATGGGCAAAGAGCTTGAATAGGCATTTCTCAACAACAACAAAAAATACAAACGGCCAATAAACTCAAGAAAAGATGTCAATATCACCAGTCATTGGAGAAACGCAAATCAAAACCACAGTGAGCTGCCACTCACATCTATTAAGATGGCTATGATCGAAACACCAGAGAATAACAAGTGTTGATAAGGTTTGAGGAGAGACTGGAAACTTCATGCATTGCTGGTGAGAATACAAAAGGGAACAGCTGCGGTTCCTCAAACAGTAAACACAGAATTACCATCCAATACAGTAATTCCAACTGGGGGTATAAACCGAGAAGAAGTGAAAGCAGGGTCTGTAACACACCCACGTGCCTAGCAGCATTGTTCACAATAGCCAAGAGGTGGAAACAACCCACGGGTCCACCCACAGAAGAATGGACACACAAAATGTCTCTCACTCACACACACACACACAGAGGAATATTATTCACCCTTAAAAAGGAAGGGGATTCTGACACAGGCTACAACATGGATGAACCTTGAGGACATTACTATAAATGCAATAAGCCAGTCACAAAAGGGCAAATGCTGTGTGAGTCCATGTGTAAGAGGTCCCTAGAGTAGTCAAATGCAGAGAGACAGGTGGAAGAAAGGTAGTTACCACGGACAGCAGGAGGGGAAAGGGGAGTTCTTGCTTAGTGGGTGCAGAGTTTCGGTTTGGGGTGACAGAAAATTTCTGGAGAGGGATGGTGGTGATGAGAGCACGACAGTGTGATGTGCTTAGTGCCACTGTGACGGACATTTAAAAACGGTGGACACAGTTTTATGTTACGTACTGCATATTCTACCACACACAAAACAGAAATAATTGCTTCCTGATTTTAAAGCAACAAATGTTCATTGCATAATCTTTACAAACTGCAGAAAGATGAAAAGGAAAAACAAACAACCATGATCCCAGCACCCAAGAAAATCATCATTAATATTTTGAAATATTATCTTCTGATAGCTGTGTGTTCAGGTATGTGTTAAATATACATATAGCATTTGTTTTGCGTAGTTTAGATTACATGCATCATTGTATTTTGGACTCTTTTTTTTTCTTCATATTTATGTGTCTGATAAAAGGTTTTACGCCAGGTCATTAAAACCACTTTTAATTTAAAAAATATGTAAAATGCCATTTTTCTTACTTAGAAATAAGATGATTTCACTGTAGAAAAGTTAGAAAATTAAAACAATCAAAAAAGAAGAAAAACTTATCCGTGACTAAGAAACACATTTTTAACCTTGCCATCTATCCTGGGTTTATGGCACATTCTAGGAATTTTATTTGTAAATGAGATCATCTCACAATGTTGTTTTGTAATTTAGTTTTATCACTCACATTTTCATGTTATCAAGTGTTCTATGTCACTGTAACGTCCTCCTGGTACTTCATTGCACGTGTGATCATTTATTTATCCTGCTTCCTATTGTGGAGTATTTCCCATGTCTCACTATTGTTAAGATGCTGCAGTGAACGTCCTTGTCAGTGTAACTGTGGCCGTTTCTTTAGGATCTATGGATACATTTCTAGAAAAGGAACTGTTGAGCCATTGTATGTGAATACTTTAAGTATTTTTGTACATATCCTCAGTTGGCCTCCAGAATGTGAACAATTTATACTTCTGGTTGCACTTTCTGGGGGTGCTTGTTTCTCCCCTCCTTCCTAACACTGGGGTTTTATATTTTTAAAATTCTCTGCCTGGGCACAGTGGCTGATGCCTGTAATCCCAGCACTTTGGGAGGCCGAGGGGGGCGGATCACAAGGTCAGGAGTTCAAGACCAGCCTGGCCAACATGGTGAAACCCCGTCTCTACTAAAAATACAAAAAAGTTAGCTGGGTGTGGTGGTGCACGCCTGTAATCCCAGCTACTCGGGAGGCTGAGGCAGGAGAATCACTTGAACCTGGGAGGCGGAGGTTGCAGTGAGCCGAGATCACGCCACTGCACTCCAGCCTGGTGACAGAGAGAGACGCTCTCAAAAAAAAAAAAAAAAAAGAAAAAGAAAAAAAAAAAATCTGCCAACTTGGTAAGTGGACATAGCTCCCTGTGGCTACATAACATTTCATTACATCAGGAAATTACAATCACTTAACTCTTCTGACAGACTCAAACATTTAGGGCAAAATGTAAACAAATAGTGAACATTTCCTGCACGCGGGCTCCACAGTGGCTGCGTCTGAGTCACCTTCGTTTCTCGGGGCACCCCGGTGTCTGTCCTTGGTGTGGGTGAGGACACCCTGTCAGTGCACTGGCTCAGGGGTGAGGCTGGGTGGGGCTCCCAGCTCTGCTGCTCTCTGGCTGGCCTCAGTCTCCTTGTCAGTAAAACAGGGATGACAGCACCGGCTTGTAGCTGTAGGCATCAAGCAACAGTGTGGGCTTGGGGTCGGCCTCACAAAATGCTCTGGGGGCTGGTGGGCCCAGGATGCCCCTGCAGGCATTTTGCTGTGATTGGGAGTTCAGATACTAAGTCCTGTAGGGTGCAGAGGGGTTGAGTGGGCTGCTGTGGGCGAGGAAGCCTTCAGCAGGAGGCGGCTGTCACGTAGACCTGGGACTGGGCAGCCGAATGCCCCCACTTGGTTTTGGGTCTTTTACCTCCAGACGTTCCTGTTTCCCTCTGTCTCCTATCCCGTCGATATGCATTTAAAATAGGTTTCTTGGCTGGGCACGGGGGCTCACGCCTGTAATCTCAGCACTTTGGAAGGCCAAGGCTGGTGGAGCCCTTGAGGTCAGGAGTTTGAGACCAGCCTGACCAACATGGTGAAACCCCATTTCTACTAAAAATATAAAATTAGCTAGCTAGATGTGGTGGTGCACGCCTGTAATCCCAGCTACTTGAGAGGCTGAGGCAGGAGAATCACGTGAACCTGGGAGGCAGAGGTTGCAGTGAGATGAGATCACACCACTGCACTCCAGCCTGGGCAACAACAGCAAAACTCTGTCTCAAAAATAAATAAATAAATAACAGGTTTCTCCCCAGGGTTCTCCTGATGGCCAATCCCTCACACCCTTCCCTTCATGCCCTTCCATGCTTGCAGGCCAGGCCTGGCTGGAGGCCACCTGGCACCCCCCTTTCCATAAAGAAGTGTGTGCCAGCTGTACCTCCCACAGAGGCAGAGGCATTTCCGGCTCCTTCACCTATTGAAGAAGAGAACGTTGCATCATAGAGGAAGTGCTTTGAACAGGAGCCTCTGAAATTTTGTTTTAATAAGAAAAAGAAATCACGTGGCCTGGACACAGTGTGAACTGGCTCAGGCAGGGATACCGAGGGGACTGGAGACCCCTCTCCCCCATGGATGGTGGGGGTGTGGAGGGGGTACCTGGAAGCAGCCTGTGAGGTGGGACAAAAGAAGGTGGCTCGGGGGAAAGCAGTGCCTGAATCCCACTGGAGGATGGGAGAAAGCCGGGTTGAGAAACTAGGCTTCCAACTCCAGTGCCGCCAGCTTGGCTCCATGCCGAATCCATGGCTTGCAGAGGGGAGGAAACAGCTCCTTAAAGGCAACAACATCCTTCACTCTGTAAGACCTTACATGACGTCAGAATTGTGCTGCCGACAAGATCTGCATGGGTGCTCCCTGGAGCCCTCCCCTCACCCACCCTGGGCTCACCCTCAAGCCCATCCGCAGTGAACCTGGGCTCCGCAAATGCCGCTGGAGAGGGAGCTGGGACTCTGCAGCGGCATGCAGGCGAGCAGGTGGGTGAGCACCTCATGTGTGACAGCCGCAGGCCCCTCGCTTCTGAAGGTTTGCAGGGGTCACATTGGAGGGGGCCCTGGCATGTACCCGAGAACCATGGGCCCAGGTGATACTGGACAAGGAATTGCACCACAAGCCACACCTGGCACGGTGCTAGTCCTTGAAAAACAAACACAAAAACCCAACTTACCGAGGATGTTCAGGAGGTACTATGGCATTTGCCCAATGTCCTGGAGGCTGAGAGCTAGAGAGGTCCAGAGGCCAGGATAGCGGCCTCGGGAAAGGTCTGAATACATGAATGGATAAATGAATGAATGAATGAATGAATGAATGAATGAAGCAAGCAAGGAGGGAGAAGGTCTCACCAAGTCTTTTCACCCCCTCCCTAGGATGACGTCTCTTTGGGAGTCTTTTTGGGGGCCACTCTGCCCCTGAACCCCCAGGAAAATCTCTCACCTTTGAGGGGGCCCATGGCAATCCAGGGAGCCCTGTGTTGCCTGGGAACCCCCTCTTCTCAGGGCTGCTGCCCCCCCATCCTGGTCTGGAGTTTCCCCATTAGCACTCCAGTGCCTCTGGGTTCACATGGATGGGAAATCCCAGAGTGCCAGGCTCTTTGAAGTGGGAGCCCCACCAGGCCTGCAGGGCTCTCTATCTCAGCTTCAAAGGCTGCAGAGAGAAAGATGCAGCCACTTGGGACAGTGGGGATGCAGGCTGGTGGGGGGTGGAGAAAGGGGCTGGGGAGGAGAGAGCTCCTAATGCCTTCTTCAAGTCCTGAAGCAAGGGAGCCACAGAGGACTGTGTTCTCACTTATCACCCAAGCCCTGGAGAACCTCTGCTGTCCCATCCATTCACTCATCTGCCCATCACTCTACCCACTCATCCACCACCCATCCATCCATCCATTCATCCATCCATCCCTCCATCCATCCATCCATTTATCTGTCCATTCCTCCATCTACCCATCCATCCCTCCATCCCTCTATCCAACCATCCATCCACCCATCTATCCCTCCATTCACATATCCATCCTTCCATCCACCCATCTATCCCTCCATCCACCCATCCACTTACCCATCTATCCCTCCATCCACCCATCCATTCCTCCATCTACCGATTCATCTCTCCATCCACCCCTTCATCCACCCATCCATCCACCCATCTATCCCTCCATCTACCCATACATTACTCCATCCACCCTTTCATCTCCCCATCCATCCCTCCATCCCTCCATTTGCCCATCTATCCCTCTAACAACCCATCCACCTACCTACTCATCCATCCACCCATCCATCCACCGACCCATGCACCCACCTGTCCATCCACAGGTGTTTGTCGAACACCTCTGGTGAGACAGGCACTGAAGAGAAGGACTCTGGCCAAACTGTACATCCCACTGCCCCCTCCAGCCTCACAACCCCAGTGTACCACCTTGGTCATACTGTCACCTGCCCAGTAAAGCTGTCCAGCCCATCTCCCTGTCCTGGGTCATGGCACGGCTCAGGACTAATGCCTGACAGGGGGCCATGCTTAGCGGGTGTTTGCCTCCAGCAGGTCAAGTGCTTGATCTCAGCTTCAGTTTTCTCCCTGGGAAGCATGAATGATGCCTGCCCTTCAGGATGGCTGGTGCAGGCAGGGAGGCTGAGCCTCTGCCCCATTCTTACAGAGCCCACATCCAGACATCAACCACGTGGGTATCCAGCCTTGAGATCCACCTTTCTGCTCATCCCTTTCTCTTCTCTTGGTGTCAGAACTGTTTCTCACATCAGTGGGGAGACCTCTGTTGAGCACACAGGCTCGGGCCCATTAGTTCGTGGGCATCTTGCTGGCCTTCCTCCGACACAAGGAGATCCAGCATCTTCCTTTTGTGTCCTCTACAGCACTGCTTTTAAAACTGTGGGTTGCAAACCATTGGTGGGTTTTTAAATCAACTTAGTAGATCATGACCAGCACTTACGTGAAAAATGAAATAGAATAATATGAAATAGAAAATACCAGAAGACATCTCATGGATAGGGGCAAATACTCGTGGATGGGGTGGACACTCATGGATGGGGTAGACATCATGGATGGGGTGGACACTCACAGATAGGGGTAGACACTCATGGATAGGGGTGGACACTCATGGATAGGGGTGGACACTCATGGATGGGGTGGACACTCACAGATAGGGGTAGACACTCATGGATAGGGGTGGACACTCATGGATAGGGGTGGACACTCATGGATGGGGTGGACAGTCATGGATTGGGTGGACACTCATGGATGGGGTGGACATCCATGAATAGGGGTGGACACTCATGGATAGAAGTGGACCCTCACGTATAGGAGTAGACACTCACAGATGGGGTGCACACTCACAGATGGGGTGCACACTCACAGATGGGGTGGACCCTCATGGATATAAGTGGACACTCATGGATAAGGTAGATGTCATGCGTAGGGGTTGACACTTATGGATGGTGCGGACACTCATGGATGGGGTAGACATCACGGATAGGGGTAGACATCATGGATGGGGTGGACACTCATGGATAGGGGTAGACATCATGGATAGGGGTAGACATCATGGATGGGGTAGACATCATGGATGGGGTGGACACTCATGGATGGAGTGGACACTCATGGATGGGGTGGACACTTATGGATGGGGTGGACACTCATGGATGGGGTGGACACTTATGGATGGGGTGGACACTCATGGATGGGGTAGACATTCATGGACAGGGGTAGAAATCATGTACAGGGATAGACACTCATGGAGTAGGGGTAGGAGTTGATAGAACTCTTGTTTACTTGTGTGCACATCTGCTGAGGGCTGTAAAATGAGTTCTTATGGCCTGATGTAGTCATAAGACTTGGATAAACACTCCCCCTTAACAGCAAAGCCTGTCACTTGTCACTTGTTGAGAAAATGTTTGTGAACACTGATATATAAAGATAGTTAAAGATGAACTATCCTTAACATATGTCTCAATAATTAGACAGCTCATAGAGATTTGGAGCCTAGCTTCCTGCATAGATGGTGTGTTTTCATCCATCCATCCATCCATCCATCCATCCATCCATCCATCCACTCACCCACTCACCCATTCATCCATCCATCCATCTGTCCACCCACTCATCCATCTACTCCACACCTTTTGTGAACATGCTGGTGGGAAGGCAATGGGTTGTTTACCTTCACTGTTTCAAAGGAAGAAAAGGAAAAATAATCCTTTCCTGCAAGTTCTGTGACCAAGACCCCAAAAGCACCATCTCCAACTCACACAGCAGTATTTTTGGTAGCAGGCATAAGTTATGTTCTCTTACTTTTTTTTTTTTCCTTCCTGAGATGGAGTCTCACTCCATCACCCAGGCTGGAGTGCAATGGTGGATCTCGGCTCACTGCAACCTCTGCCTCCCGGGTTCAAACGATTCTCCTGCCTCAGCCTCCTGAGTAGCTGGGACTACAGGTGTGTGCCACCATGCCCAGCTAATTTTTGTATTTTTAGTAGAAACGTGGTTTCACCACATTGGCCAGGCTGGTCTCAAACTCTTGACCTCGTGATCCACCCGCCTCGGCCTCCCAAAGTGCTGGAATTACAGGCGTGAGCCACCGTGCCTGGCCCATGTTCTCTTACTTTTAAGAACAAATCCTGATGTCCTTTTGTTCTCTATCTTAGCTCGGTTTTGGAGATGTGGCTTAAGGTATTCTATCTTCAAGGCTTCCTTCTGGATTACTCCAATTCATGATACATTTTTTTCTTTTCTCTTAATCCTTCAGTTAAGAGGAAATAGCAGAGACCCTTTTCTAATTTTTTTTATTTAAAATGGAGAAAGTCTTGGGATTATTTATTTATCAATGCCCTGATCTTAGGTCCAAAATAAGTTTAATATCTGACAACATAAGGTTTTTTGATTTTGAGCATTTTGTATCTATGTCTGCATGATGAAGTTTGAGCAGTGTGTGTTTTAACGGACATTGCGTGTTTCCCAGTTATATATTTGCTAGGCTAATGTGGGTACGCAACTTAGGAAAGATGAAAGAAATTTACTTAAAATCTGGCTCTTGACACATTATTCAGTGAAAATGTTCCCTTGAGCTGGAGTGTGGAGTAAGGGGCACCACTGGAAATGCCATCTCTATGCCGTCTTACAGGAAATAACTCAAGGATGGTGACCTGTGGCAGAGGTGAGGGCCCACCCCCACCTGTGTCAACATGGCCTTTCTGGCCAGTTGTAGTGGCTGTGCCCCAGCTCCTGCCTCCAGGATTAGTGGTCCCCCCTCTTTCCAGTCTAGAAGTCCACGCGCTCAACCTTCTTTCGGCAGCCCAAAGGTCAAAGCATCCAGGTCGTGCCCCAGGCCCCCTTCCCTCCTACCCTCACTTCACAGAGCCAGAGATACCCTTTGCACCCATGCCTCCTTCAGACATTGCTGCTGCTTCCCCAGTGAGTGGTCTGCTTGGACCACAGGGATGGCCAGAGGCAGCCGTGGAGCTGCTCCTCAGCTGCATTCACCTGTGTGGAGCCAGGCAGAACAGGGCTCCCTGCTTCCTACTTCTCCTTTCCTGACACAGCCATTAGTCATTGCATCCTGGACGTAGCAGAGAGAGAAGTTTGCCCTAAGACTAGAAGCAAGGATTCCCATGTGCTGGCCAAGGGTGAGTGGCGACTCTCAGTGGCAGCAGTTTCTAGCTCCTCTAAAAGCCGCTGTTTTCTGGAAACACTTGAGATGTTGATTCTAATGTCCATGCTGCTCGCAGCCTGGTCTCTGAATATCCCCTCCTCCTGCGGGAATGCCACACTGGCCCCTTTAGCTTTGTAGGAGCGCACTGCAAGACCTCTTCAGTTCTTCCTGCCTGTCAAAATTTTACTTTAAATGAATCCACAGAGGTGCTTGCCCCAACCCCACCGTAAAATCTGCCTTAATTAAGAGTCAGGGTAACCCGCATCCATTCGCCACACCAGCCCAGTCTCTGACATCAAGGTTATTATTTTTCCTCCTGCCTGAAAACTTCCTTGTCAATTATAAGAAAATATTAATTAAGTCAGGCATCTCCCCTCACGGGTGTCTCTAATTACTTACACAGAAGACATCCCTTAAAGTTGGGCAAATGGACATCCCTTCCGGAGTGCGCTGCAAACGTGTCTTACTAATGGCTTCCCGGGTCTGAGGCCCTTAGGGTCCCCAGATCGCTTGGTACAGTGCGGGTGAGTGGGGCTCAGTCTACTAACCTAACTTTATAGGAAACGTGGCAGAGTGTTACTGCCTATGGCTCACCTTGATTTTGGATTGAAGTCCCCATAAGAGCCAACGTTTCCTTAGAGCTCACTTCGTGCCAGGCTAAGCCATCACAGATAAAGAGGAGACTAATGTTACCACCATCTTACAGGTGGGAAAACTGAGGTACGCATGCTGAAGTGAGTGGGGCAGGGTCACCCAGTTTGTAGGCATCAGAGCCAGGAGCAGAGTCCACACACAGGATGGCATGCTCTTCACCATGTTGCTTTTAGAGACTCTGGGCTGGTAGAGAATTTAACTCTGGCCTTACTGGGTCCAAAGTCTTAGATGGGATGAAGAGGTGTGGGTGTGGGGTGAGGATGCCGGGGTGCAGGTGGCTGTTCCGTCTTGTCAGGCTCAGCAGCTCTGCCATCCTGGGTGGTGTCGGGGTAAAGGCGGCTGTTCCATCTTGTCAGGCTCAGCAGCTCTGCCTTCCTCGGTGGTGCCGGGGCTGGGGGCTCCCTGGGCTTCCCCTGTGCTGAGACTCACACTTACCCGACCTCCTCATCCACCAGGACTTGCTACCTGCCCTCCTCCCCTGGGCTCCGGGACAGCCAAGTGGATCAGTCACTGCAGAGCTGGGGGACCTCTCTAATACAGGGTTCCACTTCCCCAGATTTGGGAAATGGTGAGGAGACTGGGAAAGTGAGGTAATCAAAAATGGAAAATAAGTTAGTATTTCAAAATACTATGCAAAGCATAAATAGAAAAACCCTTGAACCTGCCAGATGAACAGTTTGTGGGTTGATTCTTCAGCATTGGTGCCTTCTTTTCCCTGCAGTGACTCCCCAGTTTTGCCTTGAGAAGGCCTAGGGGGCACCAACCACTTTCCCACCCCCAAGGGAGAACTGCGGATCCCGACGGCGGAGGCTCCATTCACCTGCCCCCGGCCATAGTGATTGGCTCAGGAAGACAGGGCTACAGCAAGGGGCCTTCTGAGAAGAAAGCTCCTCAGCTTCTGTAGGAGAGACCCCCTTTCCTCTCTCTCTGCACAGTGAGGACCGAAAAGGTGGTGGTGGTGCTGCTTTCTGGGGAGAGCTGAGAGCCGCGAGGAGCCTCAGTGTGGAGTCTGAAGAAGACGCCGCATCCCAGAAGGTTCTGGAGCCGAGTATCAGAGTTTGAGCAGTGAGTCCAGCCTAGCAGAAGCGGGTGTTGACCGGAGACTTTTCAATGGTGCAAAATGACACACTGCTTTTGACTTGGGGATCTGTCCCTTGTGGCACCAGAAGCTACAACAGGTCCACCTGGATTCCAGCTCTAGCTGGACTCGGTAATTGCTAAGTGCCAGCTCTGAAGTCTGTGATTCCGTGGAAATCCCTTTCAAGCCCGAATTCTGTTTTTTATGGGCCTCTTGTCCAAACAGTTTGACTTGTGAACTCTGTTTCTGTCAAGTTGACACTTGGGCTTGGCCACCCATTCATGAGCCAGATGAAAGCAGCTAAATGCTGGAAAAATCAAAGGTTTCTACCTCTCTGTGAAACCATTGTGAAGCATATAAAAAAATTAGGAAAGTCAAAACCCAACCAGAGCAAACCCAACTAAACATATGTGTCTGCAAAACCAAGGTGTGGCCTACTTTTTCACTGGAAAATACAAACAATTTTAATGGACTCTTGAGATGATGATGAACCAGATTTTGTGTTGCGTCGCGTCCAGTTCTCTATGTCTGATTCTTTGCTTTGCCTTATTTCTTCCACAAGCATCAATTTCTGTTTTATACGTGTGTGGCTAACACCCTAATGTATTCCTGGTATTAAAAATGGGAACATCTTGGATCTTCCTTCAAGGAGGAGAGTGCCCTTACGGCATTGAATACTGAGGAGCTCTCCCTTCCTCCCCACATATGCCCTTTTTCCTCCTCTCTCTTTTTTTTTTTTTTTTGAGATGGAATCTCACTTTGTCACCCAGGCTGCAGTGCAGTGGCACGATCTCAGCTCACTGTAACCTCCATCTCCCGGGTTCAAGCGATTCTCCTGCCTCAACTTCCCAAGCAGCTGGGACTACAGGCATCCACCACCAAGCCTGGCTAATTTTTGCGTTTTTAGTAGAGACGGGGTTTCACCGTGTTGGCCAGGATGGTCTCCATCTCTCGACCTTGTGATCCGCCCGCCTTGGCCTCCCCAAGTGCTGGGATTACAGGCATGAGCCACCGCACCCGGCCTTTTCCTCCTCTTAAGGAAGTGAAATCTTACCAGTCCCTCAGGGCGGCAGCCTAAGCTCCTGCTGACGCAGGCAGTCACTTCATCTCATTTCCGCCATCACTCTATGACGAGTTAGCACAAGGGCTGCCTGAGAAATGCCTCATGGTTCAGATGCTGTCTCACGTTCTCACTCCTTCTTGGCTTTCAGTGCTTCTGGGGCCACTCTGTGCCTGGTGCTGTGCTGGCCATGGGGGTAGTGGGATTCTCGGGTCCCCCCTGTTTGGTTCCTTGCCAGTGCCCAGAGTCATGTGGAGAAAGCCAAGCCCCTCAGTGGCACCTGGGGAGTGGGGGACATTGGTCCTTAGGAGCACAGAGCAGGAAGGGCTGTGGAAGAGGCACCTGGGGAGTGGGGGACATTGGTCCTTGGGAGCACAGAGCAGGAAGGGCTGTGGAAGAGGCAAGCCAACAGCTCAGCAGTGATGCGTGCCATTCAAAATCCGTGCCAGCGTTGCCCAACTTGGTTGAAGGCCCAGCACAGACACATGATGGCCCTGTTCAGTTATCTCCTGCTCAGGCAGGCAGACGCCTCCGTCTCAGTCTCTGCCATCAATCAGCCTCTAAGGGAACCGAGTGACCCGTGCAGAGAATCCTCATTTCCACATTTTTCTACATTTCCCGCTCCTAATTGATAAAATAAAGAGATTGCTAAGTAGAAAGCAGGTTCCGTGTATTTTGTGCAATCCAGCAACATTTTTCTTTCAAATGAGTTCAAGTCTATCTTGGCAAAAGGTGAAAGGAAGCGTCAATAATTCAAGCTAGTTATGTTTTTCTTTCCTTATTAAATCAGTTAAAATTATCTTTGTTCTTCCCAGACAGGCTCTGAAGGGCCTATTAAGGCATCTGTGGCATGGATCACTCACCTGGCACTCTCAGAGATAATTAAAATGCTGTAATCTTACAACATCTTGGAATAGGAAGGGGCCTTACAGAACTTGGGGAATTTGGTTCAGGCTTTTGATATCAGAGATATCAGAAACCAAGGGGTGGGGAGGTCCCAGGGACGTCAGAAGCCACAAGCTGTCAGAGGTGGAACCAGATTCACGAGGCCACCCCGCCCACAGAGCTTCTCTGCGGGCTCCCACACCCTTGCACAATGCAGCCACGCGGGGTGAAGAAGGCTCTGGAATTCCCCTGTTTGGAATCTCCCAACCCTATCCATCCTTCAGTGCCCTGCTCAGGTCCCCATCGCCATGGTCTTCCTCGTGGGCTGCCCCAGAACTGTGACTCCCATGGCCATCCCTTCCATTAGTGACACTCCCAGCACAATTGCAGCTGCTGCCGTCCACACCACCGGCTGTTCCACTGCTCTCAGCTCACTTCAACCTTCCCCCAACTTGGAGAGGCAGATGTGGATATGCTCACTTGATAGATGAGGAAACTGAGGCACACAGAGGTTCAGCCAGCCGAGCCACGTAGCATCATTAGTAGGTGGGAGAGCCACAGAGAGGACCCTGGTCTGGACTTTAGGCTGACACTGAACCGCGGGCAACGCATGCTTGTCCCCGTCAAGCCACACATCTGCCCTGGTGTCTTGGAGCTGGTTCATCTTCCACAAAACTGAGAGTTCTCTGGAGGTGTGGGGGTGCCTGTTTCCTAGCCACCCCTTGTCCTCAGCAGAGAATGCAAGTGGTCCCTGACTTACAATGGTCCAACTTGCAGTCTCTCGACTTTCCTATGGCATGAAAGTGGCACTCATCCAGCGGAAGCTGTACTTGGAGCACCCATCCAACCCTTCTGTTTTTTACTTTCAGTATGGTGTTCAAGAAGTTACTTGAGACAGTCATCACTTTATCATAAAATACGGTCTGGGTTAGGGCATTCTGCCCGACAATAGACTAGTGTGAGTGTTCTGAGCATGCATTCAAGATAGGCGAGGCTGAGCTGCGAAGTTTCGTAGGTTAGGTATGTTACATGCGTTTCGACTGATGATATTTTCAGTCTATATTGGGTTTATTGGGACGTAGCCCCATGGTAATTGGAAGAGCGTCTGTATTTGTGCACTGGTTGGTCCTGTCAAATTGCTACAATGTTTCCTCCCTCCAGGCAGCAGCGGGCAGAGGGGTTCCAGGCCAGCTAAGGCTTGTGGTTTAAAACTTTCAGACAAAACCACCAAACGGTGCTGTCCTGAGCACTCACGCTATTCCTCAGCCTGCCCTACACCTGTCACCCGCCGACAAGGCCGACCTTATCCCAGGCTTACTTTGGATCGTCACCTGAGATTCTGCTTCTCTGATCTGCATGTCAGATGCCTTCAAATTAGGTGCTGGGAAGAGCCAGGGCTAGGAGCAGCCGTCATGACGTGCAGAGCGCACGCATGCATGTGCACAGTTGTGTGCATGTGTCTCTGTGTGATGCATGTGTGCATGCATATATGTGTGTATGTGCGTATGTCTCTGTGCACACGCATGTGTATGTGTGTCTATGTGTGTGCACACGTGTGTATGTGTGTCTCTGTGTGTCTGTGTGTGTACACGTGTGTATGTGTCTCTCTGTGTCTTGTGTGCCCACGTGTGTGTGTCTCTGTACACACGTGCCTGTGTGTGCACACGTGTGTATGTGTGTCTCTGTGCACGTGTGTGTCTGTGTGCACACATGTGTACGTGTCTCTGTGTGCACGTGTGTATGTCTGTGTGCACACGTGTGTGTGTATGTGCACACGTGTGTATGTGTGTATGTGCACACGTGTGTATGTGTGTATGTGCACACGTGTGTGTGTATGTGCACATTTGTGTCTCTGCACACGTATGTATGTGTCTCTGTGTATGTGTGCACCGTGCACACGTGTGTATGTGTTTCTGTGTGTCTCTGTGTGCACACGTGTATGTCTCTGTGTGCACACACATGTGTATGTGTCTCTGTGTCTGTCTGCACACGTGTGTATGTGTGTCTCTGTGTGTCTGTGTGTGCAAACATGTGTATACATGTTTCTATGTGCATGTGTGCTGTGCATGAATCTGTTTGAGTGTGTGTGTCGGCTGTGCATGTGTGCTTGGGGGTTATAGGGTGGGCACAGGGAGGGTTGTGGCAGCTGCTATTAATCTGTGGCTCCGGGACACTCTTGCTTGCCCTGGGATGAGTAGGGGTTTCCTATGGTTCCCTGACTGTGGACATGAGACCTGTTCCCACTTCCCACCCCAACCCCATGTGAAAACATCCTGATGATATGGTCCTCCTGGCCCACCGTGATTGTTCAGAGACCGCCGCGGGTGCAGAGTGCAAGGGGGTGTGGTGGGAAGTGTACCAGTGGCCTCTAGAGCTGGACCATGCATGGTCTTTTACTGCAGGAATAACATGATCCCTGGGGTTCACTTTCCTGGGCCAGAAGCATGGGGCTGACACACGCTCAGCTCTTTGTGCCAGGACGCCTGCCCTCCTGTCCCACCAGGTCTCCTTGGAATCCCCACATGCCCTCCGTCCCGCCCCACTCAGGCCCCTTTCCCAGATCTGATGACCCTGGCCCTGCCTCTCCAGCTTGGTCTTCCAGAGTTGAGTCTGCGTGGCTGTGTCCTCATTGTCTCTCGGCTCCCATGACGCTAAGGTGGCTTCCAGGCCTGTGGTCTGGCTGGACAGGACGTCCTCAGCTCGGGACACTCAACCCTCCACACCTGTGCTTCCTGGGCTGGTCCTTCCCAGCCTCCCCTTTCCGAGCTGCCTTCCTGGTGCCTCCCTCCTGGCCACATCCTAGGGCACATCTGCTCTACACTGCAGTCCCTCCTGGGCCAGCCTCTTCCCTTCCCACTCTGTGTGGCCAGAGCCCATCTGCCAGTGCGGCACCTCGTACTTGGACTATTTGTGAACTTGCATCCAGACAAAAAGGCCTATTTTTTCTCACACACTTGGGGTGCAGCATTTTCTTGGGCTAAGCCATAACCCCAACTCCCCCTGCTCCTGCAGTGGCCTGTAAGTGGCTGTGTTTTCTGTGGGCTCTGGATTGCCATTCGGGGGAGGACCCTCAAAACAGTGGTGCTCCAGATGGGGCTGGCCACGTGTGTGCCGGCGGCTCAGCTCAATGGTCCCCTGCCCTGGGGGCTTGAGACGTCTCTATGGTTCTCTCATCTGCTCAGGAGGCACCTCTAGGTGCACGGAACAGACTTCTTTGCGAATGGAACAGAGTACGTTCCACCACATCTGCCTTCCCTGATCCCTCCTTGCAGAATTCAAATCCCCAAATCCCCACAAAGGCGACCCAGTTTCAGGGCTGACATCCTGTGCTATTTTCCCCACGTAAAGACGGATGAGTTCTTTGCCCCTTGGAATTGATGATAATAGGGTTTTGCTGCACATATTCCTAATTCTCTGGGCCAGTCATTTGGCCACATGGATTGTATAGAGCAGCGTTTCCCAGACTTTAATGTGCACGGGCTTCACCTGGGAATTTTGTTTAAATGGAAATTCGGATTCAGTAGGTGTGGGATGGGGCCTGAGATTCTGCATTTCTGACGAGCTCCCAGGTCCGGGACGGTCCTCGGCAGAGAAGGTCAGACTGTGGCGGACACGAAGGATCACAGACGCCTTCCTCCTCGATTGTTCAGCATGATCTATCTTGTTCTCCAAAAATGACAAAGTGTGTCAAAAAGTGAGAGCGTGAGACGGGTCTCTCCAGACAGGCTGCTGTCTTTATCAGGAGTCCCTCAGAGGCAGGTGGCAGAAGCCTTACTCCTCTTTCTTAAGGGCAGGAAGGAGTATCTTGAGGCCTTGAGAAGTTCACGGGGAGATGGCTGCAGGTGCATCTGGTTCCAGATGTTCAACCAATGTTTCCGGAGTTCCATGCGTCCGCTTGGCCTTCCTCTGTTTGTCCTTGTTCTCAGGTAGGCATTCCGTCTTAATAGTAGGAAATAATGGCCAGGCTTAGACGGTCCGAACCGAGAGTGGTCTCAAGGGGGAAAGAGAGAGAGCGCCTCTCACCGAGTCAAGCATATTCGTCCCCGGAAATGACTCCAAGCACCGCCTCTTGGCCAGCCCCTCTGCGCCGGGCCGTGAGCTCTCCTGGCTGGGCCCTACCAGATGATGAGAACTTGGGGAGAGGCTGTTGCCACGTGGGAGAGATTGCGGACAGGGAAGCTTCTGCTCAGACCGTGACCTCTGCTTCCCTTTCCACCGCGCTGCTCCGAGGGCCAGTGCTGGGTGCCCGGTATGCCTGAGCAATAACCGTTGCTCCCGGTTTCCACCGCGTTCATAATGACACCCCTCTTACCTGGTCCGCCATCTTGGCTGAGCATTGGAGTCACCCGAGTGGCTTTTCAAACAATGCCCAAGACTCACCCAGAAAATCTGCTGGCAGCCCAGGCATAAGCATCTATTTTTAAAGCTCCCCACCTTCAAAAAGTGCAGCCAAGATTAAAATCCTCAATGGAAACAAGGCTTGACGTGCTAGGTGATAAAGAATTTTAAAATTACAGGGCTCCAAGGAGTCTCAGAACCCGTCTAGTTTCTGCCCTTTCATTTTACAGGTAAAGTAACTTACCCAAAGTCTCGGAGTTGGTGTGGAGTGCAGAATGCAAGCCACCTGATTTCCAGCCCTGTGTTCTTTTTATAACAGCTGATTTTGCACATGTCAAAAAGGAGGCTGACATCACAGAGCAACACAGCCAGGGGCTCAGAAAGCTCCCTGGCACATCTGAAAAGGAAGAGCAAATACTTTGAAAATATTAAAGGTTATTACCAGATGTCAAATGAATGTCAGGGAAATAACTTCAAGTTTTTCAACACACTGGGACTCATTTAATTTATTTAAATGTCTTTGTTAGCTAGGGGAATTCTTAAGACTGTCCTCCTTGTCATTTTATCCCACGATTAATCACCTGCAAGCTAACTTAACCTGGAAATAACTGTAAAATTTGTGATACTTCAACCGATCAGGTCAAGACACTTGGTTCTTAACAGTCTGTGTAGGATCAAAGATATGGCTGCTGTCCAAAAGAGCTGGGATGCTCACATCAAAGTTCAGATCCAACCCCTTTCAACCTTGCTCCTTCTCTTCAGCACTTAGATTTAAGTTCTTGTTGAAAACTTTTAAGTAGAGCAGTGTGTGTGTGTGTGTGTGTGTGTGTGTGTGTGTGTGTGTGTGAATTGCAGCCTTAGCCCAAACCAGCTCCTGCGTGTCGTGAACTGGAGAGTGGACGCGATTTCCCAGCTGAGCCAGCTCTTGCCTGTCAGGTCGAGCTAGGTGAATGTGCTGAGCTGTCCTAAGAGGGTCCTTTTCATGAGCGTTCCAGGTGCCTTTCAGTCCCTGTGGATCCTTGGGCTCATAGCTGCCTCGTTATGGAAAACACTTGTGGCCAAGCGAATGCTGACCACACGGCCTCCAGTTTGAACAAGGCTGAGACCTGACCGGCTTTCTCATCAGGAAAAAACAACATTGGATTCATTTCTCCATCTCTCTCTCACGTGTGATGCTTTCCACCCACTGGGTTAAGTTTCTTATTGCCTTCTTCATTTTTCTTTCTCCTCTCCCCTCGCCCTCCCCTTTCTGTGTCAGTTTCAAAAGGCAAATGTCTGGCGGGAGTCAATAAAGGAATTGCTTTTACTTGTTTCAGGTGCTGACGGCACAGTGAGGTTTGTTATGCTGGAAGCTTAAACCAACAAAAGCCAGGGAGGACTGGACGCTGTCTGAAAGTGAGGACAGGAATTGTTAATTGCTCATAACATCCTGTGTCTACCAAGAGCAACAGATACTTGACTTCTTTTTTAAACTGTCTAAAGTTAACTTACTCACAGAATACCAGCCATAAATACTTTCATGTCTGACTCACTTAAGCTAGAGTTGTAACTTCACATTACCATGTGCCTTTACATTATTGAAGTTTAAAGGAATTCCTTTCAAAGCCCAATGTTTGGCTCACGATGAAAGGGAATCAAACAGCTTATTCTAAGTTACATTCAATAATTACATAAGTAACCCTTTAAATACTAGATATGCAAATAGTGCACTATTCTTCCTGTAATTACTTTGTGTACACGGTTTGATAAAATCCCAAGATTGTAATACATGTTTATGGAGAAGATTAGCAAATATGATTTCTTTCTGAATGGAAGAAGTGAACTAGGAATTGAAAGTGAACTAGACATTTGCAGTTGCTTTGAGTGGCTGCCTGGAGCCTGTTGGTGTGAGGAAGCCAGGAAGAGCCAAGGGGTGTGTTCCAGGCATGGCTGAAGCCAGGTGTCTCCTCCGTGCAGCCTCATCCAAACCACCTGAGAGTCCCAGGGTCCCTGATTGTGCATGCATCCACTATTGAAAGATCAATTCCATGGGGTTGGGCCGGAAATACCTCTATGGGTGTTTCAGAGATTTCAGTCCATGTCTCAATTTAATCTGGGTAGATCAGGGGTAACCTGTACATGAGCCAAGCTTCTTCACAACTCCCCGTCAATCTTTAAAGGAGGGAAAGGAGTGATTTGGGTTCAGATCATCTAGCTTCAGCCCTCCTCCCCAGAACACACTTTAAACAAGTTATTTTCGGTATAATTCATGCTTATTGTAAAAATTACCAAAGAGTTCACAGGTGGGCACAAAACTCTTGTTTTCCCTCCAGGTTTCCTAATCCCATATCCCAGAGAGAGCTTCTGTTGGCAGCTCTGAATGCATCCTTTCAGACAGCTGATCGGGTGTTAAGAACGTGCATGCATGTGTGAGCACCCCACAGGCACTCATGCTCCAGGTAGCTGTTTTGTTACTCATTTCACCCATTCCTGTGGACTTTCCTACTTTCAGCTTATTCAAGCTCTTCTCATCCCCCGAGGGCTGCATGGTGGCCCATTTGAGTGGGGCCATTCCATCCTCATCCTCATTCCACGTGGTTGGGGTTACACTGACCGCATCCTGGAGCCCCAGCTCCGGACAATGGGAGAACTCTACCCCACTGGCCATAAGGGTTGGCCTAGGATGCGCCGTGGGAGTCATGGAGACCAGGGAGAGCTCATTCACCCATTAGGAGCATGTATCAGACGCCTAGTGTATGCCAGATGGTATTCTGGGAACTCAGGGTCCAACGGGCAAGGGCTCATGCTCTTCTGGAGCGGACATTCTACTAGGGAGGGGGATAGGATGGATAATAAACTCATGCCTCTTAAAAACGACCAAATTATTTGGCTTCTTGGGAGGTGGTAAGTGCCGTGGATAGAAAGAGAAGTAGCACACGGTTAGGTGGTTGCTGCAGTATGAAGTAGGGTGAGCAGCAGAGGCCTCATCGAGAAGAGGACATTTGAGTAAAGGTTTTTAGGAAGTGAAGGAACGAACCAAGCTCTGGGGAGAGGGAGCCACCAACATCCCACGGCCAGGCATGCAGAGAGGCAGCGAGGAAGCTGGCACAGTCTCTGCGGAGGGAGAATCAGGAAGGAGGTCAGAGGGCCAGGGAGGGAGAGGCAGCTCAGCTAGGTCCTTGCAAGTCCATGGCTTTTATGCAGAGTGAGTGGTGGACACGTGAGCAGAGGAAGGAACCATGTAACTGAGGTCTTAAGAGCCACCTTGACTGTTGGTTTGAGAATAGACCACAGGAAGCAGTCTGTGCAGGAAGTAGAGATGGGGACAACTCGGGGAGGTCAACCCCGGCAGGGGACGAAGGCTAATGCCAGGGAGCTCACCGCAGAGATGGCAAGTTTGACTTGGAGTGTGTTTCAAAGGTAGATCCAGCAGGATCCCCCGTGAGATGACCATCGGGAGCGATGGAGCTGCCATCACCTGAGGTGCGGTACGTGGTGTGCAGAACAAGGTAGGTGAGGTTCAGAGCACGAGTAGGGCTTTGGAGGTGTTGAGCGTGAATGCTCTGTTAGGTCACATGGGCAACTGGACATATGCCTGCGGGGCTTTGAAAAGGATGACACTGGAGATCCGAAATGGGGGCTGTGGCTGGCAAATGGCATTAAAGTCCACATGAGGTCACCAGTCCCACTGAAGGGTGAATGCAGATGGCTGGTCCTGGGCCACTCCATGATTGGAAGAGGGGCCCTCTCAAGCAGGGAGAGAAGAGGAGCTAGGAGGCCAGCGGCAGTGGCAGTGAGTTGTGTCGAGGGGGCACCAGCTGTGTTCAGCGAGGCTGATGGGCTGTGATGACTGACGCTGGGAGGGCCACCCTGGATGGAGCTCAGAGATGGTCTTAGTGAGAGAAGTCCCTGGGGCGTGATGGCGTCAGCAACATGACCAACCGTAGACAGTGTCTATGGATTCTGCACTGTGCAAGATGAATGTAGCTAAGTTACTAGTTGCTTGCTTTTTGGACAAGTTATATGGTGGTGCCTCAGTTTCCATATGTGCAGCACCCATGCCATAGGATTATTATGAGAATTGACGATGTGATGATGCATAGAGCAGAACAGGGCCCAGCGGGCACAAGCACAGCATAAACGTTCACTGTCACTATTACACCGCCTCCTGCTTCTCTTTGCCACCAGCACATCCCAACTTTCTTCAGTTGTATTATTGTTTTCAGCTGTTTGACTTGTTCTCATGATTGTATTATATGTAAACATCCATTCCTTGATTTGCCAACTTTGGTCAGCAAGAATTGACACCCAGCCACGAGAAGGGAAGAAGGAAGAGCAGCTCCCTTCCTCCCATTTCTCCATGCAGCTTTGCTTCTCAGGGTCTGGTTGTTACATGAAGATTGTTGCTTCATCATGTCTTACTACATTTACTTTCTGTCACGATATGTGTTTGACTACAAGATGTCTTCAATAATCAAAGGCAATAGAAATCATTCCTAGGATGAAGATCATGTAAAGTTACTCATTTTGGACACTTTTCTAAGCATTAAGATCTAATGACTTTATAAGAAATTTCTATCTAGTCTTTCTTTGATTAAGTCACACTCCAGGGCATCTGTGCCTCCAATCCCTTTGTTTCTCTTGGTCTCTTCTCCTTTTGCTAAAATAGTTCTCCTCTCCCCATTTTTTTTTCACAAAAGTGAATTTTCTGAATTTTGAAAATGTCTATATTTATTCCTTACCTTTGTTTTTTGTTTGTATGTTTTGAGAAGGAGTCTCGCTCGGTCACCTAGGCTGGAGTGCAGTGGCTCCATCTTGGCTTGCTGCAACCTCCACCTCCCAGGCTCAAGCGATTCTCCTGCCTCAGCCTCCTGAGTAGCTGGGATTACAGGCATTCACCACCACATCTGGCTACTTTTAGTAGAGACGGGGTTTCACCATGTTGGCCAGGCTGGTCTCAAACTCCTGACCTCAGGCAATCCGCCCCCACTCGGCCTCTCAAAGTGCTGGGATTACAGGCATGAGCCACCTCACCCAGTCTATGCCTTGCCTTTGATTAAGGGTTTGGATATTAAAGAATTTTTATGCAAAGAAATGTTCAGGACACTGAGCTATTGATATCTGGCATTCATTTCAGCATTGCTGGTATGGAATCTGATATTAGCCATCTCTATTCACGTTGCTTTATCTTGTTGGAAGTTTTTGGGATGGTATTTTTATTCCTAGAGTTCTTCTATGTTAAGGGATTAATCTGGATATGCAGCTTTGTAGAATTAACCCCGTTCAGCTCTTCCTGGGCCCTTCATGCTGAGTGTGGGATTTCCCTCCAGTCCCGAAGCTCTTCAGAAGCCTGCTGCCTGCCCCAGTGTTCCGGGGCCTTCTTGCAGAATGCCCAGTCGATGAATGTCAGGCTGCTTGGTCTGTTCTCCATGTCTCTTAAACTTTCTTTCATATTTTCCACCTTGCTCTTTTTCTTCTCCCCACAATGTTCTGGGAGATGTTCTCACTCATCTGCTATGCTCAATTATTCAGCTTATCCACAGAATGTTTCCTTTTGGCAGGTGTTTTAAGATGAAGGAACACCTTTTAATTCCTGCCTGGTTTGCACAGGAACCCGCTGTTTCATGGGTGCTGTATCTTCTCTGGTCTTTCTGGGAAGGCGGGTGGAGCTTCCTTCCTTCCTTCCTTCCTTCCTCCCTCCCTCCTTCCCTCTCTCTCTTTCTCTCTTTCCCTTTCTTTCTTTGTTTCTTCCTTCCTTCCTTCCTTCTTTCCTTCCTTCCTTCCTTCCTTCCTTCCTTCCTTCCTTTCTTTCTTTCTTCTTTTTTGAGACAGAGTCTCACTCTGTTGCCCAGGCTGGAGTTCAGTGGCATGATCTCGGCTCATTGCAACCTCCACCACCCTGGTTCAAGCAATTCCCCTGCCTCAGCTTCCCAAGAAGCTGGGATTACAAGCGCACATCATGCCCAACTAATTTTTTTTTTTTTTGTATTTTTAGTAGTGACAGAGTTTCACCATGTTGGCCAGACTGGTCTCCAACTCCTGACCTCAGGCAATCTGTCTGCCTTGGCCTCCCAAAGTGCTGGGATTACAGGCTTGAGCCACTGTGCCCGTCCTGGAGCTTTCTAAAGTTCTTTTTCATTCTGTGTCCTCTCTACTTTCTATGCTGAGTTCCTCTTTCCTCATCTTGCTCCTTTCTCATGCTCTTGCTTTCACCAAATGCCTGCTGACCTTGGTTTGGGGTTCATAATTGTGAGTGAAGGTGTCTGTGTTAGTCAGGGTTCTCCAGAGGCACAGAACTAATAGCATGTATGTATATATGAAAAGGAGTTCATTAGGGAGAATTGGCTCACACAATCACAAGGCAAAGTCTCGCAATAGGCCATGGTTCAGTCCAAGTCCCAAAGCCTCAAAAGTGCAAAGCCAACAGTGTAGCCTTCAGTCTGTGGGTGAAGGTCCGAGAGCCTCTGGCAAGCCACTGGCATAAGTCCAAGGCCAAAGGCCAAAGAACCTACAGTCTGATGTCCAAGGGCAAGAGGAGCAGAAGGAAGCATCCAGCACGGAAGAAAGATGAAAGCCAGAAGACCCAGCAGGCCGGCTTCTCCCACCTTCTTCCACCTGCTTCGTTCTGGCCATGCTGGATTGGTGCCCACCTACACTGAGGGTGGGTTGTCCTCTCCCAGTTCACCGACGCAAATGTCAGTGTCCTCCGGCAACACCCTCCCAGACACACGCAGAAACAATCCTTTACCAACTATCTAGATATTCTTCAATCCAATCAAATTGTCATCTTATATTCACCATCACAGAAGGGATGATCTCTTTCAATGTTGGGAGATACTTGGGGCATCTTTTGCAGTTGTCAGGTCCACTGCAAAGTCACCTCCAGTTGGATGGAAGGGGTGTGTTTGCCTTCTCTGAAAGCAGGCGGGTGACTTCATTCCTAGGCCGGGCCGCCTCCCCTCCCTTCCTGCAGTGGCCTTGAGCCTTGCAAGTTCTGCTCTGATTGTCCCTCCCAGGATCACCCCCCAGGGCAGACCTCATCCTTCCCTGTGGGAGCTGGCCCTTGAGTTCAACCTGAGAAAAACCAAGCTACTTCCAACTAAGTGACAGTGGTGCACCCAAGCTGCTCTGTGTGAGAGTCCTGCACAAAGGTTCTTGGCTGCCCCGCCCCGCATCCTGGTCTTGAGGTCCTTTCTTCTTTCTGTGTCTGGATCTCCCAGAGACTCCCTTCACCTCTGGAGTCCTTGCTCTGTGGTTTCCTCTGTTCTCTCTGTTTTTTTCAGGCTGGTTGCTCATGCTTCCTATTTTCCAAGAATTTATCAAAAATTTCTTTTCTATCATTGTGCTTTTCTTGTTTCATTCAACATGAACTTGGGAAGACAGGGAGGTGACGCAAGTGCTCCATTGGCTACCTTGAGACTAGAGGTCCCGCCCCTCCTTTGGAACCTGCAAGCCAGCAATAGCTCTCAGAAATATTCTTATTCAAGCTGTGGGGGTAGGGGGTGGGATCGGGGTCATCGATGTCAGATGGCAGGTCCCAGATCCCCCAGCCCACAAATTATATTTGAGGCAACCCCAGACAAATCCTTACCATGCTTGAGCCTCAGTTTATGAATGGACATGGGGGTCTCAGGATGCCTGACCCACAGGGGTGGGCAGGGCTGAGTCGGGCACTTTCTGGAGCGCTCTCCAATTGTAAACCGCATGGCTGGTACTGTGCAGTTACCCTCAGCAAAGAGAAAGGCAGGTAAGGCCACGATGGATGTTAAACACTCATTTTAAAACTAAAAATGACTTAGGAGTGTGGCTGCCCGAGTCCCCAGTCACAGAAGTGTGGCCGTCTCTCAACATCACCATTTCCTTTCTGAATGTCTCAGAACTAAGCCTTGGCCTGAGCTGTCTCTCTCGTCTACAGTCTACAGGCAAGGGCACCCCCGGCATGTTTATTGCCTGCCACCAGCTTTCTGTGAAGGAAACGTTTCAGGGTTAATGAACCAAAACTTGGGTCCAGGCAGAATGAGGCTGGAACCGAAGCTGTCCTGGGGCTTTTGTTAGTGGTTTGCCTTTCAGACCCTGGGGGCTCTATCCATGCCTCGCGGCAGACAAAACAACCTGGGATTGACAGGCTGACTTCAGGAGACAGGTGCCTCAGACGAATCTTCAACCCGTGGCCTCATTAGGCTGCATCGAACTGTCCAGGCCCCGTGGGTGTACCATCAGCGTTTTTCAGACCGGGGAAGGTGACTGTGCCATGGCACAAGGACGTGCAAATGGGGACAGCAGTGCCACAACAGTAACTTTCCGTGGGAATCAAGTCCTATAGGAACCCATGGGTCCCTAACTGAATGGGCACTGGTCTCTTACATGTACATACTAAATAGACTCCGGGGTGTTGATCCTCTAGAGCCAATATTGCCTATCTGTCACAGATGGAAGGTTGGGGTCCCCAGGATTCCTATGTTGAAACCCTGACCTCCCAAGTGATGATATTAGGAGACATGGCATTCTGGAAGTAATCAGGGTTCTACAAGGACATGAGGCTGGGGCCCCCATCATGGGACCCATGTCCTAAAAAGAAGGAAAAGAGAAACCAAAGCTCTCTCTCTCTCAGCCATGTGAGGACACAGCAAGAAGGTGGCTGTCTGCAAGCCAGGAAGAGAGCCCTCACCAACAACTGAATCTGTTGTCGCCTTGATTTTGGACTTGCAGTCTCCAGAGCCGTGAGAAATAACGTCTGTTGTCTAAGCCACACAGGCACTGGTGGTTGTTATAGCAGCCTGGGGTAAGGCATTCTCTGTCCAGCAGGATTATAAGATGGTGGGTGTATTAGTCCACTCTCACACTGCTATGAAGAAATACCCGAGACTGGGTAATTTATAAAGAAAAGAGTTTAATTGACTCACAGTTCCACATGGCTGGGGAGGCCTCAGGAAACTTACAATCACGACGGAAGGCACCTCTTCACAGGGTGGCAGGAGAGAGAATGAGTGCAGGCAGGGGAAATGCCAGATGCTTATAAAACCATCAGCTCTCATGAGAACTCACTCACTGTCATGAGAACAGCGTGGGGAAAACCACGCCCATTGTTCAGTTACCTCCCACTGGGTCCCTCCCACAACATGTGCGGATTATGGGGATTACAATTCAAGATGAGATTTGGGTGAGTGCAGTAGCCACATGTGGACCTCAATCCCTTTGAATGTGGCTTGTGTGATGGAAACACTAAAAGTTTTGATTTTATTTAAATTTTGATTAGTGTAAATATAAGTTTGGAGAGTTACATGTGATTCATGGCTACTGTATTAGTGCAGGTCTAGAAGACTTTGAGTCAGCCAGCCTGGCTGCTGGCACAGAGGGCAGGCGGTGGATTTGAAACCTTAGAGGAGCCTTCCAGTCTACAAAAGTTCTTCCACTCACCTGTCTAGAATCTCATTCTTATAGAGCCCTGCTCTCCCTCACACACCCTCCTGGGAGATGCGAACGGGAAGGATCATACATAAAACAATATCAGCAGTCAGCATAGTGTTGGGATCAGTAGACAGATCTCGTCCCCTTCAGGCAGCTACCAGGAGGAGACCAGTGGGAGAATTGGAGGGTCCTTCAGGAAGGCCCAGAGGTTGGAGCTTAGATCCTCACTTCCCAGGAGGGAACAGCAGACTCGCTGGAGCCCTGGGCAAGAGGCTCTGGGTGTCCTCGTGGACAGGGCAGCGAGGCAAATGGGAGCTGGATGCAGGAAGGAGGCTGGACACAGGGACACAGAACAGAACAGTTCCGGCTATCAGCAGCTTTCCCAACACCCAAGCCTGGTTTACAGGGAACATGGCTCAGCTGAATAAGCAAACACAAACTGGTGCCAGTTTTCTAATGAACATGCTTAGCCCTCACAGTGGGACTTGCTGCTTCCTGGCGACCAGTGAGTGCCTGAAGCCTCAGCCCAGGTGTCAGAGCAGGGCGGGGTGGGCCACTTGCTGAGGTCTTCGTGCAGCTGAAGCAAGGCCTGTAGAAAACATCCACAGCCACACTCACACCTGTCCTAGCTCCGTTTTTACCTGGAGCAATTATTTTAGCATAAGTTAGAAAGAAGCTGTGTTTTCACTTTGAATTTCCTGTGTATGGGGGAAACTCGCGAGCTCGTTGCTTGGCTACTTAGTACATTCCCAGCACTGTTTTGAGCGCTCTGCCAGTATTGGGTTCATTCCCCACAATAAGTGCTCTTTCAGACTCTTAACAAGTAAAACAAATGTAATTACTTCCTTTGTGGTCCATCACAGATATGTATGCAATTTATAGATCCGAAAGTGATGTAAATGTGACCTGAACGGTTTTCTCATCTACATGTGTATTTCAAGGCCATATTCCTACTGAGAAATCAAGTAATTGATCTGTACAATGGAGAAAATAGTTTTTAAAAGTAATTTTTGTTTCTTAAAAATAATCTCTTCTTTCATTCTCGAGATTTCCTGATGGTTGTGGTGCTAGAGAAGACACCCAACCCGGGGCTTTTCCTGCCTACCCCGTCCTGGGTGTGGGGCCTGAGGGGCGCCCAGGGCTGGGCTGAGTGTGTTTCTGCCTCCGGACCCATGGAGCAGCCCCTACCTGCCTTTGCTCTCTTACGGAGCTGTGAGAATTAAAACGCCACTTGGAGGGAGCCCTGCGTAGAACTCGGAGTTGGAGGAGATGATGATGAAAGGGTGTTTATTTAAGTGGAATGAAAGGCATAGGCCTCTTGGGAGCCGTTACGTCACCAGCTGTGGGCAATGTCAGGAATAAATGGCTTTTTCCCACCTGAATTTATCATCTTTGGGGTTCTTTCCTAGCTCCCTGCTGCACAGTTCTCCTCCCAACACCTTCATCCCCTCAACCCCCGTTTCTGACCTTGCAGATTCCCTCCAGAGCAAGCTCGTCTAACTCGTGGCCCGCAGGCCACACGGAGCCCAGGAGGACTTGAATGCGGCCCAACACAAATTTATAAACTTTCTTAAAACATTATCAGATTTTTTTGCGATTTTTTTTTTAGCTCATCAGCTATCATTAGCGTTCATGTATTTAATGTGTGGCCAAGACAATTCTTCTTCCAATGTGGCCCAGGGAAGCCAAAAGTTTGGACACCCCGCTCTAGATGTTCTTGGCTTCCTTTTCCTGATAGAACTTTCCACTTCTGAGTCTCACTGCCTTCGCCTCCTGGTGTCCCCCAGAGAAGAAAGGCTCCTTCACATCACAGTCATGACTCGCAGAGGGGCCTTCTCCAGGCAACGTGGACTTTCCCCGTGGTCCTCAATCAGTGGGGGGAGTTTCAGCCCTGATGGAGGCGAAAGGGAGCAGGAAATGCCTTTCCTCTTTCATTCGCATCACACCGCAGAGTAGACGGCCTGTTCCATCTTCGCATGTTACAAGCAGATAGATCCTCAGTCATACCTCAGCCTGCCCTCACGGCCTCCTGGGAAGCAGAAGAACACCTCCCGGCCATGCGGGGGCGCTCTCTCATGTGCCACGCAATTCTTCCGGCTGCTCTGCCGGGACCCCGCCATCTCAACTGCCCGGAGGGCTCCACAGGGTCTCCTGTCCTAAACTTGGTCATCTTATGGAACCTCACAATTCTTCCACCTCTCTGAAAATGAGGAGCTCTGCGCTGGATCAGATCCCAAGCTTCCTACAGTGGCTTCTTCTTGCAGAATGGCCAGCCCCAGGCCGGTCGCACGGGTGCTCGTGGGACTTGGCTCTTGGTACCTGCCTGGCTGGGAACATGCGTGCTTCTCTCCGCCACCTCATCAGGATCCTCCCTTGACACCTGATCCCGTGTCCCCTTGTTCTGTGGGGCACTAGCCCGGCTCACAGTCGCTCATGCATTCCCGAACCTGTTCCCGGCATGCAGACCCTCAGAAAGATCTGTGCGTTCATGGCATGTGCCCTCCCTGGTCCTGGCAGCACCCGGCCTTCTCCACACCTCTGATCTGCAAACGAAAGCAGCTTCCTTTGTGTCATTTCACATGTTGTTCTCTCACTGGGTGATGCATTAGTCTTCTCTTTCCAAGAACATAAACTTTTTAGAGGAAAAAATTGCAGTAATATAAACATCCAGCATTTACTGCGTGGTTAGCACGTGATAGGCATCATTCTAGGCGCATTTTTTTTTTTTTTTTTTGAGACAGAGTCTCGCTTTGTAGCCCAGGCTGGAGTGCGGTGTTGCAATGTCAGCTCACTGCAACCTCTGCTTCCTGGGTTCAAGCAATTCTCTGCCTCAGCCTCCTGAGTAACTGGGATTATAGGCGCCTGCCACCACGTCTGGCTAATTTTTGTATTTTTAGTAGAGACGAGGTTTCACCATCTTGGCCAGGCTGGTCTTGAACTCCTGACCTCGTGATCCACCCTCCTTGGCCTCTCAATCTAGGCGCTTTACAATTTGATTTAATCCTCACAACGATCACACAAAGCACATTTTGTTATAATCCCGTTTTACAGATGAGAAAATTGAGGCCCGGAGAGGCAGGGTAGCTTCCCAAGGCTGCACGGGTTGTGAGAGGTAGGAGCTCACAGGACAGATACTAGAGCTGCCTCTCTCAATCCTTTCCCTGTCCTGGCTCTGGAAGGCTCTGTACCATTCTCCTCCAGAGTCTGGAGTTCACAGTCATCAGGAATTGGGGAAAACTCCAGGAGAATGTGATGGAGCCCCCCAGTGCCAGCACAGGTTGGGGGGATCCGGCATCAGATTGACAGGGTTCAAACCCTGCTGCTCACCAGTGACCCGTGGTAAGCAGGGAGGTGGTGGGAATACCGTGGAATGAATGTGTCTTTTTCATAGCGTTCATCACCACTTGTCCCTGTCTGACCTGGCCTGTGGAATCTCATGCAGTAGGCCCTGTGAAATTAAGGTTACTCTACCCTATTGAGATCCAGCAAGAAAGACCTCAGATATTTCTTCTTGAATTGGAAGTTTTTAGCAGGAGGTCTGACAGCCATTTTTGTCAAACTCTCTACACAATTAATTTATTAATACGACATGGGCTGCAGGTCCAGTTGATGTGGCTGTAGTTGCACCCCAGAGGACTTACTTTGGGGTTCATGCAGGGAATCCCTGCTATGAAAGCACTGTGAGGTGCTGGGATGCTCCAGCAGCTTCAGTTGAGGGTCTATATGATCCAGGGGAGAGCTCATGGCCTGGAAGCCGGGAGACCCTCCCTCAGTCCTAATGCTGATGTGAACATGCTCTGTGATTGTAGGCAAAACACTTCATTTTTCCAAGCCTTTCTGTTGAATGGGCTGATAGCTCTAGAATTGCACAACTTAATTCACCATATAATTATGGACACTTAAACCATATTTCTTTAAATATATATTTATGATCCTTGTGTTAGGCTGTTCTTGCATTGCTACAAAGAAATACCTGAGGCTGACTAATTTATAAATAAAAGAGGTTTAATTGGCTCATGCACCTGCAGACTGTATAAGCATGGCACAGGCATCTGCTTGGCTTCTGGTAAGGGCTCAGGAAGCTTTCAATTATGGCAGAAGGGGAAGCCAAAGAGGGAGCTGGCCTACCACATGGCAAGAGGGGGAGCAAGAGAGGGATGTGCCACACACTTTTAAACAACCAGATCTTTCGAGAAATCATCTACTGTCCCGAGGACAGCACCAAGGGGATGGTGCTTAACCCTTCATGAGGGTCTCGCCCCTGTGATCCAATCACCTCCCACCAGGCTCCCCTTCCAAAACTGGCGATCACATTTCAACATGAGATTGGGTGAGGACACATATCTAAACTATATCAACCCTAACTCAAAAAAAAAAAAAAAGAAAAATCTGTGCATTGCTGTAGCAGATGCTTTTAAAAGTGTGTCCACATTGACATTGAGAACGCAAAGAAAGTACTTTGAAATGATTTGCATCACGTTTCTTCCCTTCTGTCTTTTGTGGTTGTTAATTCAAGGCTCTTTAAGCAATATCTGCATCATTTGAAACTTTAGTGAGTGTGGCAGAGTCTTGAACAGTGAACAGATCTATCCCAAATGCTTTCATCTATTCAGTCCTACTTCCAGTTGGCAAAATACAACTCTTATCCTTCTGATATTTTCAAGGGAGTTCAGGTGAGTTTAAAACCAATGGCGTTGCAGTGAAAAGCTTTTTCCTTATTATATTGGTGTTGAGGTTTCAAACCAGTTTGGTTATAGTAGATTTTCACTGTTTAAAATGGTTTTAGTTGGTGAATTTTTTTCATGCAGTAGATAGCTGTCAAATATATACAATCCATAAAGTATGAAAACTGTGTGTAGGGTCTCTGGAGGAGTTTGCCGAAAGGAAGTAAGATGTTCCTACCCCCACCCCACCCCCCGCATCACCTCCTTCGGGGCAGCCAGCCCCTCACAGTGGACTTGGTCCTTCCTCCCTCCTTGCATCAGACTTGCTCTAGTGACTAGGAGTCCCCCGAGGACAAAAGTGACCGGCAGCACGGACTCCCTGGCATCGAGGCACCTGAGACGGGAAGGACATTGCTGACATAACTAAATGCCAGAGCCATACGTTTCTGAGTAGGCTTTGTCTAGAAAAAGAGTGAATAGAAGTCAAGGAGACAGGTGAGCTACAGATACCTGTGAGTTAAACCTGAGAATTTGAAGTGCATTTAAACAAACACTAAGTAGGTGTGTGTTGGAAATTTAAGTTTGCAAATCCGGGGAATAATTGGAAGATTGAACTAATATGTCTTTCTAAAAATCACTGAATTGAAACCAAAATAATTAAAACATCTGTGATCTAAATTGTACTTAGTATGAGTTCATCATCTTGCATTAAGCATGAGTATTTGAAAGAGGTTAGGGAAGGCAATCAAAGAGTGAGGGGTACGTGTGTTCTACCCTGGGGGTCAGGGCAATCCCAAATTCTTCCTCTTTCTCCTCTTTAACCAGCTGAGGTGGAAGGTGAGGGGTGAATGCCCTCCCCACCCTAGGGCTCACTGGGGGCCTAGTTCCAGGCCCCACTGACCTGTGGGCAGGGTCTCTGCTCTAGCTGAACTTTTCTGCTGCAGGGTAAATTCTTGATCTTGATCATCCTTCTGTGAAGATGGGGACAGCCAGATCATACTCATCTACGTTTGCACTGTGCGTGTTTTATGATAATACATGTCATTCTTTACCTGGCTCTTCTACCAGAAGGAAGTTCCAAACTCTGAAGTGAACCTCTCCCAGCCCTGTCTAGGGGTCGTTTGCTAGGCCCTCCTGATTCTTCACAATGGTCTCCTAAAACAGAGAGGCCCAGGCTGGACCAGTGTTGACAACAGCGGTGAGGTCACTTTTGTTCCCCTGCATTCCAGGCTCCAGCAAGAAGATCCAGTTACGTTGTTCTTGTTTTGTTTTGAATAACAGAACTCTGCAACACACTTTTCTCAGCATCTATGATTGTTCAATTCTTTTTCTGATTTTTTTTTGTGCCCTCCCCAGTCTCCCTTCGGGCTCATCTTTGTGGGTTGTTTCCCTCTGGCCCGCAGCGTTGCCCACGGTGAAGACCTGGTTGAACCAAGAAATCTCTGTGGGTTGTTTGTTTCCCTCTGGCCCGCAGCGTTGCCCATGGTGAAGACCTGGTTGAACCAAGAAGCCGTGGAATCATTAGGATATCAGAGTGCAGACCTGCCTGCTCCCCCACACTCAGGCTTCCCACAGGCTCCCTGGATGGGCAGCCCCTGCTGGAATTCCTCCAGAGCCTGAAACGTTGGCCACATTACAAAGCCGCGTTCTCCATCGCTGGGCACCTCTGCTCGTCCGACCGCCATCTGCTCCCTGTACCTTCTCCCCATTCGTTCTAGATCCACTCACAGCTCCTCCCGACAAACCACCAGGTCAGCTGATTCGGGGCCAGTGCACCCTCAGGCTACTATCCCTTATGATTTGCTTCCTGAGGACCCTCCCCTTCCTCAGACGAAAAGAGGTCAGCAGTGCAACACCTGATTTCCGAAAGTTAGTGCCAGGAAATGGAATCTAATTTGTTTTTATTTGAGAGGGGCGTTAGATGAAAGGAAGTATGAATGTCTCCCCTGGGGTCTGTGCTCTCCCTGCCCCTTCCCCTCTTCTGAGAGCCCTTCCTTTAAGCTGTGTGTGTGTGTGTGTGTGTGTGTGTGTGTGTGTGTCTGGATGGAGGAACCAGGGACCCCCCAGGAAAACCACAGAACAGAAGACACTTGAAACACAGCCCGTTCCCACTCCCAACGCCCCCCTGGCATCGCCTCCCCACCAATCCCCACCGCACCCTCAGCATTGCCTCCCTCCACCCCCACCCCCACCCCACCCCCGGCATCACCTGCCCCCACCCCAACCCCACCCCCAGCATCGCCTCCCCCACAACCCCCACCCCAACCCCTGCATTGCCTCCTCCCGCCACCCCCGTCATTGCCTCCCCCATCCCCACCCCACCCCACCCCCAGCACCACCTCCCTCGGGGCAGCCAGCCCCTCACAGTGGACTTGGTCCTTCTTCCCTCCTTGTGTCAGACTTGCTGTAGCTACTAGGAGTCCCCAGAGGACAGAAGTGACCGGCAGCACGTACTCCCTGGCATCGAGGCACCTGAGACGGGAAGGACATTCGGCTCAAGCCCCTTCCTTCCCTTGGACGAGGACACGGGCCCCCCCAGTCACCTGTCCACAGCCACACCAGCTTCCCAGCAGCCCCACAAGGCCCGCCACAGCCTCTCCTCTTCCAGAAAATTCACATTTTAATTTGCAGCCATGAGAATAAGGATAGAATTTCTGGGAGCGTCTCAGTCTCTAAGGGAGAGGGTCCCTCTGCCTGGGTACCTCACCCTAGGAACTAGAGGTAGTAATGTAGGGACTGTTATTACAGGAACGAGGCTGTGCTCAGCAAATGCTTTTACTTCAACTTTCAGGACACCAAGAAAATGTGAGAGTATAATTTTCCAGGCTTGCGATGGACTGTATTGATCCTCTCCAACAGATTAAAAAAGAAATTGTTTCTCTTCAGTTGAATATCAGTTTTTCTTGAAGCTATTAACTGCCCATGGCCTGAATTTGAACTTTCTGTTTTTGATAAGTGTGAATGCTGCCAGTGAATAAATGAGATTCTCTGTGCTGTGCCCTCCTCTGCCCAAATATGGCTTTGCAGGAGCCAAACATCGGGAGCTTTCAAACATCTGTCCTTGAAAACGCAGCACTGTGAAACCCAGAGAGAGGCTGGGCTGGTTTTTGGGCAGAGATAAAGTGCCTGCTTCAATTTGATCCCAAAGTCTCATCACTGAAGTGTATGTGCGGTTTTTGACATTTATTTGAAATGAGAGAGACATTTTACACATTTTAATTTTCATGTAATATTCCAGACTATAATTATCCATGACTGGCATTGGGATCTATTTCACCCCAAGCAAAAATAGAGCACACAAACTCTCTCGTAGTGCACCTGACATTGTATCCCGGAGCTGCTTTCTCCTTGGAAGTAGAATAGGCTCTGAATGATGTCAGAGATGTTCGTGTCTGTCTGAAACAGATGTTGGTGATGAACCCTGTTTGGCAAAAGGATTATAGATGTTGTCACAGGAAGAACCAAGTGCCAGGAGCAATTGTGCTGAAGGTGGAGCCTGCCCCTGACAATACCCCAAGCCTACATCTCTCTGGTTTTGTGGTCGTTTTTGTGGAGGGTGATTTTCTTATACATCTTCCTAATGGATGCCTACAAAGGCAGGCTGAACCTGGGAGCAGTGCCCATTATTCTAGCAAACAATTTAGGGAAACAACACCTGGATAAATACTCATCCACCTGGCCTCTCCTTCTCTGCCTCCTCTCTGTTCCTGTTGCCCACAAGATTGTGAAAGCCTAGATAGCAGGGACTGCACCCCACTCTTTGTACATTGGGGGTAGTGCAGTGACTGCCGGCCCTTTCAGAACACGTGTGCACTTGTCCTGCCTGGGACATGGAAATGGGGAGTTAGGTCTTCCACCGACTAGGTGGAAGTTAGGTGTATAGTATTGATTTCACCTGAATGTCAGCGTTAGCCTCTCAAAACTTTTATGTTCTTGTTTGTTTGCTTATTTTTAAGGAGGTAGCACAGAAGAAAATAAAAATCCTGACCACTAGGATGGATCGATGCTTACTCTACCTTTCAAAAGAGCAAACGGAACTTACTGTTGTTGAGTGATTATTGTGTTAGTTACTATCGGGTACCCGGCTGCGTGCATGTCATCTTTCGTAATCCTTTAAACGACCCTAGGAGGTGGGGTTAGAATGGTTGTCTTGGGGCTGTAGACACTGTGGATTCCTGAAAAGTTGAGCCAATCTTGTTGGGGGCCTCCACGGCAGAGGCCTTGATTAGTGTGAGTGCTTACATGCACCTGTGCCAAGGTGTGAGCCTGACAGAGACTGGAGAGAGCAGTATGCCTTGTCTTCCTCCTTCTCCAATGCTCAGAGTTATCCTTCTTTTTCAGTCCTCATCTTAGTGAGGGCCACAATTTCCAGCTGTCCTCTGCCCATCTCATCCCAGGACTGTTCACCGAGGACTCCTGCCCTCTGGGCCTCTGATGCCCTCCACCAGCTCCCACCCCACTGGGCTATTGAAACACCTGTCACCTTCCAGGCCCGCACGTGAGCACCTCCAGCCCGGGGAGCCTTCCTGCCCCAGGTGGCCCCCACGGGTCAGGCCACCTCCCCTTGACCCCCACGACTCTCACCCCTATCCCAACACTGTGGCCTAGGAACTCCCTGTCTGCTGGTCTGACTTCTCCACCCACCAGCCGTTCTCTACTGGGGGTGATTTCCCTCCCAGGGACATTTGGAAAGCCTGGAGACGTTTTTGCTTGTTATGGCGGGTGGTGCCACTGGCATTTAGTGTACAGAGGCCAAGAGCACGGCTAAACGTCCTCCCATGCCCAGGACGGCCCCCAGGACAAAGGATTAACCACTCCAAAACGTCAGTCGTGCTGAGGCTGAGAAAGCCGAGCTGTCCTGGACAGACCCCATGACTTGTATACCTCTGTTCTTAATGATTCGTACATAGAAGTGCTCAGTAAATGTTTGCTGAATATTGTTGAATAAACCTCCTGTTAACTTAGAAGAGTGAAGGAAATTCACATTCATCATACCTTCCATCACATCATTTGATACGCCTGATGTGTTAAATGTATTATCATCCAGCTAAACATCACCATGGAGAATTCTTCCCCACTCCCTGGCGCAGCAGGAGCTCCATCTCTGTGGAGTGAACTATGTTCTATATTTAGACGAAACTCTGTAGCCGGAGGTTGTAACTATTAGCTGAAGCTGTCACTCTATTTTATTTTATGTTTTCCCCTGAATATGCCACTTGGACTGTGGACCATGGTTAGGCAAACCACATTATTCTAAATTAACCACGCTTAGTAAATGACCCTAACTTAAGAGCTACTTCATAGGCAACATTCTCATGACAACTTCCAGGGAATTTTTCTTCTATTGTTTGTTCAAAGAGACTTGAGTTAAGAAAAAAGAAAGCAGATTTAAATCAATACCAGTGAGGTCCCTTACAGTAAAATGGGAGGATTTCCAAGGACCAGAGACATCCAGCTGGGCAAACTCAGTGGAAGAGAGAAAGTGTGTGGATAGGGAAGGTTTTTTTGAAACCAGCGAACAGTTACAATATAGAAAACAGTGCAATGTACCTTTAGCTAAGGGGGAGGGCTAGCAAGAATTTAGAAACACTTCTAGGCAAGGGAAATGTATAGATAACCTGTTGGCCAACTGCCTTCATTCTACCGAATAATTTTAAGGATTTTTAACATGTTATTTTATTTTATTAAAATTTTTTTAATGGAGTACTTTAGTTTTTCAGCTTATTGAGGTATAATTGACAAAAATTGTGTATATTCAAGGTATGCAATGTAATGTTTTGATATATGTGCACATTGTGAAATGATTACCATAATCAAGTAATGAATATTTTCATTACTTTACATAATTACCTTTTTTGTGTTGCAAATACTTAAGACTTACCCTCCTAGCAAATTTCGAGTATTCAATACATTATTATTATTATTATTATTATTAATTATTATTATTTTATGATTTTGAGTCAGAATCTTGCTCTGTCGCCCAGGCTGGAATGCAGTGGTGTGCTCTCTGCTCACTGCACCCTCTGCCTCCTGGGTTCAAGTGATTCTCCTGCCTCAGCCTACTGAGTGGCTGGGATTACAGGTGCATGCCACCATGCTAATTTTTTTATTTTTACTAGAGACAGGGTTACACCATGTTGGCCAGGCTGGTCTTGACCTCCTGACCTCAATTGATCTGCCCGCATCAGCCTCCCGAAGTACTGGGATTACAGGCGTGAGCCACCGTGTCAGGCCTCAATACGTTCTTTTTAATGACAGTCACTATGCTGCACCTTAGGTCTCCAGAACCTTTTCATCTTGTAACTGCAAGGTTGTGTGCTTTGACCAACATCTTCCCATTCCCCCATCCCCTGGCCCCTGGTAAGCACCCTTCTGCTCTCTGCTTCTGTGAGTTTGCCTTTTTCAGATTCCACGTATAAATGAGACCATGCGGCGTCTGTCTTCCTGTGTCTGGCTCCTTTCACTTAGCCTACTATCTTCCAGGTTCATCCATGATGTCCCAAATGACCGCTTTCCTTCCTTTTCTTTTTTTATTTTTTTGAGACAGAGTCTTGCTCTGTCGCCCAGGCTGGGGTGCAGTGGTGCCATCTCTGCTCACTGCAAGCTCCGCCTCCCGGGTTCACGCCATTCTCCTGCCTCAGCCTCCCAAGTAGCTGCGACTACAGGTGCCCGCCACCACGCCCGGCTAATTTTTTGTATTTTTAGTAGAGACGGGGTTTCACCATGTTAGCCAGGATGGTCTCAATCTCCTGACCTTGTGATCCGCCCGCCTCGGCCTCCCAGAGTGCTGGGATTACAGGCATGAGCCACCGTGCCCGGCCGCTTTCCTTCCTTTTCTAAAGCTGAAGAGTACACCGTCGTGTATATGGACCACATTTCCTTTATCCATTCATCCATTGATAGACACTTAGGTTGCTTCCCTCTGTTGGCTATTGTGAATAAGCTGCAGTGAATAGGGGTATGGAGAGCTCTTCGACACACTCACTTCAAAGCCTTTGGCTGTATACTCAGAGCTGGGATTGCTGAATCATATGGTAACTCTAGTTTTAATGTTTTGAGGAACCTCCATACTGTTCTCCATTATGGCTGTACAATTTACATTCCCACCAACTGTGTACCAGCGTTCTTTGTTCTTCAGCCTCATCAACATTGGTTATCTCTCTTTTAAAAAAAAAATAATAACCATGCTAACAGGTGTGAAGTGATATCTCATTGTGGTTTGGATTTGTGTTTTCATGGTAATGATATTGGGCACTTTTTACATGCTTGTTGGATATTTGTATGTCTTCTTTAGAAAAATGTCTATTCAGGTTCTCTGTCCATTTTTAAAATTGATTACCTGTGTTTTTTTTTCTACTGAGTTGTGTGAGTTCCTTGTATATTTTGATATTAATTCCTTATTGAATATATGGCTTGCAAATACCTTCTCCTATTCTACAGGTTGCCTTTAATTCATTACTTTTAATCTGCATGACTAATGGATAAGTTAGCCACTTCTCAGAAATGAAACTTATGAGCTATATTATAGCTCAGCATTCTTAATAGGAGTTCACAATTTCACTTTTGGATGATACTAAAATGGAATCAATTAATTAATTAAAAGCTGACTCATTCCAGAAAGGATTTCTGGAGTGAAATACACATAGTGTAAAATCAGGACAGATTTTACGGTCAACATAAGATAAAGGTAATATGAAGTCATCAGTGGAACCAATAGTCAAAAATGTACCATCAGGTTCTGCACAGCTGGTCAAGGTGAGTCAAAACTCAGGGCTCAGTGTGCTTTTGCTGCAAAGCAAAGAGGATGTGGCCAAGTATAAGAGGTAGGCTGTCCCTAAGTTAAAGCCGTCAAGATGGAATTAATCAGTAATATCAGAAGCCCTTATCCCACAGATCTCCAAGAGAGCATGAGAATTAATCTTAATTGAATTAAGAAAAAAACAATGTTCATGAACCTTATCACAAGATAAATCAAATCAATTTTAACTTATATGTGGTTTTGGTAATTGTAGGAGTGAGGAAATGGCCAGCTTGTAAATATCTTTCAGAACTGGAAAGGCAGTTGCTAAACATCTCGGAAACATCACCCAGGTTAACCCTTGAGAATCCAATCAGTGTGTGAACATCTAAGAGTGACCAGCTTACCTCTATTTTTAGGCCTTGTGCAAATATGCTAGAAAAAGAAGAGTTTTTATTTCTCCACATTCAGCAGCCAAAATGTACAAAAAAGGCATGGATCAACTTTGGCCATCCTTATCCTCAGTGACTTTCTGTACCTAAACCATAGGTTACGAAATTGTTATTAACTATCCAAGACGTTCTCTGCTTGTGAGACACTGGGAAACTGTCATCACACCTGTCGTTGTTCTGGAGTCTCAGACGGCAATCTTCTGAGGCAGGATGTGCCATGCGTGTATTCTGGAGGCGTCCCTAGAGTTGTGCTGTCCAATATGGCAGCTGCTGGTCACATGTGGCTACGGAGCCCTTGGAATGTGGCTACTGTGAATTCAGATGCACTGTATGTATAAAGTAAGAGACTTAATGTGAAAATAAGAAAGAATGCATGATATCTTCTTCATAATTTAAACAATTATTATATTTGAAATAATATTTAGACATACTGGATTAATAAAATATATTATTAAAATTAATCTCACCTGGTTCCTCTTTCTAACTGTTTGTGTGTCTCCCAGAAAATCTAAAACTAAAGGGGCCAGGAGTGGTGGCTCACGCCTGTAATCCCAGCACTTTGGGAGGCTGAGGTAGGCAGATCACCTGAGGTCAAGAGTTTGAGACTAGCTTGGCCAACATAGTGAAACCCCGTCTCTACTAAACATACAAAAATTAGCCATGGTGCATGGTGGTGCATGCCTGTAATCACAGCTACTCGGGAGGCTGAGGCAGGAGAATCACTTGAATCAGGGAGGTGCAAGTTGCAGTAAGCTGAGATCGTGCCATTGCACTCCAGCCTAGGCAACAGAGCAAGACTCTGTTTCAAATTAAAAAACAAAAAAAAGAAAATCTAAAATTGCATACATGGCTTGCATTATTTTCTATTAGACGGCACTGACCTAGAACCACAATCAGATTCTCAAGTTGGTCTTTTGTCCCATGTATAAGAACTTCTGTCTTAGGACTTTATTGACATATTGATAATGCAATTTTACAAAGAAAACACACATCACCTGAAATCTCTAATCCAGAGGTGGTTAACATTGTTAACATAATTTTGATATGATCTTTTCTTCTGTGTGCCTTCTGTGTATGTTTATGTAAGGTGACTAAAGAAGTATATATTATTGTGCTTTATTAAAACTTAAATTACATCACAAATTTTCTCCTATACATTATTACAAGTTGAAAAACGACATTTATGGCAAGGTAGTATTTCAACCATGCAAGCACCATAATTTATTTAAGGGTATTTCTTTTACTTTTTCTTTTTCTTTTTTTTTTTTTTTGAGACCAAGTTTTGCTTTTGTTGCCCAGGCTGGAGTGCAGTGGTGCGATCTCTGCTCACTGCAACCTCTGCCTCCCAGATTCAAGTGATTCTCCTGCCTCAGCCTCCTGAGTAGCTGGGATTACAGGCATGTGCCACCACACCTGGCTAATTTTTGTATTTTTTAGTAGAAACGGGGTTTCTCCATGTCGGCCAGGCTGGTCTTGAACTCCTGACCTCGGGTGATCCGCCAGCCTTGGCCTCCCAAAGTCCTGGGATTATAGGCGTGAGCTGCCACACCTGGTCTATTTAAGTGTATTTCTATCGTTTGGCATTTAAATCATGTTGCATTAACTGCTATTATAAGTAATGCTATAGTAAATATCTTCTACTTATGTATTGGTGTAGCTAGTGATTTTCCCTTAGTATAGATTCCTAACTATTGGAGCAAAAGGTAAAACACTATTGAGACTTGACACATATTGCCAAATTGCTCAGCCGTGGGATTTCTCTAGCTGCACTCTGTAAGCATCAGTTTAATTTTACTCACACCAGTATTGAATAGGAGCATTTCAGAGTGGCTTCCACTGGATTCAAAAAATCATATTACATCAGCACCTCATTTTCATTTCTTTTATTGTTACTGAGATGGAATATTTTTTGATATTTATTGTTTAATTTTCATTTCTTTCTGGTTTACCTTGTCTTTGTTCATTTTCTAATAGGATGTTGTATATTACTTATTGATATAAATATGAACCATCTATTATCATATATATTGTTTTCTCAGTGTGTCATGTGTTTTGAATTTTGTTTCCTATTTTATGTCCATGCGTTGTTAGTTCCCAGGTGCGAGAAATCAGTGCATCCTGCACTCTGAGTTCCCTTTCGTCGCTTTCATGTAGAGCTTGGTTAAATACCCATCTACATCTTTCCAGCTCATCAAAATTCTTACTGTTCACACTTAAATTTCACTTATTCTGAAATTAAGTTTTGTGTGTATCAACCAATAGTGTGATGGTAATTGTTTAGCAACTGTCTCTAGGGGGAAAAACCCACACAACCTTGATGTGTAACATTTGCTGCTTTCTGTGGTGTAAATACTCCCAGATGGCCTATTCCCAAGCTATCGCTGCCAGTGGAGCAGGGAGGGGAGGTGCACAGTTGACTCTGGTTCCAGCACACTGGTGGATTTGTGAGACATTCCCTTGGTGAATTTTCCCAACATCTTATTGTGTATGCATTTCTTTCCTTTATACTGTAGAATCCATTTTTATATATCCCATGATGTGATTTAGTTCTGTTTATTCTGTTCCTTGAATATATTTTTAGCTCAGTTAATAGTTGTTGAGTGCAGTACCAGTCTTGGATTTGTTTTTGTTTTTTTATTAGAGATTTTGGTGGGATTAGTATCCCAACTATTTCACCCACCATCTCCATTTTTTGAATTTTTTTGTTATTGTTGCTCGTTTGTCATTAAAGTGTATGTTGGGATCATTTTTTAAAGTTTCCAAATAGACTGAAATTCTGTTAAACCTGAATTGACGTGAGTGTAAAATTCAGCCTCGGCAGCACTGCTACTCTGTGCTTCTCCTGGTGCAGTTTTGTGGGTCCTCTTCCCTTCTCAGATACCTCGTGGCACCTTCTTCTCAGTGGGAAAATGAAGAGACAGAGGAGGGAAATGACAGAGAAAGAACAGGAGGGGTATGTGGTGGGCAACGGGAGGTGGAGACACGGCATCACGTGGCCTTTGCCCAGAGCGGGAATGGCGGCAAAACCGGGGAAGGAGCCCTAGCAATGTTTTGACACAATTATATTTTTATAACATTTGCAAAAGAAAGATGCGTTAATCACAATGTATTTGAGTTGCTGTCTTTCTCTATCACATTTGCCTTCATGTTCTGTGGTGCTGGATTTGCCACGATACCTTGGGTCCAGCTAAGGCAAAGTTGAGCTGGAAATACAGTAATCTGGGTTAATGAGACAGATATTGTGATTCACAGCCAGCTGGGTATGGGGCTGTGTTACTGCTACCCATCCAGGTATATAAATGGTTTCCAGAAATACCTCTCCGGGCCAGAGGTTCCGCAGCTGTGTGAACGTGCCTCTGGAATCTGCCCCAGGAATACTCAGCAGTGGAGGAGAAACGGTTTCGAGTGTCAGGAGCAGGAGCTAGTCTACGGGAAGTTCTTCCAGTCATGAGCCACGTGAAGAGCACGTGGTTGCTCTGAATGCCCAGTCAACATGCTCGTGTCCTCTTGATGAGAACATACTTTCTCATGCAGTGTGTGAACATTTAATGCAGCCTACACCCCTCTGACGATGTAAATTGTGAGAACGAGAATGCATGAGAATCCCTGCAACTGTGGCCTGCCTCCAGACAGTGTGGGTGTGTGGGGAGCTGCCCTCTCAGCCATCTGACTCCTCTTGTTCCATCATAGCGCACTCGGTGCTTCTGGTCTTGACTCATTCTGCCTGTTCCCAACAAAATGGCAGGAAAAATGGCCACCAACACAGTGACACAGCTTGAAGACATAAGCGCTCCAGTGACAAAAATTATAAACACACTCACAAATAACTCAGTAAGATGTCTGATGCTCAGTTAAGTTGCTCAGGGAAGCAGAGTGGCAACTTTAACATCCACTCAACCTACTCTTACCTGTGCCTCTGTTTCCTATAAATTTCATGTTGACCATTACACAATTACAATACAGTAGGAAGCAATGATCCCAGTGGAAGACACAAATATAAAGTGAAAAATGGGAGGCTGGACTTTCAAAATGCCATCAGCCCTTCTACACCACAGCAAATAAAAACTCTGAGTGTCTCAATAATGAAGAATCACAGTATCCAAAAACGAAAGGCAATTAAAATAACAACGGAAGAGAAAAAGAAAGTTGTAAGGATCTTCTTAAACAAGAAACAAAGACAGTAGATGAGAGGGATACAAAGAAAACCAATCGGTATAATCCATAGACACCAGATGTGAAGAACCGATTCTACAAAACTGTCACACGAAGAGGGCGGAAAGCGCGGGAAGAAGTGTCAGGAAGGTGTGCTGCCGAGTAGGTAGGTAAAAGTCTCATTTTTAAAAATGCTGCAGCATCTGCTGCATTTGTCAACTTTTAAGAACTTGTAATTTGTCGTATTCTCTTCTCATTCTAAGTGAAGATTCATTCCATATGTGGTTTTGCAATTAGAGTTTGTATTATTTTTCTTAGGTGTCCCAAAGTGCAATACCTTGGGCCGAGAGAGCTCAGATCTGCCCTTTTGTTAGGTATGGCTTTGCTACTGGTGATTCCTCTCACGTTTATTTCATTTGCTGACAGTGATCTTTGCCTGGTCCTTGGGCTCCCCAGAGGCTGGTCCTGGTGAGGCATTTTGCTTCCTCGCCTCACCATCTCTCTCCCCACATGTGACATCTCCTCTCTGCTCCCAAGGTTCCTGGCCTTCCAGGTTCGCTGGGACCGGTCACCCGGTGCTACCTGAGAGGCTGGAGAAGGGGGTGGCAAGTGGATCCGTAGCTGCAGGACTGCTGTGTCATGTCCGTTGTGCCTTAACTCCATTGCCTTCCAAAGTGCTTAACGTCTATCACACAGTTCAAGAGTTAACCAGTTGAAGGGTACCAAGTTGTTTCAGGCTCAGGAGAATGGAGAATTCTTGAAGATTGGAGCAGGAGGGGAGGGAGCATCCCGGCCTCGAAAAGATGCTGCATCCTGCCTCCTTGGCTCCACTAGGCAAACAGCACGCAGCTGGGAAAGGGATTCAATTCTTTTATGTATTTATTTATTTTTGAGCATCTCAGTCCTGTCTCTTATCTGCGTATCTACACCTGACTGGCTCACAACCCGGCCTTTCCTCCCTTCTGTCCACACTCTCCCTGTCTTGTCACTTTTATCCTTCCTGAGGCTCCGAATCAGGTAAATGCTATCTGTGTTAGCATGTTGAGGGGGGATGACACCATGTGCCTTGGGCCACGCACCTGGGGGCCGTCAGCCCACCCACCCCAGGACACCAGGGAGCACTCTCAGGCTCTGATCTTGCTAGACCAGGCCCCTCCTCCAGGGGCCCCTTCAGAGAATCTCCAGGGCCTTGAACCACCATCAAAGCTGTATTCCCAAAAGCAGCCACGCAGGAAGCTCTAGCACAGCCTCTAGTGCTGGGGAGCCCTGAAAACTTGATGTGCAGTGACAGAGCCACACACAGAAAGCCATGCAGTGCATGGTTCCCTTCCATGCAATGCCCAGTACAGGCAGATCCAAAGAGACAGGAGGCGGATGAGTGGGCCGCAGGCTGGAGTGGAGCAGGGAGGTTGCGAGGATTGCGAGAGACTGTGAATGGACTCAGGGTTTCTATCAGGGGTGATGATAGTGCTCAAAAGGTGATTGTGGTGATGGCTGCATAACTCTGTGAATGTTCTAGAAACCGCTGAATTGTACATCTTAAACCAATAAGTTGTGTGGTGTGTGAATTGTATCTCAAGAAAGCTGGTGAGGACGGGGTAGACTGCTCCCCACCTCAAAAGCAGCCACATCAGAGCAAATGAGGCTGCCTCTGAGTGGAGTGAGACCTCAGCCAGCAGAAGATGGGCCCCGGCACCTGCCCAAGCATCGGCCCCCAGGAGGCTGATCCCAAGGGAGATGACTGCTTCTCTGACCTCACAAGCAAGACGCGCTCCCTGAAGGCTGCCCAGGGGTGTCAGGAAGAGTGTTCGGCCCAAGGAAAGACCCCCGGGTCCTCACCTACCCTGTCCTCTTCCTCTCCCTATTGCATTCCCTGCACGTGTTGAGGAAATCTCTGCTGAAGTAAATTCATTTTCTAAAGAGGGAGCCCAGATTTGCAGGCGTGGCTGCCCCAGCACAGGGAATAGAGGCTTCTGGTCTGGGATTTTCTAAAGGCAGTGAATGCAGCCTGGGGACTGAGGGAGAAGAGGAAATGCACCCCCACCCTAAGGCCCTTTCCAGACAGCTCTGAACCCTCACATTCCTCCCTCCTCGTACTGGAGGCAGGGCAGGTGCCCCCAAAAATGGAATACTGGCCCGCATTACTTAACAATGGGGATGTGTTCTGAGAGAGGCATCTTTAGGCGATTTTGTTGTCATGCAAACTTCCTAGAGTGCTCTCACAGACACCTGGACACCTGGATGAGATAGCCTCTGCACGCCTGGGCCGGAGGGTGTAGCCCACGGCTCCCAGACAGTAAACCTGGACAGCATGGTACCGTACCATGCACAGTAGGCAACTGTCACACAGCGTTGAGTATTTGTTCATCTGAATACATCTGCACAGAAAAGGTACAGTCAAAACACGCGTGAAAGATAAACAGTGGGACGCCTGTGTGGGGCCGTCACCATGAGTGGAGCTCGCAGGCCTGGAAGTTGCTCTGGGTGAGTCGGGGAGTGAGTGGTGGGCAGATGTGAAGGCCTGGGACATGGCTGCATACCACAGTGACTTTATAGCACTCTACACTTAGGCTGCACCCCACTGATTAAGACATTCTCTTTTTTTCTTTTCTTTTCTTTTCTTTTTTTTTTTTTTTTGAGATGGAGTCTTGCTCTGTCACCCAGGCTGGAGTGCAATGGCGGAATCTCGGCTCACAGCAACCTCCGCTTCCCGGGTTCAAGCGATTCTCCTGCCTCAGCCTCCTGAGTAGCTGGGACTACAGGCATGCACCACCACACCCGGCTAATTTTTTGTATTTTTAATAGACACGGGGTTTCACCATGTTAGCCAGGATGGTCTCGATCTCCTGACCTCGTGATCCACCCGCCTCGGCCTCCCAAACTGCTGGGATTACAGGCATGAGCCACCGCGCCCGGCCAGCATTTTCTTTATTTAATAGCAAATTAACCTTAGCTTGCTGCACCTTTTTTACTTTACACACTTTTAACTTTTTCAAACTTTTTGACTATTTTATCATAACACTTAGCTGAAAACACACATTGTATTGCTGTACAAAAATATTTTCTTTCTTTATATTCTTATTCTGTAGCCCTTTTTCCCTATTAGAATTTTTTTTTTTTTTTTTTTTTTTACTTTTTAAATGTTTTTGTTTCAAACGAAGACACAAGCATTCACATTAGCCTAGGCCTATACTGGGTCAGGATTCTTAGCGTCACTGTCTTCCACCTCCACGTCCTGTCCCACTGGAAGGTCTTCAGGGGCATAATGTGGAACTGTCATCTCCCGTGGTAACAATGCCTTCTTCTCAACACCTCCTGAAGGGACCTGCCGGGGATGCTTTACAGTTGACCTAGAAGGAACTCTCTCTAAAATAATGATAAAAAGTCCGTGCAGGAGGTTTGTTTACACCAGCATCGCTGCAGACGCGTGAGTAATGGGTGGCACTGTGACGTTGTGATGGGTGATAGGAGCTTTTCATCCTGTTGAAATCTTATGGGGCCACCATGGCATAGGTGGCCCATTGCAGAGGGAAATGTCATTAGCAGCTCATGGCTGTGCGGTGGTAGTTTTGTTGGTCACGTGGTGGGAGGTAGGGGCCAGAGAAAGGAAGGTATGGGTTTCTGTGGCCTGGGACACCCAGGACCCCATGGAGAGGCAGGCTAAGAGGGGGCCCCAGGTCCCTGAAAAGTTAGGGGGTGATATGGTTTTCGTTGTGTCCCCACACAAATCTCACCTTGAATTGTAAGAATCCCCACATGTCAAGGGCAGGGCCAGGTGGAGATAATTGAATCACAGGGGTGGTTTCCCCCATACTGTTCTCGTGGTAGGGAATAAGACTCATGAGATCTGATGGTTTTAAAAATTGGAGTTCCCCTGCACACGCTCTCTTGCCTGCCGCCATGGAAGAGGTGCCTTTGCTTCTCCTTTGCCTTCTACCACGATTGTGGGGCCTCCCCAGCCATGTGGAACTGTGAGTCCATTAAACCTCTTTCCTTTAGAAATTACCCAGTCTCGGGTATGTCTTTATTAGCAACGTGAAAACAGGCACACTCTTCACAGGGGGAATGCTAGCTACTCCACAGTTCTCCATGATTAAGCTCCACAATTCTCCATGATTAGGCTCCATTCTGATGGACAGGACAGGCATTTTGGAGTTGGAGGTGTAGGGTGTGAGGAATGTCTGGTGTAGGAGAAGCTCTGCCTCATGTAATGGAACCGTTATTTAACTCCACTTAAAAAATTCAATCAAATCTCATAAAAACGCATGATAAAGCCAATGGCACAACAGGGAGGTGTGTGTGGTGAGGAGCCCCCTCCCCAGCCCACCCCAGTCCTACCGCTCAGGTTCATTGTGATCTGTGGCTGACCAGGTGGGAGGGGACCCCGTCTCATTTGGTCTAAACATTGAGTGACAGCCGGTAGGCAGCTCCCAGCCTGCCCACCCCTCAGGGGTCACAGACACTCCCTAGAGGCACCTAGGGTGGGTGTGTGCCCTGCAACACTCACAGTGACTCAGCAGGTGCTAATTTGCCTGGGGTCTGGGACAGCCCTGAAGAGCAGCGTGCTCTGTCCTTGAGCTGACTGTGAGCCACCAGGCCTCCCTCCTGCCATCTGGCTGGACTTACCCAAGGCCATAGGACTTGGCTGGTGTCGGCCCTCTAAGTAACAAGTGACTGTTTGCTAATCGGCCACCACATGCCCCGTGTCAGGCTGAGTTTGATTCCTGGATGACCTGAACATCCACCGAGCAGAAGCTTCGCGGGGACATGCTGAGTGGAGGTAGCGGCAGGCAAGGAGCATGAAGCCAGGTCTGCAGTCAGCCTCATGCCAGGGTGGCCAGCAGTCTTGTGGCCAGAAGGGGGGCCTCAGAGAGCAGACCTGGAGTGACTGGGAGCTGCAGGTGGACCTGAGGTAGGCAGGCCTGGGGCCAGGCGGGCATGCAGGAGACGCTTAGGCATGGGACCCTAAGGAAGCCGGCTCCACTGCCTCCTGTGTTCCCTGGGCCCACTGCACCCCAAGCCATGGCACACAGACCCCTGGGAACCCCATCTCCTGGGCTTTCCAGCCCTCTGCTTCCAGCCAGGTTTGGCCAATGGGAAGCCCTGGCAGAGAGGAGAGGGGTCAGGTATTTACTGTCCCTGGCTCTCCAGCCTTACCCAGCACTGTTGATTTCTAGGGCTACAGCTCCCCCCACCCCGGCCCTGGATGTCTCTGGTTCCCTCTGATTCTCCATTCAGCTGTGCCACCGTGGCAGCGTGTTCTGTTTTTACACCCGGAGTGCTCTACGGCCTGGCTGGTGGTCTTAGCCCCTCTTATGCATCCAAAAACAGTCACATAACTCAACTCTGGGGGTCCCAAGGGAATTTGGGTCAGGATCAGAACCAGGGGCAGAAGATCAGCATCCTTGACTGCTCAGCGATGAATCCATTTCCTGTCCCCGCTGCTGGGTTCTCCTCCCACGGCTGCAGAAGGAAGCCCATTTCAGGGACACCTGCATGTGGGGTCCTGCAGCCTCTGCATGTGGAATAGAGACATCCAGGGCTCCCAGAAGGCGTCCCTGCGGAGCAGACCCCAGGCAGGTGTTTGGTTTCAGGGACAGCTTTGCATCCTTGGTGCCTCGATCCATGCTGAGTGCATAGAAGGTGCCCAGCCCACACCGGTCAGGAGGAAGGAGGGGTCCGGGTGACAGACAGACAGGATGCAATGAGTCCATGGTGATGGTCCCTGAAGAACGGGCCCAGGGAGGGGTGTGCTCAGTTCCACTTCCCCTGTGGAAGGCATCAGACCATCAGCCTCAAACCTTCCCTGGGTCTGTCCTCAGAGCAGGCTGGATGCTGCAAGCACCCCTGTGCCTCTGCAGGCAGTCGAGTCAACAGAGGTGATGATCGCCATCAGGGAGGGCCCGTGAAAAGAGCCCCAAAAAAACAAGTGGCTTTCACTTGCCACCAGCCTTTGAAATCTTCACCACTTTGTTCAAACAGCCTTTGAAGCCACTTCTGGGGCCTGGCTTGTCTCTAAATTACCTGTTGTTTTGGTTTCTTGAGTGCTTTTGGCCAGGAGTTGTTCCCTTGAAAATGCAGTGGCTTCTGTAAATATGCTTTCCCTTCCACAGACCCCAACAGACAGCCGAGGCCCTCCCTGTTCTTCTCTGTCCCCTCCCATCCCACCTGGGCACCCCTCCCCCCACGGTGATCTTATTGCTTTATTTCTGAAACCACATACATAACTTTTTCCTTTGAAACTTCCCCTGCTGCTGAAATACAAGAAAAGCAACTTCTGCTCTGCAGGGGCTGGGGTTGCTCAGCTGGGCTCCCACACAGGTGCGTCCGTGTGAGTGGTTACAGCAGAGGCCCTTTGCCGTCCAGCGATGCTGCTGGAACCTCTCACCACTGGGTTGCAAGCAGGCCTAAGTGGGCAGAATCAAGAATCAAGCCCACCTCCCAGGCATCCGTGCCGCCCTTCCCTAGCCTTCTCTGAGTGCTGGAGCTGTGGACCTGGCATTCCTGACCTTGAGGAGGAGGGTGTGTAGGTCTAAGGGGACATCCTGCAGGACTCAGTAGGACTGTTGGGATAGGGAATGAGATGAGGGGCCAGGACTCCCACGGAGTGACAGCCAAAACAAAGGTCCCAGCCCTGGTGGGGCAGCCTGTTTGGGACAATGTGGCTGGAAGGGGAAGCTAGAGGTCTTAATAGGCGCTAAGTATTGAGCCAAGACACTGGTGCTGTGCTGTAGTGTGTGAACTCTAGGAAGCCTCTTGTGGGGACTCCTGCCATTTCTTTGTTTATATTGGCTCTTTTAAGGGTAAAATTTATGCAGCAACACATGTCTGCTGAGGAAGTCTTATGTGTCAGCGAGACTCCAGGCACGTGGGGCCCGTCATCGCACAGAGCAGAAAACACTTCCCTCACAGCACTCGCATTGGACTGAAGCAAACACGGACCTGGGTGCCGTGTTGCCGTGGGGGGTACATACTGGGGAACCAGTGGGTGGGAGAAGGCAGATGGCACTGCCGTGGGCGGCCTTTCTCCCATGGTGCAGACCTGACCCCCACCCCTGTTTCCACAGGGCTGTCCCGCAGCCCCACAGACGGTGGCGGTAGAGGGATAGCTGGGCAGGGAGCCTTGTGGAAGACCACCGTGGTAGGGACAGAGGGAGAGACACCGGGGGGTCTTCAGAGCTTGGCTTCTCGTTCTGAACACTTGAGAAATGTTGTGCTTTTGACCAAAAGAGAGAACACAGGCTTGGGGGCTCCGGCAGCAGAAAGATAACTGGTGGGCATCTGAACCTGTGGAGTCCCTGGGGCATCCACGCTGGTGACATCACGACTGGATTGGAGCAGGGGAGGGGTCCCAGATGAAAAGTGGAAGGGTCACCTGCTTGTAGCTGAGAGAGAGCAGGAAATTGGAGTTCTGCCCCTGCCTCTCTACTCCTTACTTCTCAAAGATCCCTCTGTGTCCTGACGGGCTTGGCCTCTCCCTTGTCAAGCCTTCTCAGAGGAAAAATCTGATTTGTGTTGGGATGGAAGTAAAAGTAGCTGAAAATAAACTGTTAGGCCTATGTCCACTACAGCCTTCCAGAAGGGTTTGCGTTTGCGTGGGGATTAGAGCATCAGGCAAAGGGGCTTTGCATTCTCAGATGGAATTTAGAGCCTGCCCTGCAACAGATCAAGAAGGGTTTTCTTGGTGCCATAAAACTACAACATACAGGCTGCCTCCTCTTCTGCCATGACAGAGGTCAGCCCTGAAAGAAGAAAAGACAGCACATTAGACTCACTCTAAAATCTTTGCTCTAGAAATGGTCTTTGGCAACTCCACCCACCTTTCAAATTCATGTCCACTAAAATTTCATCCTCATTTTCCCTGGCAGGCTTCCCCTGTGTTAAAAGTACACATTGTGACTATTTTCTTGGGATGAGTCATGGTTTTCAGGTTGGACTTTACAGAGAGGTCTTCTGGTCCCAGGACTCTGTTTTGCAGATAAAGAAACTAAGGCCCAAGGAGGAAAAATGCATATGGCCTTTGGCATGTCAATTAGCAAAAGGATGAAGGCCACAGTCTTTGGGTTCCTGATTCAAAGCAACTTTAACTTGTGGGAGTTTTGAGACAGAGTCTCACTCTGTTCCCCAGGCTGAAGTGCAGTAGCGCCATCTCGGCTCACTGTAGACTCAGCCTCCTGGGTTCAAGCGATTCTCCTGCCTCAGCCTCCCGAGTAGCTGGGACTACAGGTGTTTGCCACCATGCCCAGCTAATTTTTGTATTTTTAGTAGAGATGGGTTTCACCATATAGGCCAGGCTGTTCTTGAACTCCTGACCTCAGGTAATCTGCCTGCCTTGGCCTCCCAAAGTGCTGGGATTACACGTGTGAGCCACCACATCTGGCTCACTCTTCTTTTCACTGATAATTCTAAGGGACAATCAGGATATTTTAAGACTTTCTTTTCTTTTCTTTTCTTTTTTTTTTTGAGACAGAGTCTTGTTCTGTCGCCCAGGCTGGAGTGCAGTGATGTGATCTCAGCTCACTGCAACCTCCACCTCCCAGGTTCAAGTGATTCTCTTTCCTCAGCCTCCCGAGTAGCTGGGATTACAGGCACCCACCACCATGCCCAGCTAATTTTTGTATTTTTAGTAGAGACCATGCTTGCCAGGCTGGTCTCAAACCACTGACCTGAAGTGATTCACCCACCTAGGTCTCCCAACGTGCTGGGATTACAGGGGTGAGTCACCGCTGCACCCAGCCAACAATCAGGATATTTTGGAGCTCAGTGAGACTTTAGGGATGATTTAGTTTCTGGTGCTTTCTACCAGCACAGTCATCACTACCTTCGCCATCTTACAGATGGGTAAACGGAGGCACGTCAATGTGCTAGCTACTAGAGGACCAGAGACCAAAAGCAAGCATCCTCCTCCTCCACCCGGTGATTTCTGCAGGAAGACATGCCACTGGTTTTGTACAACCTTTTGGGTGTGTTGGCGGGGAAGGGTATTACTGGCCACAGAGCTCCAGGGAAGGTTAGAAGGCCATGTCTTGCCTTGGTGTGTGTGCTTTGTGGCCAGTTGATCCCTCCTGAGTGAATCCTGCGTGTCGGTTGTGAGGAGAATGAAAGAGAAGATTCCGGTGCCTTCGAACATCACTCAATAAACGCTTGAGAGACTCCTGTCTTAGCACAAAGCCGGGGGCTCCACTGCAGACAACCACAAGAAAGGAGCGGCCGGGCCTGCGCTCCCCTTAATTCTGGAGCAAACACAATGGTATTTTTTTAAGGATAATGTAGAGGGAGAGACTGTGACTGCTAATTTCTTTTTGGAGACAACCGAGGCAAAAAAAGAATAGCAAAGAATTTATTTTGGCAACAATTCTTGATCTTCTTTTTACAAAGAAAGTTAAAGCCATAATTCCCCCAGGTGCAAATGCTGTAGCCTGAAAAACCTTCCTTGAAACATATTAAACCAGAGCGTAGGTGAGTAAAGAGGAAATCCACCTGGGCTGTGTCAGATGGCCTTAGGTTTTCTCTTGTTTATGAGATGAGAAAACTGAGGATAGTTGCAGAAAAACATTTCTATTTCAAAAATCCAAATTTTGTGCGAACGTGGGAAATGTGTACTGCACATTATCTTTTTGGTAGATCCTGAAAGACATCAGCCTTTTTCTTTTTAATGTGCCTTGGGAGAATCCCTGGGGAGGGGGATGAGAGGGGTGCGGGGGCCTGGATTCCAGCCTTTGCCCTGCCGTGAAGCGGCTCCTTGAGGAAGCGGCTAATTACCTTGGGTCAATCAGTGGCTTTGTTGGGCTTTAGGACAGGGTGACTTGTAAATGACAATACTGCAGAACGTGTCACCTGGAAAAGGCAGGATTCTGCTGGGGAGAGCGCTCCCTGGGTCCAGGAGCACCTTCCAAGGGTGCTTTTTGAGTCCCAGATGCTTAGGAGGTACCTTCTTTCCTCCGGGCTTGCCACCTTCAGCCCCACTCAATTCTGTAAGTTGGAAGATGGAGTGTAAGGTTAAGCCCCCCTTAGCTAATCTGGCATGCCTTGGATGTAGTGAGCAGTGGCCTTCGCAAATCTCTGGGAGCCCGGCTGACGGCTCAGCCAAGTCAGCAGTGCCTGCCTCAGCTGGACGCTCAGGCCCAGTGCCTCGCGCTTTCCTGGAGGAAAAGCTGCTAGAATGTAGGGCTTCTCCCAGCTCCAGCAAGCATGGTTTAATTGGCATCCATCCCAGAATTCTACACATGGAACTAGAAAGTGAACCTGTATCATTCCAATAAGTGTACAACTCCCCTGGGCTTATTCATGTCCTTTATTAAAGAACTTGTATTTTCTAAATATGTGTGTTTTTCTAAGGCCCTTAGGAAGGTCCTTAGGATGGCCTTAGTCTACAGACATTCCAGAGATGGTTGGTGCATCTCTGTTCCTCTCTCTCTCTCTCCCTGTCTCTCTGCCTCTCTCCCCTCCTTTCCATCACCCCTCATTCATTCACCATTTATTAATCACCCACCACGAAAATAGAGAGCCTGGGTCCAGAAGGGAGAACAGGTTCGAGCAGGTGGTTTTTTGGACAGGTCCTTACTGAACACCCACATCTTCAAGGCTCCAGGCTGAATGCTGAGGCACAGCAGAGAGTTGGATCTTAGCCACAAGGACTAGCCCGGATTAACGAGGAGGTGCCCCTATAGTAAATGCTATAATCGCAAATTAATTTCATTCCAGAAATGTTTCCACAGTGGAGCACATCTGGCCAGAGGGAGATTAGCTGGGGTGGGTCCAAACAATAGGAAGTTGTCCCCAAAACTGAGTGAGAATGGCCCAGGAAGCAAGAAAAAAAAAAATCTCCATTCTGTACAATGTTAGAAAAGACAGCAGAACTCATTCTTCCCTTGGCGAGGTCAGAGTTTGCCTTGGAGCTCTGGGATCCTGGGGCGGTTCCCAATGACCCCTGAGCAGCCTATGCCACATTTTGCATGGGAGACCCAAGACCGGGGGGTGGAGGGACAAGTGGAGAGTGTTTCATCCAACTCTGCCTTTCTTTACATTTCTGGCTATGAAAGGCAATATGATACAGTTTATTCAGGTTAAGATTCAATATTCTTGGAGACTATTTTGTAAAAATTCAATACTGAGGGTAAGATTCCAACATTAAATAAGCAAAATATGACATAACAATATGATATATAATATATAACAAGCATCTAGGTGCTGTCTGGTGTGTGTGTGTGCATGTGCGTGTGTCTGCTGTGTGTGTCTGGTGTACATGTGTGTGTGTGTCCAGTATGTGTGTGTGTCTGGTGTGTCTGCTGCACATGTGTGTATGTGTGTGCATGTGTGTGTGTCTGGTGTGTGTGTGTCCAGTGTATGTGTGCCTGTGTGCATGTCTGGTGTGTGTGTGTGTGTGTGCATGTGTGTGCATCTGGTGTGTGTGTCTTCTGTACGTGTGTGTGCATGTGTGTGTGTCTGGTATGTGTGTGTGTCTGCCGTACGTGTGAGTGTGTTGCGTGTCTGGTGTGTGTGTCTGGTGTATGTATGTCTGTGTGTGTCTGGGGTACTTGTGTGTGTCTGGGGTACTTGTGTGTGTCTGGTGTGTGTGTCTTGTATGTGCGTGGGTTTGGTGTACGTGTGTGTATATGTGTGTGTCTGGTGTATGTGTGTCTGTGTGTGTGTGGTGTACATGTGTGTGTATATGCATGTTTGTGTCCATGAGAAAATACGTGATGGGAGGAGCAGATGGTGAGATGGAGGAAAAATCAACTGATCTCCACTCAAGACCCCGAGCTTTCACTTTGGTAAAGTCACTTAAGGTCTTTCAATGAAGAGATTGTTCTAGATTATTTCAAAGTTCTTTATATCCATCCCATTGAGTCTCAGAAGGTTTTGATTGTAAGATGCTTCATTTTTTAAGGTAACATTAAGAGAGGAAAAACACCGTCAAACTATTTTGTGTCTTTACTTGTGAGATATATTCTGATTTCAGAGACACCAAAATGTGAAATAATGTGTCTTAGCATTACTGCAATGTAATGTCTAGTATTTTATTATTTGATTTATGCATATGTGTGTATGTCTGTGCATATGTATATGCAATGTCTTACTCAGTTAGCAAGAGAGAGGGGCCTAGAAAGATACATAGATGATAGATCAATAGATAGATACAGAGAGATGGGTGGATGGATAGTTATACAGATACACAGATAGATACACAGATATAGATGATAGATAGATACACAGAGAGTTGGATGGATGCATAGATAAACAGATAGATTGATAAATACAGAGAGAGATGGATGGACAGATGGATGGACAGATATACAGATGCACTGATAGATAATAGATGGATGGATGAGTGGATGGGTGGATGGATGGTTGGATGGAGGGATGGATGGTTGGATGGATGGTTGGATAGATGGATGGATGGATGGATAGATAGATATACAGATACACTGATAGATAATAGATGGTTGGATGAGTGGATGGATGGATGGATGGATATACAGATACACTGATAGATAGATAATAGATGGATGGATACGTGGATGGATGGATGGAAAGATAGAAGGCTGGATATGGAGGATTCCTGTGGCACTTCTGGTGCCAACCTCATTAATTTCCAGCAGATGGTCTGTGTAAGGTCTGAAACCTGATCTTTCCAAATATCCTTTCATCAGCTAGAGACTCTAATCTGACCCATCTATGCTTCTCTAACCCATTAGTCATTGATATTTTTAATGCTGTTGTCTTATACACAGGCTAAACAAGTACTAAACTGTGTGAGTCATTGCAGGGCAACCTGTCTGTGACATTAGACAACTGTTAGGGAGCCGATTTATTACGGACAGAGCACTGTGTCCAGGTCTGGGGAGGCCAGGTCATGGAGAACCTGGAGTGGTCCCTGAAGAGCATGGACTCCAGTTTTTTCAAAATGGAAAGACTGTGCAGGTCCTGGCTGTCCAACATTATTCCAGGCTTAGCTCAGCATGGCCTCTCATAGGAGCTTTCTCTGATGCTCTCTTCCCTAAATTCATCTCTTCCTCCTCTATATTCTGGATCATTTTCTTTGACTTTTGTTATTTATTTCAAGATTACTACATACACCCTGCCTGACAGTAGAGATGGAAAAGCACTGTCTCATTGCTCTCCCATTGTACTAGCTGGCATCATGGACTTCACCTAACCCTCTTCACTTTCCCCTAGAGTTCAGCCTGGTGGTCTCCATACAGTGGGACCCAGGTGAAATAGCTGAACTTAAATACCTGGTAAAACAAAGTATAAAATAGTCTTTAACTTCTGATGGCTTAAAATTAAATTATGCAAGGAAAGGGGACACAGGAAAACCTTTAAGTAAGGCAATATTTGCTAATACTCTGAGTGGCCCAAGCAGCCTCCACCCTGGGATTTAGGAATAGGGAAAGATGGTGCCAGATGGAAAGTCATGCAGGGATTTGTGGATAGGGTGCATTTTCAGTGCAGTGACTACGCGTGGAGATCTTGAGGGTGTTTTATTCTCTTTGCCACTGCTAATCACTTTGTACTAGACCTCCTTATAAATAAGAATAGTTGATCAAACCATTCCCTGAACATGTTGGATACCCACCTTCACCAGTTGACTGTTGCGATGTGGCTTTGCTCCACACTTTTCGTAGCAGGGAATGAGCCAGAGAAGGAACTGGGATCTTGAAGAGAATTATGGTGACAGTCCTCAGACCCTCCCAGAGTAGTCCCGTAGCAGTGCAGCCGGCTTTGCTGCCTGAGGACACTGTGCACCCTGATGCCCAGGTCAGACTTGTGGTTACTCACCGTCCTAGAAATGGGCATCTGGGCTTGGTGCCTTGTCTGCCAAGTGGGTTCCAGCGGTTCCCACACATAGAGAATGTGGGAGAGAATGTTAATTTCAAGTGATGAGCTTGGAGTTATAGCTGTAAAGCAACAGTGGATTATTTTCAAATGACCCAAAGTTTATATGGTAAGAACTCAGTTATCTGGAGCTCTAGAGAATGAATCACTGGACGTAGCAGAGGCAGAGTTTAGTCCTTTATTCCTTGTTAAAAAACCTGAGCATACTAGATGGACATATTTCTGCTGAGTGTAGAAACCAGAGGACCAACCAGCCCCTTACCCTGGCATCCACCGCAGCAGGAAGCTTGGCCAGGGCTTTGAGGGATCCTCTGAGAGTACAGCGTAGAAACGTCATTGGTGCAAGACTGTGACCTGCCCTGCGTTTTGGGGACTGCTCCTTCACGATGCAAACCAGAGCCCAACAGCCACGCCAGCCACCACTGTGAGCTGTGGTTTGCCTCCTCCATGCATTCACTGTGCTCTTCTCTACTTGTTGGAACCATGGCCGTCACCAACCCACTGGTCTGCTTTCTTTCCACCGCGTCCCCCACCTTCTTGAACCACTCCATCAGCATACAGCTGCTAGAAAGATCTTTCACACTGAAGCCATACCATATCACGCTCTTTCTTCGGAATGTCATCTCTGAAATGACAGGTGTGCACCGTAGCTTGGTGTGCAAAATTCCAAGCCGTGCAGAGCCTGTGCCGCCCTGTGTTTGTGTACTTCACCCATGTCTCCAGGTGAGCTGTTTCTCCTCTCAGGGGCCTCCGCGCGGCGCTCCCTCCTCTGCCACGCTCCTCAGACACCCGCAGGCCACCCTGTACGTCACACTCACACGTGCCCACGTCGCTCAGTCCACGATGGGCGTCTCGAAGGCAGAGCTGGTGTCCTTTCTTCCTCCCCTCAATCCAAATCTTTTTATGGAGCCTCTAATTGTGCCAAGCACCATGGTGGGTACTGGCACCAGAGAGGTGACTTGGAAGACAGAGATGGCAGTGCCCACCAAGCATGTCCTTCCCTTCCCTTCCCAGGCCCTTCCCAGGGCGCTCCAGCCCATGAAACAGGGGTGAAAGGCAAGCGCGCTCACTCCCGGCTGAGGAAGTGAAGCCCAGCAAGGGTTCTCCGTTCTCTCTCTTCCCCCGAGGGGAATGCAGAGACCTGTGTCTCAGATGGTGCCACCCAAAGTGGCAGAGCCCGTGTCAGCGGTGGGACAGGGCCCTGCCGAACCACCCCGGGAGCACAGCGTGGGAAGAAATGCGCGCTTGACAAGCGAAGCCCCGTGTGTTCGCCCGTCTGATGGCAACAGCTGCGCGTCCTTCCGTCTTCCACTCTAGTGGGGGAGGCCAGGGTCAGAACATGCCTGAGAAAGCAGATAAACAAAGGAGACAGGGCCAGGGAGGTCCCACACGGAGAATGAAGTCAGGTGACTTGGCAGAAGGCAAGGGCAGGCCACGTTTGATGGCGCGGCCTGGGCAGCACAGCTGAGGACCCCGACTGCAGGGTGAGCCCTGAGTGATGAGAAGGAAGCCGCGCGGCCAGCCAGGGGCAGGGACATTCGTCAGAGAAGCACGAATGCGAAGGCCGAAAGGGAAGCAAGCCTGGGGAGCTGGAAACCTGAATAAGACCTGCGGGGCCACATGGAGGCGAGGGGAAGTCAGAAGCAGTGAGGGTGGAGCCCCGCGGAGCCTGTAAGTCCCTGTGAGGGCTCCGGACTTTGTGCCGTTCTCCGCACCCCTCAGGCCCGGTGGAGTGCGTGACCCCTACGCCGGGCCCGCATCATTTTGGCTCCACAGCTGCCTTTACTCCCAATTACTGCTTGATCCGGGTTGTGCTCTGGATCGATGAGATTGTCAGCAAGCTCCAGGCAGCCAAGGGGGCCCTGTGTCCGGGAGAGAATGCCTTGCCTGGCAGAAGATGGCTGAGAGGATCAGGTGAATCCTAAGTGGATGAGCGTTGGGCCAATCAGGGTTCATGCGCGAGCAGCCACAGTCCATCTGCTGCAGCCACGTCCTTGAGGAAACCCGTCAAATCAGGAGCAGCAGCTCTCCAGGCCCCTTCATTCCAGGACAGTCGGCAGAGAACTAGCAGAACCAGATATGCAGCTCCAGGAGGGAGACCTGACCCTTGCACGTGGGCTCCTGAGCTGCATAATTCCGAATTTGTGGTCCCTCTCTTGTATCATCAGGGATGGAGGTCCCAAGGCAGTGTGGCAATAAGGAGCTATGTTTCCGGCCCTCTCCTTTCAGCTTGGCTTGTGGGCGGAGCAGCCCTGGGGCTCCCTGGTGTGAGGGTGGCTCCGGGCTGCGCCTGCAGACAGGCTTTCTGGGTCCTTGCAGAAAGGGCACCGGTCCTTGCAGAAAGGGCCCAGCAGGCAGGGCACCGGTCCGGCGTAAGCTCACTCTCAGCTTTCAGTTAGATCGCAGCTCCTGGATTGAGCTGTATACCCAAACCCAGCTATATGCTCTTTACAAGCACATACAATAAAGTGACAGAAAGGGATCCAAAAAGTGTACTGGGTGCGTGCACGGAGGGAAGAGGAGACCACAGGGTTAACCTGAGGCTCGGAGGCAGCACAGCGAGAATCACTCAAGGACAGAGAGGATAATTACAGATTATAAAGGGCACCATTCACATCAGAGATATGTAATTGCTATAAACGTTTAAGTATTAAGTTATGCTGTCTTTAAATAGATAAATTAATGTTGGCGATTTAAGGGACGTACAGAAACTGAATGTGGTAGGAGACTCAATATTTAGTACTTCTGCCTGGCTTAACAGATCATTCAAGCAAATTTTAAACAAAGGTATAGAGGGAATGAACAAAGAAATTAGAATGATTTCATATAAAAATGACTACCTTAGAGAAAATATAACTTTTTTTCCCCACACAATGTCTCTGTCACTCAGGCTGGAGTGCAGTGGTGTGATCACAGTTCCCTGTAGCTTTCATCTCCTGGGCTCATGTAATCCTCCGACCTGAGTTGCTGAAGTAGCTGGGACTACAGGCACATGCCATGTATCAGATCATTTTTTTTTTTTTTTTTTGTAGAGACAAGGTCTCGCTGTGTTTCTCGGGCTGGTCTCAAATTCCTGGGCTCAAGCAATCCACCTACCTCGGCCTCCTAAAGTGGTGGGATTACAGCTGGAGCCACTGCATCCGGGCTGCAACTGTTTTTAATGTCCATTGAAAATTGGCTAAAATGCACCATGTATTATGCTATAAATTACATCTCAAGTTGGCAAAAGCAGAATGTATATGGGTTGTATTCTATAGTCACAACATACAGACACAAGAAGAGAAAAGAAGAAAAGGTAGGAAAGAAGGGAGGAGAAATAAATTAAGCTGTTCACACTCAAAAATTTTAACCTTTGAAATTAAAATACAGACTTCTTTACAACCCTGAAATTAAAATAAAACATAAATGAATCAAAATTTCAATTAAAGTTGCCATTACACTGGGCGCGGTGGTTTATGCCTGTAATCCCAACACCTTGGGAGGCCTAGGTGGGCAGGTCACCTGAGGTCAGGAGTTTGAGACCAACCTGACCAATATGATGAAACCCTGTGTCTACTAAAAATACAAAAATTAGTTCCATGTGGTGGGGGGCACCTGTAATTCCAGCTACTTAGGAGGCTGAGACAGGAGAATTGCTTGAATCTGGGAGACGGAGGTTGCAGTGAGCTGAGATTATGCCATTGCACTCCAGCCTGGGCAACAAGAGCAAAACTCCATCTCAAAAAAAAAAATAAATAAATAAAAATAAAGTTGCCATTACAGACTCTACCTGTGTTATAAGGACATTGAAAACGCTGCTGTGGTGGATTGAGTGGCTGCGACACTGCCCCGTCCACGGTGGACTCTGCTTTCCCTCCCCGTGCGTTAGGGCTAGCTCTGTGCGCTCGTCTCCTGTTTCTCTGCAATGTGCCAGCACCACTGCCCCATCCACGGTGGACTCCGCTTTCCCTCCCCGTGGGTTGGGGCTGGCTCTGTGCTGCTCTGACGGACAGATGTGGTGGAAGTGCCGCTGTGTGGCTTCTGGGTCTGGGCCTTAAGAGGTCTGCAACTTCGGCTTTTGCAACTTGGAAAGCTCACTGGCGGGATTCTCTCGTCAGGAAGCCTCCTGAGCTAGAACGTGGAGCATCGACCTCAACAGAGCACCACGCGTGGGTGAAGTCATCTGGGAGCTTTGAGCTGTCATCAACTTCAACCTGCGGCGAGACCTCAGCCAACACCACATGGAGCGGAGGAACGGCGAGCAAGTGCAGCCTGAAATCCTGAGCATGAAACAGGATGCGTGTGTACACCGGTTGCAGAGCGGCACCTGAAGCTGTGCTGACCTGCCCTAGCATAGATGCCCGTGAGGCACAGCTGCAACCGGGGCTGAGTTTGCAGTCATCTGCCATCCACCAGCATCCATCTGGTTTTGCAGGGGCCAAACTGATGACTTGAATGGAACATGATGGGGGCTATTCCCTGCATTCTTGAAGTCTTGAAGGATGTTGTTGGCCTCTGCCATCCCCGCCCCGGGGTCCACGGGGTCATGCTGTTGTTTTTGACTCTCTCTCTTGGCAGGAGTGAGAGCAATTTCATAAGCTTCTACTAGGCTTTTACGCACCGACGAAATCACCAATGTGTGGGGTTTTCTGACTACCACATTCATGTATCCAATTACATATTCAAGGACCAGAGAGTTGATCTCTAAGTAGGGCTGTGGGTCCAGTGGATCCAATGTGAGCTGAAACCAGGCCTGACTCCATTGACTCTCCGGTCCCCAAATGTTCCCCTCCCACACTGGGCCGTGATAGCACTTTGAGAACCTGGTATCCAGGTCGGATCAGACCCTGCGTCTAACGTTCTCCAAATGTTTGTGCACTCGCCTTTTCCCAGCCTCTGGTTACCAGAGTGAATGGCTCCAGGTTCCTTTGAGGAAATTCCTGAAGAATTCTCACCATGTCTGCCATGTACTGCTTTACGATGGTGACACATCCTGAGAAATGCGTCGTTAGGTGATGCCACCATTGTGTGAACACCATAGAGTGTAATAACACACCTGGATGCTGTAGCCTACTACGCGTGTAGGCTGGATGGTATGGCCTGTTGCTCCTGGGCCACAAACCTGCACAGCCTGTATCTGCACTGCATGCTGTAGGCTATTGTAACTCAAAATGGTAAGTGTAAGTGTATCTAAACATATCCAAACAGAGAAAAGTTATACTAAAAATACGTATGATAATCTCAAGAGCCCACCATGGCACATGCCGCCTGCCATTGCCCAGCACACCCCTGTGTGGCACATGATGTCCCTGTGGCACCACAGTGCTTCCCACCCTCCCTTCTGAAGACCCTGCCTCTGTGTTCATGGGTGGGTCCCCGGTCTGGGAAACTGGGCAGTAATATAACGTTGTATTGGGATGCCTGCCCCGTTCCTCCTGATCTATTTTGTCATTGATTTCTTTTGATAGGTGAAAGCATACCCATGCTGGCCGCCCATCTGTTGTGCCTCAGGAACACCATGTTTTACTGACCGTCTCCATAGTTTGGGGAGGGCGCTCTGGGCCGGTGACCCTTGATGATGCCCCATCCCATGATAGCACCCACCCTGCTGATGGGGAAATGCCACCCACACCAGCCTCTCCCCACTCTCAGTTCTGCCATGGCATCTCCCACTGTCATCCCTGCCTACAAGGACAGTCACTTGCAATGGTTAACTTTATGTAACTTGGCTAGGCCATGGGGTGCCCAGACGCTGGGTCAAACATTGTCCTGGTTGTGTCTGAGGCTGTTTGGGATGAAGTTAACATTTGAGTGGGGAACTGGGGAAAGCAGATGCCTTCCTGAATGTGGTGGGCCATATCTGATCCCTTGAAGGTGTGAATAGAACGAAAGGCCAACCCTTCCACAAGTGAGTGGGCGCTCCTCCCACCTGACTGCTTGAGCTGGGACATGGGTTGTTCTCCAGCCTTCAGACCCAAAGTGAAAAATGAGCTCTTCCAGGCACTGGAGCCTCCAGCTTTCAAACTGGAGCCACGCCATCGGCTCTCTTGGGTCTCCAGCTTGCTGACTGCGATCTCAGAACTTGTCAGCCTCCATATTTTTGTGAGGCAATTCCTTATAATAATTTCTTTCTTCTCTTTATATATGTGTTCTGTTGGTTCTGCTTCTCTAGGAAACCCTGACTAACCGTGGCTGATGATCACCCTTGACCCTCTTGGACAGAGTCCCTTCCCCAGCATAGTTGTCAGTATTCTGGCGAATGGAATGTTTGCCCTCCATGTCCTTGTGCAAGACAGAGTTGGCCAGTTGACTTTCTACCCTTATGAAGCACAGGCATACTTTGGAATATTGCAGGTTCAGTTCCAGACCACTGCAACAGAGCAAATGTCACAAAGCAAGTCACATGGATGTTTTTGGTTTCCCAAAGCATATAAAAGCTACATTTACTCCATACTCTTACATCTTTTTTTTTTTTTTTTGGTTGGAGTGCAGTGGCACCATCTCGGCTCACTGTAAGCTCCGTCTCCCGGGTTCACACCATTCTGCCTCAGCCTCCCGAGTAGCTGGGACTACAGGTGCCCACCACCACGCCTGGCTAATTTTTTTGTATTTTTAGTAGAGACGGGGTTTTACCGTGTTAGCTAGGATGGTCTTGATCTCTTGACCTTGTGATCTGTCCACCTTGGCCTCCCAAAGTGTTGGGATTGCAGGCGTGAGCCACCACACCCAACCCCTCTTACATCTTTTATGTATGCAAGAGTGTTATGTGTTAAAAAACCAACATGTGTAACTTAATTAAAAATACTTGAGGCCAGGTGCAGTGGCTCACGCCTGTAATCCCAACATTTTGGGAGGCCAAGGTGGGTGGATCACCTGATGTCGGGAGTTCAAGACCACCCTGACCAACATGGAGAAACCCTGTCTCTACTAAAAAATACAAAAAATAGCCGGGCGTGATGGTGCATGCCTGTAATCCCAGCTACTCGGGATGCTAAGGCAGGAGAATTGCTTGAACCAGAGAGGCAGAGGTTGCGGTGAGCCAAGATTGCACCATTGCACTCCAGCCTGGGCAACAAGAACGAAACTCTGTCTCAAACAAACAAACAAAACAAACAAACAAATAAAACTTTTGCTAAAAAACGCTAATGCCTTCAGCAAATTGTGATCTTGTTACTGGTGGAGGGTCTTGCCTCGATGTTGATGGCTGCTGACTGATCAGGGTGGTGGTTGCTGAAGGCTGGGATGGCTGTGGCAACTTTGTAAAATGAGACAACAATGAGGTTTGCTGTATCGATCGACTCTTCTTTCACAAAGGTTTGTCTGTAGCATGCAATTCGATTTGATAGCATTTTACCCACCACAGAACTTTCAAAATTAGACTTAATCCTCTCACACCTCCCCTTCTTTATCAACTAAAATTATGTAATATTCTAAACCCTTTGTTGTCATTTCAGCAACCTTCACTGCCTCTTCACCAGGAGTAGAGCCAGTCTCAAGAAACTCCTGTCTTCGCTCATCCATAAAAATCAACTCATTCTTTCCAGTTTGATCATGAGATTGTGGCAACTCAGTCCCATCTTCAGGCTCCACTTCTAGTTCTAGTTCTCTTGCTATTTCTACCACATTTGCAGTGACTTCTTCCACTGGAGTTTTGAACTCCTCAAAGTCATTCATGAGAGCTGGAATCCACTTCTTCCAAACTCCTGCGAATGTTAGTATTTTGGCCTCCACTCATGAATCACAAATGTTCTTAGTGGCATCCAGAATGACGAACCCTTTCCAGAAGGTTTTCAATTTACTTTTCCCAGATCCATCAGAGGAATCACTATCTATGGCAGATGACCTCACAAAATGTATTTCTTAAGTAATAAGACTTGAAAGTCGGAATTATTCCTTGACCCATGGGCTGCAGAATGAATGTTGTGTTAGCAGGCATAAAAATATTAATCTCATACATCTCCAGCAGAGATATTGGGTGACCAGGTGGATTGTCAATGGGAGGTAATATTTGGAAAGGAATCTTTTTTCTGAATACCAAGTCTCAACAATGGGATTAAAATATTCAGTAAATCACGCTGTAAACATATGTGCTGTCATCCAGCTTTGTTGTTCCAGTTACAGAGCACAGGTAGTGTAGGTCTATCATAATCCATAAGGGCCTTCGGGTTTTGGGAACGTTAAATGAGCATTGGCTTTAACTTGATGTCACCAGCTGCATTAGCCCCTCACAAGAGAGTCAGCCTGTCCTTTGAAGCTTTGAAGCCAGGCACTGACTTCTCCTTTCTAGCTAGGAACGTTCTAGATGGCATCTTCTTCCAATAGAAGGCTGTCTCATCTACATTGAGAAATCTATTATTTAGAGAAGCCTCCTTCATCAGTGATCTTAGCTAGAGTACCTGGATAACTTGCTGCAGCTTCTCCATCAGCACTTGCTACTTCACCTTGTACTGTTATGTTATGTTATATATGTTATGTTATGTTATGTTATATATGTTATGTTATGTTAAACCTCATGAACCAACCTCTGCTTACTTTAAACTTTTCTTCTGCAGCTTCCTCACCAATCTTAGCCTCCAAGGAATTGAAGAGAGTTAGGGCCTTGCTCTAATTCAAAGCCTGATGGCATAAGGGAATGTTGTGGCTAGTTTGATATTCTATCGGGACCATTTAATCTTTCTCCATATCAACAATAAGGTTGTTTCTCTTTCTTATTATCCATGTGTTCACTGGAGTAGCACTTTTAATTTTTTCCAAGAACTTTTTCTTTGCATTCACAACTTGACTAATTATTTGGCACAAGAGGCAGAGCTTTCAGCCTATCTGGAAGCACAATCATTTCTAGCTTTTGATTGAAAGTGAGAGACTTGTGACTCTTCCTTTCACTCACAGGCTATTGTAGAGTTATTAATTGGCCTAGTTTAAATTTTGCTGCATCCCAGGAAATAGGAAGCCCTGAAAAGAGGGGGAGAGACAGGGGAACGGCCAGTCAGTAAAGCAGTCAGAACACACAACATTCATGAACAAAGTTCACCATCTTCTATGCGTATGGTTTGTGGTGCTCCCAAACAATCACAGCAGTCACATCAAAGAGCACTGATGGATCATCATAACAGAGACAATAATAATGAAAAAGTTAAAATATTGTGAAAATTACCAAAATGTGAAACAGAGACGTGAAGTGGGCACATGCTGTTGGTAACATTCCACCGATGGACTTGCTCAACTCAGGTTGCCGCAAACCTTTCATCTGAAAAAAAAAAATGCAGTATCTGCAAAGCACAATAAAGCAAAGTGCAATGAAAGCAGATGTGCCTGTGAATACACGCTAGTGTGTACACTTCCCTGAGCTTCTGTGTACACCTGTTACTGATTCTTTTTGTATGAACCATCACCCTTATAAAGTTACCAAGAGCTTAATATCATCCCCTTGGGTTATTGCCAGGGCCATCCCGTGTCCCATTAATGTCCCCATATCAGTAAGCCCTCTCTTACTCACTTTATAGTTAGTTTCCTTTGAACTAGCACCCCTGAATCTAATCCCATAATACTCTCCTTGCTACATCCTGCAGTTCCTTTGGGATATACTCCTTGATGTCCAGCAGAGGAGACTGGAGTAAATCCTGAGGGATGAGAAAGGAAGGGAGTCGTGTCTTGCAAAGCAAAGTTTTCTTCCTTGTCTTGAAGCTCCCTGTCTTGTCAGGGAGCATTGGACCACATCTGCAGGCCCAGAAGGCTCAGGAGGACTTGAAATTACAGTGCATGGACCAGCGCCTTCCTTCTAAGTCTTATGGGCTCTCTCCTTTCCAATCAGGGCATGCCACTAGCCTATGACACTGGTCCTAGCAGAGTATCTGAACTTCTCAGAGCTCGGCTGCACTTATTTTTAACTCCTCAGCTTTTATCACGGCTTTTTCTCTCTTCCAAATGTAGGAGATGAAGTGTTCATTATACATGCTCAGGAGTCCCTTGAATCCCATGCTTCCCCTGAAGGCGGTGATTCATCACCCCATCCCTGCTTTGTCTTTCTCCAAAGCAACAGCCGTCTGCTACCACAGTCATAATTCACACTTACCCCTTCCTCCGTGAAGCCCGAAAGAGGCCACACCCCCAGTGCACTGCCCTTTACTGGAATCTCATCCCAGTTCATTACCAGTGAAAGTTTTAATAATTTCACCCCAAAACCATGCCGGGGATATCACTGCCACCAGTGGTGAAGTCTCTATTCAGCTTCAAAATTAAATAATTAAATTTCAAAATAAAATTGGAAATTGCTGAGTAAGAAAAGAGATACAATAACATTGGTTAAAAAAACATGAGTTGGTTCTTTAAAGAAAAAAATAAGGGACACTTGTGGGGAGAGAAGGAAAAAAGAAAGAAAATCGTAATGAAATAAAGAGTTTAAGAACAGAAAAGATAAGGAAGAAAGAATAGAAGGAAGAAGGAAGGAAGGAAGGAAAGAAAGATTAGAATGGAATAATGAAAGAAAGAAAGAAGAACAGAAAGAATGGAGAAAGAAAGGGGGAGGAAGATTAAAAAAAAAAACCTTGGTAAATCCAGTCACGTACAGTGGCTCATGCCTGTAATCCCAGCACTTTGGGAGGCCGAGGTGGTCAGATCACTTGAGGTCAGGAGTTTGAGACCAGCCTGGCCAACATGGTGAAACCCCATCTCTACCAAAAATACAAAAATTAGCCGGGCATGGTGGCGTGGGCCTGTAATCCCAGCTACTCAGGAGGCTGAGGCACAAGAATCGCTTGAACCCAGAAGGCGGAGGTTGCAATGATCTGAGATCGTGCCACTGCACTCCAGCCTGGGTGACAGAGTGAGACCCTGTCTATTAAAAAAAAAAAAAGTAAATCCAAACAAGAATAAAAGAGCATTGCATTAACCACCTGTGTGTTCTTCAGCAAGTAATTTCACCTTTTAATTTTTTACCTATAAAATGAAGAGGAAAATAGTGCTTACAAATGATGTTGTTATGAAGATTAAATAATATTCAATATTACTTTGCACATTCAACATTGCTTAGCACATTTTGGGGTACATAATAAAAATACTTAAGAAACGAACTGTAAAAAGAAAGCATACATACTAAGTCTTACAGACAAGTTTACTTTTCAATGTAAATGAAAAAAATCTTGAGTAAAATACGAGTAAACATTAATTTAGCATTAAAATGAAAGAGTACACATAAAGCCCAAGTTATATTTAATTCTTATAATATTGTTTTTATTTTAGGTTATGTGTTAATACAGTTCAATCTATGACAAAATATAAATCATAAACTCAGTAAATATTGAAAACACATTGGTTTAAAAAATCCATTCCTGATTAAAATGAAAAGAAAAGCCTCTGAATAAACTAGAAATCTCATGTATGGAATAGGTCTCTCTCAAGCTATATCTAATACCACCCTTTAAGGTGAGGTAGGCCCATCACTCTCCAAGGGGATACACAGATAGTTGCTGTAGCAAATGTCATTAACAATTATTCTTAATGTCCAAGACAAAGCAATGAAATAAGAAAACAAATTAGAGTTATGAACACTGGAAAGTAGTATGGGCTGGAATACATCACCCCCAGATTCACATGTTGAAATCCTCAACCCATACCTCAGAATGCAACTTTATGGGGAAATAGTGTCTTTGTGAATGATCCATTAAAAATGAGATTTTGAAAGTGGCCTTGATCCAGTATGATGGGTGTTCTTATACAAAGGGGAAATTTGGACACAGAGACACACAGGGAGAGCACCACCTGAAGATAAAGGCAGAGACAGGGGCGATGCTTCTGCGAGCCAAGAGATGCCCACGACCCGGCCACCAGCAGACGCTGGAGAGAGGCCTGGAGCAGACCCTCCCTCCCCGTCCACAGAGGGAACCAACCCTGCCAACACCTTCACCCCGGGCTTGCCGCCTCTGAAACACCGTGTTAGAGCCATCCAGCTTATGGGACTCATTATGGCAGTCCTAAAAAAGTAACACAGAAAGCAGGAGATGCAATTATTCTTTCTCATAACTGAAACAAATATTTTTCAAAAACTCAGAATTATATCAGCTAAAAATATAAAATAAACACAAAAATGAGAGCTTACCTGTAGAATAAAAACAACTAGTTTGAAAATAGAATAGGAAAAAGATCCAATTCCCAGTAGTAAAAATAGAAAATAAAGGCGAAACACATCTGGTGGTTCTTCGCTGGGGTGTGTGGCGGATGCACGATACGTGGTGTTTCGCGACGATATTGACAGCAACAAAGACCGTCTTAAAATATAATCCTGGGTGAAAAGAGTAAGAAGCTGAATAAGATCTCTGGCAAAACAGAACACGCACACACACGCACATGCCCACAGCATTCATGTGCACACACAGGCACACACACGATGCTCTTTTTAAGAAGCACATGTAAACCAAAAGGCACACTTAGGATGGTTGTCTATTCCAGAGGATGGTGAAAGGGAATAAAGGCATTGAGTAGAGGAATAAATGAGACAGGAAGTGGGCCCCGCGGGAGCCAGTGATGAGACTGTGACACAAACTGAAGGACCTGATGAATTCAACTCGTGGCTCTTGAGGTTAATACACCACCATACTTAATTTTAAATGTATGCAGTTCAGCCAGACCCCAGTCATATATATGTTTTTGATGTTGTTAAACCTTGAGAAAAGGCTTCATCTGGAATAATCATTTTATGAAAATAAGATAGGTCCAACGCTGAGGGCCATGATGGTGGCCATGACCAGCATGGCAGGTAGAGTCATGCCACCTCTGCATCAGCACCACAAGACAGCCAAGCCCCAAACCTGTGATGAGTGATCTTCCACAGCAAAGGGGACTGTGCAGGTGTGGCTAAGGGTCCTGAAATGGAGATGACACTGGATTATCTGGATAGGTCCAGTGTAATCACAGGTGCTTTGTAAGAGGGAGGCGAAAGTGTCAGAGACGTGGTGACGAAAATGTGGGTGGAGAGAAACAGAGAGAAAGAGAGAGAGAGAGAGAGAGAGTAAGAGGAGAGCACGTGATCTGAAGATGCTCCACAGCTAGCTTTGAAGACAGAGGAAGAGGCCGTGAGCCGTGGAACTCAGGCCGCCTCTGGACGCTGGCCAGAGCCGAGGGCCTCCAGAAGGAACGCAGCTCGGCCTTAACCCAGCAAGTCCATGTCTAAGATTTATCTGTAAGAGATTACCAAAAAATGTATTTAAAAATGTATGTTCAAAGTTGTCTATTCATTGTTTATAATATAGCCAAAACTGGAAACAAAAGTCCAAAAATAATAAAGTTAGTGATTTAGTACTTATTTAGACTGGAATAATAGGTAGTATCCAAATATGATGATATATGTCTATATTCATTGGTATTGGCCAAAAGATCCATGATACATACTTTAGTGAATAAAAAGTTACATAATAAAGTACATACAGTAAAATGCCTTTGTATAATATTCTAATTCACACAAAATGTCTGGGAAAATTTTCACAAACATGTTAACTGTGGTTTTCTGTGGTGCTGTAATGTAATTTTGGGTGATGTTAACTCTCCTCCTCCTATTTTGTATGTATTGTTTGTATTCTCTTTTTTCTTTATTTGCAGTGAACATGGATACTTTTTATGGTTCATGAAGACAAAAAAGATATATTTTATTTTGAAGAAAGAAAACAGCATACAAAACTGGTTAAGCAGATGAAATATATGTGACAAAAGAGGAACAGCCTTTATAGATCAAGGACATTATGAGTCACTAAAAATAGACAAAAGACATAAACAGACAATTTACTCACACAAAAAAATGCATAGTCAATAAAGGCCTGAAAACATCACACACCCCATGAGCAATCCGATAAAACAATAAGACAATGAGTTTGCATTTTCTTCTACCATACTGGGAAGAGAAAAAATATTTTATCTTCATTAGTTTACAACTCTTGACTATTTCTGAAAGTCAAATCCATTATCAGAAGAAAATTAAACGTCACGACAGCTGCCTTTTAATCTTGAACCTACTCAGATTAGCATTATTAATATGATTGCAACTATTAGTCGTTAGCATTGGTTCCACACCACTGCAGCAGCTCTGCAGAGCCAGTCCCTGGGTGAGCAGCCCCGGAAACCAGCGTGTCTGTGGCAAAGAAGGGTTCGGCATTCTGCCATCAAAAAGACCAGGAGCTGGTTGGCCACTTGGATAGAATCCCACTGAGAGCCTTCTCAAGGCTCTTTTAATTTGATTAATGTCTCTAATTTATAAAGCTGGAAAGTTTTTTTGTGCGTTTTTTCAGCACAGTTGCATTATCTCATGCAGTCTTTATAGATTTGAGCCACCAATATGCATTAAAATAGCCACAATTAAAGCAAACAAAATGTCTTTGTTGGTAGGGTCTCTGCTCTTTAGCCTTTAAAACTGCTATCTATATGCTTTATCTTTAGTGGCGGGACGGAACGTTCTGTTCATTCTAACACATCTATTCATCACAGTGGAGATGAAACTCAACTTCAAAAAGTGACCTTGCAGTTGGGAGCTGGATCCTCAGCCAGCAGGAAATGGAGACTATTATTGGAATGCTGCAGAGGCCTGACGAGGGAGTCCCCAAAACAGATTTGCAGAGACAGTGTGATTTCAGGGACACCCGTGATGTTCACCCTCCCGTGCTGAATGAGTTCCTCTTCTTTTTTGCTGTCTGATGCCTGAATTTCTCCAACCAAGCCTTTTTTTGACTGAAGGCCTAACATACAAATGCTCCAAATAAGGAACGCAATGCTGTGTGCTCAGAACAAGGTAGATATGACTGCTATCAGGCATTTTCTAGAACTGAAGGACATGGGGCAGCTGATGCAAGTCATTACTGCTGGAAGAAAGGGTTTAAAAAAAAAAAAAGCAACCAGAAAGGATGGAACAGCAACACTTGGGGCTTGTCCTGGTCACTTGGCAGCCAATGTTGCAAAGCCAGTGGGCGCTATGGATGGATAGATGGATATGTAACCAGCCACGGTCGGCATGGGCCCCTGATCCGCTTCAGCACACTCAGATGATGACGTCTATCTTCATCTTTGAAAATAAAAGCTATCTTCTTGTGTATAGAGAAGAATTTCCATGATAAGAGACCAATAAACCCAAGCAACTAATTAGCCAAGTTTCTCTATTTTTCTTGTACCCTACTTGAAATAAAAGGGAAATGGCAAATATTGAAAGACAAGCAAAATATTCTATACCAGATGACTACACAACATCTAAACCTTCTTTTTCCAAAATCTAGTCCTGGTCAACTAATATTTGTAGTCCTAATGTGGCCCTTGTGATTTGGCAATGTTCTTAAAGTTGTAGTCCTCTTCACTGGATTCTTTTATTAAGGGAAAGAGACACAAACATTTTAGAAAATGTTCAAGAAGGTCTCTATCTCAAACACTGGTCCTTCAAATTCCTTGTGGCTATGGTGCAAGGGCTCAAAATACATGTAACCTCTAAAGCAAATTAATGTGTATTTTTATGTAAGGTTTGCCCTGGGATGTTAGGAAAATATAATCCAATACACCCTAAGCTTTGGAACACTATTAAGCCCAGTAGTTGTTTTGAGATTTCAAGGAGATTTGGATGTGACATTGAAAAATAGGAGGAAACAAATGTGTCCCTATTTAAATTTTTAAAAAAGGATAACAGTCCCGTAATTTTAAAAATTACTATGAAACTCAAGTACTACTAAAACAATAAACATATAATCATCTTCCAAGCTCTTAGGATGGAATAAGATGCTAAGCAGAAACTGATAAGGTTGAAGAAGGTCAGATTGGAGATGGGAGACCCAACAGACTTAGATGTTATTCAAGGTAGGAGGGACTTCATGGGCTAGTCAAGGTGTGACTTGGAGTCCAGTCCATGTGAAATCAAGGGGCCACTCTAGACAGCCACTACTTGAGATCCTGCAATTCCATTTCTAGGCAGCTCCAGCTGCTGGAGTATCCTCACACCCAGCCAGAACCTGTTTCGAATTTCCGCCTGCTCATCCTTGCTCTGGTCTGGGGAGTTGCTGAGACCACGTCCCTTCCTGCCATTGGAGTGCGGCCCTCTGAGTCTCCCCTCCTCCTGTTTCCCTCCAGGTTGAAACCTCATTTCTCATTTCACTCTTCACACTTGCCAGGTGCCTGACGTCAATGAACAGCAACCTTTGCCACTCAAGCCTGGTGCCTGGACCTGAAATTCATTAGTGCAGACCCACTTGTTCAGCTCAGCGAGGAGGGCTGTTAGTGCCCCTTTCTGGGCCCAAACAAATTCTATTACAGCTGCCTCTGGCCGTGCTTCTCCTAGCATCCAGTTCTCACTAACACATCTCTATGAAGATGCAGTAAACTTAAAGAAGGATCGCGTTTCTCCAATAAAGCATCAGGCTCTGAAAGAAGTGGTGCTTTCATCTATTTTATCTTTGATGAGTAAAAGGCTTCTGGTGCACACAACGATTTTCACTAAATGGACGAGACACCTTGTGGATTGCAAAACTATTGTGTGAAGAAAGGCAAGGAGTTGTTATGCCAGAGACACGTGTAACCTGGACTCAGGTGGTTTACATTTTGTATTTTATGTGAGCATACATTTATAGATATAGCCCCTTTCCTCTAAAAGGCATCCTGAAATCTTGACCAAGAGTCGTTGCAGAACAAGTGAAAATACACACTGCCACCTGTGGACAGTGATCCCTGTAAGGGGCAGGGGTGGGATGTATAGGGAGGAAAAGATCAAGGTGGGAGGCGGGGAGGGAGATACAGAGATGGCGAGGCGCTTCTTCACGTGTCCCACCTGCTCTGATCTGCTCCCCGGGAGATACAGAGATGGCGAGGCGCTTCTTCACGTGTCCCACCTGCTCTGATCTGCTCCCCGGGAGATGCAGAGATGGCGAGGCGCTTCTTCACGTGTCCCACTTGCACTGTTCTGCTCCCCGGCTGCTCACTCTCCCCCTGATGTGACGCGTTGTCAGACATGACCAAATGCCACGGTTACTTGGGAGACAACAGCAGAAACGGGGCTGGATTCAGAATAAAAACTTTACATGGCTTATGTGAGAAAGGAAAGTCAGTAAGTTCACGGAACTCATGAACTTCAAAATTTCCCAATGAGTCTAGCAAGCAGTGCGCTGTTGGGAAGACCCTGGACGGGGCCATTGCTCCCAAGTCTGCTGGTGATACTGAGCCACTGTAGAGGGGCCACTGGCCAGCAGGGCGAACTCTTGGTGTGGGTTTCCTGCAAAGCAAGCCTGAGGGAAGGGCTTGGGTGCAGATGGGTTTTTGGAAGTTGATGTCATGAGACCCAAGTGGAGGGGTGGGGATAGTGGGATGGGGAAGGGAGATGGGGGCCCCATCCTGCAGGAAGCCCTCAGAGGCGCTGTGTGAAAGCCATGCCAAGGAATGGTCGGGGGAGCCGGCACCTTCATTTCCTCCCACACTGATGGAGGACTGCCCGGTGTGTGGAGCCTCCACAACTCCAGGTGCCTGTGCACCTGCTGAGGAAGAGCACTGGTCCCCGGAGAAAGCCAAGGAAGCAAAGCCGTCTGTGCACATGGGACCGTCTGTCCACGTGGGACCATCTGTCCCTCAGCTCTGCCAAGAGAAGGCCCTAAAGCACCCAGGCAGGCCCTCAGAAGCACCTGCTCCAGATGAGATGACAAAACCAGCGAGGCGGGTGCAGAAGGCGCCCCTCAGCTGCATGCCTCTTTCTAGACTCTACCCTGTGATGCCAGGCTGGGCCCCCTTGGCCAGCAGGGCCCCTGTGAGGAGCTGCCAGACGGGTGCTAGTGACGCCCCAGTCCAGGGGAGGAAGGGCTGTGTGCCCTCTGTCCTGCAGCCTCACCTGGGAAGTGCCTCCACCTGCAGCAGGAGCCACCCCGCTTGTGTGGTGGGGTTTAGTCATCCCGGCCCCTGTGGCAGGCCACTGCTCCATGGCCTGAGTCCAGCTCTGCCCAGATCCTCATCCTCCTCTGGATTCTCATCACCCCACACCTTTCCTTCTTGCAGAAGCCATTTCACGGTTTCCCTCCAGCCCCATTTCATCAATTGCTTATGTCACTCAATTCCTTGTACTCATTTTCGTGTGGAAACCTGGTGCTGGTGCTTCCTCCTGATTTGGATCACGCCTGCCGTGCTTGGAAAGCCAGCAAAGGCAAGTGAAGGAAGCTGGGCTCAGGCAGTAGCTGAGGGGGAGAGAGCCAGGGGCCCAGGAGGACGGGGACAGGTCAAGGGTGGCGAGGAGTCGGCGGGACAGCAGGGACAACTGGAGGCGATGCACGGCGGCGTGGCCCGCAGGGTGGTGGGACCGGACCCTTCCGTCAACACCTGCGTGAGTCAGAGCCTTGCCAGAAATCTGTGCCTGGTCTTGGTCCAGTGCAGAAGAGAACCCCACGTAAAACTGAAGGCCTGAGCAGCCAAACTCAAAAGAAAGGGGACAGCCCCCACCGAGGCTGAGTCTGGAGCCTGTTTTGAATTACTGGGCTCAAGAAGAGTTCTTTAGGTGAGGGGCGGTCTGCACTCCTAGGTACAGCACGGCCCTGCTTGCTCCCTGGGTCATCCACTCACTCATTTGTTTCATGGGATATATAGAGAGCCTGGCATAGGTCCCCGGAGCTGTCAAGATCCAGGACAGACAGGGGTGAACAAGCAGGGTGGGCGCTTTTCTCCCGGAGGACTGACATCCTGGTGGACACGGGGCTTGGTTGCTGGGAGGATGAGCTTCCTGCATGAGGGTGCACTATCTCATCATCAGCAGGTGGGACGCAGAGGCTGGAAGAGATCGGATCCGTCCACAGAGACCACAGGGGGAAGGTGCTTCTGTATTTCATGATTCCATGGACCCCTGGAATCCGTGAACGAGTCAGCAGCACACAGGGAGACGTCTCTAGGAGGAGGGCTGCAGCCAGGCCCCTTGTGGCCGCGTGTGACTTCCGATCCGCCTTCTCGCCATGCTACCCACAACGTCAGCATGTCCGTGGCTTTGGAGGGAAGTCTGCGTTCATTAGTGAAACAGGCGTGCACTCAGGTGGGCCACGGTGAGCTGAAGAAAGGCCGTCGCCAGCTCCATGTCCTCCCCCTACACGAGGCTCCTCCCTGGAGTCCACGTTCACGACCTCTGCCGTGTTCAGCCACACTTCTTGTCACAGGAGTTTCAGGTGTCAGGAAAGCCATCCCAGGGCCCCCCACTGTTTGGCATCATTTTTAGCCTGTGTGTCCTGCTGAAGCCACCCTGGTCACTTTGGGTTGGTGTGCCCAGCCTCACCCCTCACCTCATCCTCAGGTGACACGGCCAGGACCCACCCTGAGAGAGGAAGCGGCCATGGATGCCCTTCTGGCTGGCATCTGGGGCACCCAGCATGCATTGCCTGCGTGGTCGCTCCACGTGGCTGTGGCTCACTCCTTCTTGGGTGGCCTTAGCCCTCTGCAGCTCCCATGTCTGTGGACTTTTTATGCAATCAAAGGAGAAGCCACCCCAGAAGGACCCGCCATCTCCCTCCGCCTCCCAGGAGTGGTACTGTGGAAACTGACGGCCTCAGGAGCCATGGCAACCAACCTCCGGGTCACATCCATCCAGATGTCTCCCACAGGGAAACGGGTGTCACACGGAGCACCAGGAGAGCATCAGGTCCCTGTCCGCCGAGCTCACACGCAGCTGTTGCGTGGAGAGGGGTCCGCGTGTTGCCCGCCGAGCTCACACGCAGCCGTTGCGTGGAGAGGGGTCCGCGTGTTGTCCTCCGAGCTCACACGCAGCCGTTGCTCGTCAGCGCTGCCGCCTGGCTGCACACACCCTCTACATTAAGTCTTTAACACAGCTATGGCCTGAGTGTCTGGGCCTCTGGGATTTTGCCTCCACCAGTAACTTTTTTAGGATTGCCAAGTCCTAGACAGTGGGGCATTTAGGTGTAGACTGTTCAGTACCAAGCGGTGTATTTTCCTGAATTAAGAAATTATCAGATGCCACTGTTTCCACGCCAAACTGTTCAGGGCCCCAGGGCTCCAAGACCACTCACAAGAATCAGAGCAGAGAGCACTCGTGGGAAACGCCCCCACACCCTGGCTCCCACTGCCCCAGTGCCCTGGGTCAACACGGCTCCTGGGCAGGACACACAGGCGGAGGCAGGTGTGGGATGAAGCCCCGGTCTCCCCGGTTCACGACCTCTGCCATGTTCAGCCACACTTATTGTCACAGGAGTTTCATGTGTCAGGAAAACCATCCCAGGGCCCCCCACTATTTGGCCTCTTCTCCATGCAACGGCTGTGTGTGAGCTTGGTGAGGGCGAGTTTCCTTGTCACGGACCTCAAGCATTGGCGTGAGAGGTCGCCCATGATAAGCTAAGGTCACGTCCACTTACTGGTGAATAAGACGAGACTCTAACATGCAGCCTTTCCATGGATTCCTTTCTGTTGGCCCCAGAACGTGGGAAGTGGGAGGTCCCTCTCTGCGCCGCGCTGTTTGAGGAAGAAGCTGGAAGAAATCCGCACTGAATATGGCCCTTTAGTTTCTTGGGAAAACCAGGCCATGCCCTCCCTGGGCCTCAGGACTCAGAGAGCGCGACACCGGCCAGACGGCCAGAAAGGAGGCAGGGCCTGGCCGTGGCATCGCCATTCCTTCTGACGTCTTCCAGTTCCTCCCGAGCCCTCTGCACCTCGCCCGCCCCCGCCCCCACCTCCTTGTGCTGTCCTGAGTCCCCCACCGGGTCCGGGGTCCCGATTCCAGCAGTGGTTGTGGGCAAGTGTCTGCTGACGGCTGCATCCTCCCCACCTCTGCGTCCACCCCGTCCCTCAGACATGCTGGGTCCTGACCCTTTGGTGCTCAGCTCCCTGGGGCCAGGATGGCCCTGGCATCTGCTGGTCACTGTGGAGAGGCTGTTGTCAGTGGGATCAGGCATGGTTTTTTGATTTGTGGGGCAACTCTAACACCCTCAAGAGCCCTGGAACACAGACCTGCCCACCAGGCCCCGAGAAAAGACGGCCCTCCCAGGGATTGTCCAAGCTCAGAGGCAGGCAGACCAAAGCTCTCCTCCCAGCTCGGGCAGCAGCCTCTCGCAACACCTGTTTCTTTACGGGACTGGTAATCCTGGAAAAGGAAAGGACTGAAAGCTCCCATCCGTGCGGAGCTTCTCAGTGGGACTTGGTGAATTTCATTCAGCAGATCCCGGCCTCTCCCTTCTGCATGGACAGAAACACCACGGCATTTTCTGGGGGGCAGAGGAGATGCCAGAAAAGTGTTCTCAGCAATTAGGCCATGGTTAGCAACCTGAAAGAGGTGTGAGCGAGGCTGAAGAGAGAGGACCATGGCTGGTGTGTGCTGTGCAGTGCTGGAGGGCTGCGGGGGTGCTTCTGTCTGATGTTAGGGACTCAGGCTGCTGATGGTGCCCTCCAAGGTCATGTGTGTGGTCGACAGCAAAGCTCCATGGAGCGGGCTGTGCTGCCGTCACCTCTACCACAGGTGAAAGCCTGGGGACAGAAAGAAAGGAGGCGACCTGCTTACAGCTGCAGGAAGAGTGGGGAAGTTCTGTCCCCAGGCAGGCATGGCTTTGGTCCAGAGCCTGGGCTTGTCACTAGCTCTCCCGACTTCACCTGTGGCCTCTGTGCTCATTCTTGTGCCCTCTGCCCCGAAGGGGACTTCCGTGCTGCCCAACAGTAGAAGTTCTCCCCACCACCTGCACCCGAGGATGATGGAGTCACCTGTCGTCATCCCAGGCAGGTGGGGACCGTGTTGCCTGATTCTGAATCCCCAGCCTGGCAACCCTTTGTTTAGTGAATGCATAGAAATATTAAGCAGCCGGCCTACTCTCTCTTTTCAATTGGGAATTTTGGCGGCAAGAGATTAAACAATGTTTGATTTCTGGAAGCTGCTTTCTTTATAAGGACAGCAGTGCAGTGGAGGTGTCTGCCCTCCCTATTCGCCACCCCACTCCACCCTCCTCCTCAAATGGGGCCCTGAGAACTCTAGGGCAGCTCTGAGACAAGGTTGCTGGTCTTCTGTTTTGGGGGAAATCTTGGAAGGATCCTCCGTCATGACGGTGCTTCAAGTGCACCTGCACAGCCGGGAATCCCTTCTCCAGTCTCAATTTCCAATAGTCAGAACCTCAGTTTAGCAAATCTAATGGCATTAGTTTGTTTTAATTCAGACAGGATGCATGGGGGTGGACTACTGCGGCCGGGTGCAGTGGCCGGGTGGTGGACCGTGCCAGAGAAACAGCCCTAATGCCACACTGGTGGAACACGTCCCTGACTGTGACGTTGGCAGGCCACAGCCTTTGTGCCCTGTTTTTCTTCTTGGTAGAACCAGGATAAGAATTCTCTTCCCGCATATCACAGGTACCTGTCGGCATTGGGGAGGGTCAGATGGGACCCAATGAGAGGATCGTAGGAAAGTGCTCTCAGGGGATGGGCTCAACACAAGGCATGGTGCTGCTGACGTCACTGTGATGGGTCATCCTGGAGCCGGGCTTCTCTGGGCAGCATCCAGAGCGCAGTGTTGGGAGGCCGAGCTTGGCACAGGAGACTGGAGAGTAACTGCGGGGCCACTGCCTGAACAGCTGGGGAGCCCTCTGCGAACGCTGCCAGAGACAGGCAGAGAACGCACTGCTGAAGGGGCACTTGACCGCCCACAGAGGAATGGATCAAACTCTGAACTCCTAAATGGGCGGCCCATGTGCATACTGGTGGCATCATGGGAGAAACATGCTTGGCTCAGGATGATGACCTGGAAGCCGAAGGTATTTTCTAGGCTCATATGTGCCACAGAAACTGCTGTGTGGTGGGAAGATGGCCACCAGGGAGAGGCAAAAACCAACTTCTGGGCCCTTGGAGCAATATAAGGCCTGCAGGCAATGAGGGGCTTCCCTTTCAAAACTCACCCACTGAGTCTTAACATTCCACTATTTCCGATCCGTTCCTTTGAGGTAAGTTTGCCTTCGTTCATTCTGTGTTCTTTTTTTTTTTTGTGAGACGGAGTCTTAGCCCTGTCGCCCAGGCTGGAGTGCAATGGTGGGATCTTGGCTCACTGCAACCTCTGCCTCCTGGGTTCAAGCGATTCTCCTGCCTCAGCCTCCCGAGTAGCTGGGATTACAGGCATCTGCCACCACACCCGGCTATTTTTTTGTCTCTTTAGTAAAAACGGGGTTTCGCCACGTTGGCGAGGCTGGTCTGGAACTCCAGACCTTAGGTGATCCGCCTGCCTTGGCCTCCCAAAGTGCTGGGATTACAGGCACGAGCCACGGTGCCCGGCGTGTGTTCTCTTTTAAAATGAAAATACTCCTGGGAAAAGTGATGTAGTAAATGTCTAGACCTTGGTGGGAATTAAGAAGGAAAAGCCTGTGCTCGAGGCCGTGGATGTGACAGAGGCTGGGGGGTCGTCGGGATGGGAGGTCAGACAGGAAGAACAGGAGCAGAGAGGGAAAGGGTAAACCACAGAAGGCCGCACGCAGGCCCGTGGGGCCCGCAGGAGTGAGCAGTGGAGACAGAGACATGCACATCCTAACAGCGTTTCTGGGCAGTGAGGGTCCCATGGTAGATTCCTGTCAAGCGACAGATCTCCCCGCCTTGGCCTTTTCCCGTTTCGCCGTTGCCTCCCCACTTTGAGATTAATTGACTTCCCTTTAGAGTCATCTCATGGAGACTCGTTCTCCCAGCTGGGGGAGGATTCCAAGGCCAGTTGCGAATTCCTGGCACCGGGAACTTGGCCTCGCCCCTTATTCATCAAGTCCAGGCACGAGTCACTTTCTGCTCAGGTTTGGCCTTTAAGATTACGCACTCCGTGCACCCTGGGGTAGCCAACCCCCCGAAGGAAAACACGATGGAAGTCTTCATCCTTAGAACAGGAGGACAACGGGCTCGGGTTGAAGCAGCTGACCCGGTGCTGGGAATGAGTGAGAGGAGGCGCGGCACCTGCCCCGGCCCGCATGGACGCAGGCACATTAGATGCCAAGTAGTAGGGAGCCCTGGTTCACTTCTTACCTGGCTCGCTGCAAAGAGAACACCGCAGCTGGCCAGGCTTGGTGGTGCATGTCTGTAATCCCAGCTACTTGGGAGGCTGAGTCAGAATTGCTTGAACCCAGGAGGCAAAGACTGCAGTGAGCCAAGGTCGCACCATTGCATTCCAGCCTGGGTGATAGAGCATGACTCTGTCTCAAAACAAACAAACAAACAAACAAAGAAAAACCGCACCACAGCCTTGAAACAACTTTCTGGGCTGTCTCCCTAAGGGAACCAGGGTCAGGTGGGTGGGGGAGGTCTCCCTGCCCAGCACTCATTGTAGGAATGAAGAGAGAGGCCCAGTTGGCCTCCTCAGTTGTGACTTCACAGCTCTGCCACCAGAAATGTGTGCCAAAAGGAAGCATATTTATTTATAAGCAATAGTAACTATTAATAATAATTAATTACTAAGTTCTTCTGTTCCTTTTTTCAGGCGAGTAAATGGTTTCCATTCTTTGCATCTGTTAACAACTTCGGGAACAAAATTGTTACACCCATCTCCAAGTTACAAATCTATTGGGCTCCAAATATTGATTTGCATGTCAGTGGCTTGTCATTTAGGAAACATTTTCTCACGGAAAATGCTAGCCCTGGCTAGGTTCTCAGGCTAGCTCACCAAGGTGAAGCATTTCGTATTGGTAGTTTATATCTAAAAAGTCTTCGTGTCAAATGTAGAAACAAATAAATATGGAAACAAGTGTAGAAGTAAAACAGCTCAGCTCGCTGATGGTTTAAATGGGTGTTTGCGGCAAGCCTGATTCGTGTTTAAAACATTATTTTGAGGTTTGTGGAGAAGTGCTTTCTGTTTCCACCCTGCCATGATAAGAGAATGTTCACCCCAAAACGACAAAGCCCACAGTGCAGGTGTTTCGTTATTTGTAAAGTTTCTGTGTGACATTGTAGTCCGTTTTCTTTTTCATAGGGAAACTGGTCCTAAGAATGATTAAGCGTCCTAGAATCACAATGGCTATTTTTGATTGGTTTTTGTTTAAATTCTAAACACATGATCTTCGCCTCTTCATTAGGAACAGTTGGTGGCTGCACAATCGGGGAGTCGTGGATTCTGCCTGCTTTCTGGCCACTCCTCCCACTTTGTATTCCCGTTTCTTCCAGTTCTGGTTGCTCAGTGTTCTCAAGGTGCCTGAGTCCATACAGACAAGAAGTAGCTGACTTCACATTCAGCTGCATTTTCAATCATAGTCTTCAGGAGGAGAATTGGAGTTTTCCATGTTTTCTGAAATTAATGAACAGGGCTGAATGTCAACAGCCAGCATTTTAAAATACTAAAACTCAGCATCCTCTCCTGAAATCCTAGATCTGACAGCCTCCCATGAGCCTCAAATGGTTTTGTGTTCAAGTCCAAGTTTCAAAAGCAAATGAAGATAAACCGACCAATGCCCAGAAAATCTGTCCAAGAAAAAAGCAGCAACCACATGGGAAATTTGAACAAGGAGACTGTCCTGTCACTAAATTCAGGATATGTAGCCAACAGGGACAACAACCAGCCCCCAGAGAGCCTCTAGGATGAACCTTCAGGGCAAGGACTTTAACAAACAGGCATCGCCTCCACTGTCAGTCCCTCACTAAGTTGGTAATGACAGCAGTCGCTATCTCTGAGACCAAAGGCCTCTGTGCTTTCAAAACTCCTGTTACATAGAGTACAGGCATTCCGAGGTGAGTCCATGAAGTCTTAGGTGAGGACTCCAGAGGAGAGCCCTAAACAGGCAGAGGAAACGCAACTTTGCACTTACAACACCGACGGTTTCTCAGTGCAGGCCCGAGCACACGCACGCCCTGGTCCTCATGCCCTGGTCCTCCCTGCATCTGCATGGGTCAGTCACTGAACTGCTCTGGACCCGGCTTCTCTGTCTGCTCCAGGGGCCATGCCGGCAAATGCTCCCAGCAGCCAGGGAGGGCTCGTACTGCATGAAAAAAGGTGTGGGTTGTTGGGGCGGTCTGGACCTTGCCCTGTCTGCAGGCAACAGCTGCTGCCCGGCTTCAGCCATCACTGGAATTTCTGGGTGCAGAACTCCAGGCTGTGTGTTGCTCTCCCCAGAATTCTGAAGGCGTTTTGTCCTGACCTTCCACTATCTTTGGTTGCTGACTATTTGCGCTTGCTGTAATTATTGTTCCGTTTGATAATCTCTTATTTTCTCACTAGTGGCTTCTAAGATGCTAAGTTCTTTATTCTATATTTATGCTTTCAAACGTTGTATTTTGCAGATATATGGTAAATAGTGCATAGTCTTTATGCTGTTTTTATTCTTTATTATTAATGTTTTACAGTTTCGTTATGACGTCTTTAGATGTCAGCTCATTCTTATTTAAGCGTCTTTGTCTTCTGAGTGCATTTATTTTCAGTGTGAGGACTAAGGTCTTTTTACAATCCTGGAAAGTTTCCAGTCATCCAAATATTGCTTCTTCATGATTTGTTCTTTTCTTTTCTTTTGGAATTCCTTTTTGACCTAGATTGGAAATTCTCTCCCTGCATGTTCTTTTTTTTTTATTTCATTATTATTATACTTTAAGTTTTAGGGTACATATGCACAACATGCAGGTTTGTTACATATGTATACATGTGCCATTTTGGTGTGCTGCACCCATTAACTCGTCATTTAGCATTAGGTATATCTCCTAATGCTATCCCTCCCCACTCCCCCCACCTGGGTATATACCCAAAGGATTATAAATCATGCTGCTATAAAGACCCTGCGTGTTCTTAGTTGCTTTCCATGTGCTTATTTTGCGGGTCTGCCCTGCACTCTGGTGAATTCTTGAGTTCTAACTGAAGAACATAAGTTTATTAGTTTGTGCCTAGGATAGAGTACATTCCATCTATGAAGTACATTCCATCTATGAAGTTAAATGACTATCATTAATTTGTAACAGCTCATCCTGATTTGTTGTTTATGTCTGTTATTATTTAATTTCAGCCTGTTATTGCTTAATTTCTCTGGGTCCTTCTGAATTGTTGTATTATTTTTCTTTCATCTGGTGGGAATTTGTGCTCTGGGGGCTATGCTGGTTGTTTTCTACATTACTTTTCTTCATGTATGGTAGTCCCAGGTTGAGTGGAATACTCTAGTTTCTCTCTGTCTTTTTCGTCTCTTCTGAACCCATTCCTCTCTGTCCCGTGCCTTTTCAGCTGTTTCTTGGGTCCCTAGTCCAGAGCCAACTCACAAAATGCTTGGGGTCCTTGCCCTGTGCTGATGCTGGGGATATCACAGGTAGCTTGTCTCAGTTCCTGGTCTATGATGCGTCTGGATTCACCTCTCCCTTAGGCCTGCAGCTTTCTCTGAACCACAGCTCAACGCAGGGCTCCACAGAGGCTTGTATTTAGCTTTCCGTCCTAGAACTCCCAGTATTTAATGGTGATCCCAGATCTGGTCTATGACATTGCCTGGGGAACGTAACCCTGTTACCCCTTAGAAACCCAACTACGGACACCTCTGCAAACTTCCGAACCTCAAAACTTTGGACCTTTGTCCCGTCACTGTGCTACAAGCTTTTGTTCTAATTAAACTTTTTATTTGAGATAATTGTAGTTTCATATGTATAAACAACACAGAGAGACCGTGTGTGCACTTTATCCAGTTTCTCCCCAGTGGTCATATCTTGCAGAACTATAGTACACCATCACAAACCAAGACACTGACATTGGTATGATCAAGCTTCAGAACACCTCCACCACAAAAGGATCCTCGTGTTGACCTTTTACAGTTAAACCACTTTCTTCCCACCTCGCCCTCTCTGTAACCCTCAGCAACTCATCTAATCTCCATTTCAATGATTTTGTCACTTGAAGAAGTTTATACAAGTGGAATCATACAGTATGTCACCCTGTAAACTTTTGGGACTGGCTTATTCTCACTTAGCATAATTCTCTGAAGACTCATGCAGGTTTTTGCATGTATCAATAGCTTGCTCTTCTTTGTCACTCAGTGGCAGGGAGGCACCACAGTTAGTTTAACCATTCACCTGATGAAGGGCATCTGGGTTGACTCTTAGTTGGGGTTATTAACAAAGCTTCCATAAATATTTGTGCACAGGTTTTATGTGAATATGCTTTTTCATTTCTCTGTGATAAATGGCCAGGAGTGCAATCTCTGGGTTGTATGATAATTGCATGGTTAGTTTTCTAGGAAACTGCCAACCATTTTCCAGAGAGTCTGTGCAGCTTTCCCCTCCAGCGACGTGTGAGTGATCCAGTTTCTCCACTCTTGCCAGCATCTAGTGTTGTCATCATTTTTCATTCTGTTTGTATTAGTCTGTTCTCACACCACTATAAAGATACTACCTGAGACTGGGTAATTTGCAAACAAAGAAGTTTAATTGACTTACAGTTCTGCATGGCTGAGGAGGCCTCAGGAAACTTACAATCATGGCAGAAGGGGAAGCAGGCACGTCTTACATGGTGGCAGAAGACAGAGAGGGTGTGAGAGTGCAGGGTAAACTACCATTTATAAAACCATCAGATCTCATGAGAATCACTCACTGTCATGAGAATAGCATGGAAGAGCCACCCCCATAATCCAATCTCTTCCCTCCCTGAACATGTGGGGATTACATATCCTTCCCTTGACACAAGGATTACAGTTCAAGATGAGATCTGGGTGGGGTCACAGAGCCAAACCATATCATTCCACCTCTGGCCCCTCCCAAATCTTATGTCTTTTATACATTTGAAAGCCAATCATGCCTTTCCAACAATCCCCCAACGTCTTAAGTCATTCCAGCATTAACATAAAAGTCCAAGTTCAAAGCCTCATCTGAGACAAGTCAAGTCCCTTCCACCTATGAACTTGTAAAATCAAGGATGCCCACCCTCACCCCTTCTCTTCGACATAGAACTGGAAGTCCTCCCCAGAGCAATCAGACGAGAGAAAGAAATAAAAGGCATCCAAGTCGGTAAAGAGGAAATCAAACTGTTGCTGTTTGCTGACGATATGGTTATTTACCTAAAACCCTAAAGACTCTTCCAGAAAGCTCCTAGAACTGATAAAATAATTTAGCAAAGTTTCTGTTTCCAAAATTGATGTACACAAATCAGTAGCTCTTCTATATACCAACAGCAGCGACCAAGATGAGAATCAAATCAATAACTCAATCCCTTTTACAATAGCTGCAAAAAAATAAAATAAAATAAAATAAAATAAAATAAAATAAAATAAAATAAAATATTTAGGAATATACCTAACCAAGGAGGGTGAAAGACCTCTACAAGGAAAACTACAAAACACAGCTGAAAGAAATCATAGATGACACAAACAAATGGAAACACATCCCATGCTCATGGATGGGTAGAATCAATATTGTAAAAATGACCATACAGCCAAAAGCAATCTACAAATTCAATGCAATTCCAATCAAAATACTACCATCATTCTTCGCAGAACTAGAAAAAACAATCCTAAATTCATATGGAACCAAAAAAGAGCCTGCATAGCCAAAGCAAGACTAAGCAAAAATAAATAAATAAATAATCTGGACCTATCACATTACCTGATTTCAAACTATACTGTAAGGCCATAGTCACCAAAACAGCATGGTACTGGTATAAAAATAGTCATACAGATCAAGGAAACAGAATAGAGAACCCAGAAATAAACCCAAATACTTACAGGCAACTGATCTTTGACAAAGCAAATAAAAACATAAAGTGGGGAATGGACACACTATTCAACAAATTGTGCTAGGATAATTGGCAAGCCACGTGTAGGAGAATGAAACTGGATTCTCATCTCTCACCATATACAAAAATCAACTCAAGATGGATCAAGGACTTAAATCTAAGACCTGAAACTATAAAAATTCTGGAAGATAACGTTGGAAAAACCCTGCTAGACATTGACTTAGGCAAGGATTTTATGACCAAGAACCCAAAAGCAAATGCAATAAAAACAAAGATAAATAGCTGAGACTTAATTAAACCAAAGAGCTTTTGCGTGGCAAAAGGAACAGTCAGCAGAGTAAACAGACAACCCACAGAATAGGAGAAAAATCTTCACAGTCTATACATCTAACAAAGGACTAATATCCAGAATTTACAACAAACTCAAACAAATTAGCAAGAAAAAAAAACAAATAATCCCTTCAAAAAGTGGGCTAAGGACATGAATGGACAATTCTCAAAAGAAGATATACAAATGGCCAAGAAACATATGAAAAAATGTTCAACATCATTAATGAGATTTAGGTGCAGACACAGAGCAAAGCCATATCACCATTCTAATAGGCGTGTGGTGGTTTTACTTTGCATTTCCAAACGGCTAATGATGTTGAACATCTTTTTATGGGTCTATTTGCCAACTGTATATCCTGTTCAATGAAATGTCTCTTCCTTTTTGTTCTCCATTTTCTTTTCTCACTTTTTTTTCCTCACTGTTGAGTCTTGACAATTTTTATATATTGTAGGTACTAGTCCTTCTTCAGATAGGGTTTGCAAATATTTTCTCCTGTCTGTAGCTTATCTTTTAGAGAGCAAAAGTGATCTACTTTTATGAAGTCCAGTTTATCATTTTTTTCTGTTGTGGATTATGCTTCTGGTGTCAAGTTCAAGAACACTTTGCCTAGGACTAGACCCTGAAGATATTCTTCTGTACTTTTTTCTATAATTTTACAGTTTGCATTTTAATTTATGATTTTTTTAATATAAAGTGTGAGGATTGGGTTGAGGTTTACTTTTTTTCCTATATATTCACAATTTCTCCAGCACCATTTGTGGAAAAGGCCACTCTTCCTGCAATAAACTTCTTTTGCACCTTTGTCCAAAGTCAGTTAGGCCTGTTTGTATGGGTCTATTTCTGTGTTTTCCGTTCTATTCAATTGAGCTATCTATCTGTCCCTCTGCCAAAACACATGCCCCTGATACAGTAGCTGTATAGTACATCTGGAAATCAGTAGACTGATTCATATTGTTTTAGCTGTTCTATCTCATCTACATTTCTATGTAAGTTTAGAATAATCTTGCTTGTATCTTTAAAAAAAAACTTGCTGAAATTTTGATAGGAATTGTGTAAGACTTTGTCAATTTGGAGAGACTTGACATTTTTTTATTATGTTGAGTCTTCCTGTCCAGGAACATGGTATACCCTGCAGCACCCAAGCCCTGTGCATGTTTCAATAGATTTTCTTATATGTATTTAGTATGTTGAGCCGTTCTAAATGGTACTGTATTTTTAATATTGGTATTCATGCATTCATTGATATTCTATAGAAATACAATTGGTTTTGAATGTTTATCTTATATCCTGTGAACTTGCTGAACTCATTAATTTTAGTTTTTTTTCCAAGCTGTCTTAGATTTTTAAAAATGTATATAATCATGCTGCCTGTAAATAGGCACTGTCTTATATCTTCTTTTTCAATGTTTGCCTTTTATTTCCTTCTCTTGCAGTGGCTGGAGCTTCCAGCACTATGTTGAATAAAAGTGGTGAGAGAGGCTGTCCTTGCCTTGTTCCCAATCTTAGGAGGAAAACATTCAGTGTTTCACCATTAAGTATAATATTAGCTGCAGGTTTTTTTTTTTATAGATGCCCTTATCAAGTTAAATAAATTATCTCTTCTTTTTTTTCTGAGAGATTCTATTATGAAAAGGCATTAAGTTTTATCAAATGCTTTTTTCTGAATTTATTGATATGATCCTGTGAATTTTCTTTAGCTTGTTAATATGGTGGATTACCTTGATTGATTTTAAATATTGAACCAGTCTTGCATTCTTGGAATAAATCCTAATTGGTCATGGTGCCTACTTCTTTTCACATATTCTATTTACAGATATTTTTAGGGCAGTTTTTCAATATGTATTCACGCTTTCTTGTTTTTTGACTATGCTTTAAAATTTCCTCTTTCTAGTTGTATCTATAGTTGCTGTACGTTTGGAGCAGGGAAGGGTGTGCTGAAGAGGAAGCTTAGAGAGTCATCTAGAGGGAGGGCTACAGGGCAACTTTTTAAAACTATGGACATAAAATGCTTCGATAAAACTAAACATGATTCGGACTTGGATTGTGTGGAATATCCACATAGCAGATACCGTTGGTGCTCATCCCTGTTCCTCACCCACCACATCAGTGATGCCACCCCAGCTCCTGCCCCATCCTGCCTGCCTCCGTGCCTTTGTCTGACGCCTCCTTTGACTGCTGAATCCCATGCTACTTGTGCATGTGGCACACCAGAGTGCAAGGAATTAATGTCCCCAAGAGTAATTTTCAACCAATGCCTGACAGAAGTTGGTGCATAAATACTCCAGCTCCCTCCTCCTCAGGTCTGTAACTCTAAGGTGTGTGCTACATGCTGGCCTTGAGTCCCTGGTAGGACTGGACTCTGTGTGCCCACAGTGATCCTTTGAGAACGTATCATATCCTCTACTGGCTGCCTTCCTTCCTCAGTTTCACTTCTCCCAACAATGTTTCATGGGATCCTATACCAAACAAAGCACTTCACTGAAATTGTTTTCTCAGTATCGGCTACTGGGGAAATGCAAATTAAGACAGACAAGAAATGAGTCTAATTCAGCCTGGAAAACTGTTGGATCAAAAGGTAAGGCACTTTGCTCACATGAGCAACTTATAATTTTGATATCGAGAGATGTGTCTTCTAGAGAGACAGAATAGTGCTGTGGCTAAAAATATGAGTGTAGTCAGCCTGATCTGGACTTGTACCCCAGCATCTCTGCTTCCTAACTGTGCTTTATAGCAAGTGACCAAACTCGAAGCCTCAGTTTCCTCAAAACAGGTGTAATGATACCATCTTCCTCATGCGACTGCCCTGAGTGCACACAGGGGCCTTGCACAGCAGATCCAGTTCTGGCTCACAGCAAATGCTTCACAAAAGGCAGCTCATTTTTTTATCCTCAGGAGAGTGGCTTAAAGAATGGAATGAGCCTATAAAGGTGGAAAAGTAGAAGGCCAATGTGAACTGTGAGTGAATTAAATAGACCAGTGCAACAAAATCTCAACCTGTGAGTGAATTAAATAGACTAGTGCAACAAAATCTCAAACTTTTCTGGACCAGTCCTTGCAAATGTGTCAGCAAAACTAAGCACTTTTGGAAATACTCCTAAGATGGCATTTCAGAAGAAAGGTGACCCTGACTGTAAGAAGATCTAACCATAACGTGCCTGTTTCACTCACTTGAGGTATCTTGAAGTGAAGTAAAACTAATTTAAGTGATACTGTTCTGGGGAAAAAAGTAAATTATACACTTCTCAATTCTTGAATAATTAAAGCATTTTTTAAAGAAAAATAATTCAATGATGTTTTATCAGTTAGGAAGGTTTTCGGCTGCAAGTAAATTCAGAGCAGTGGCATTAGCAATACAAGAACAATGTGAACTGTGATCGAATTAAATAGACCAGCACAACAAAACCTCAATCTTTCTGGGCCAATCCTTGCAAATGTGTCAGCAAAAGTAAGCCCTTATTTATTTGTAAATACTCCTAAGATGGCATTTCAGAATAAAGGTGATCCTTACTATATCTAACCATAATGTGCCTGTTATGCTCCCTTGAGGTACCTTGAAGCAAACTAGTCAAGGAAAGCTATTTAAGTGATACTATTCTGGGGAAAAAGCAAATTATACACGTCTCAAATTCTTCACAAATTAAGCATTTTTTAAAGAAAAAATAATTTGATGATATTTTATCAGTTAGGAAGGCTTTTGGCTGCAAGTAAATTCAAAGAGTGGTGGCATGGGCAATACGACCTTTTACTTCTCTCCCTTGGTATGAAGTCTGGGGCGATTATCACAGCTTCTTATGCCATGAAGGATCAATATCCAACTTTCCAACCTCCTCTTCATCAATTCATTGATGCAAAGAGGCTGCCACAATTGTACAAAGAAAAGAGAGAGAGGGAGAGTTTCCATGTTCTTCCTCTCAGTTCCATCTATTAAAGATGCACGAGCTTCCCGGATGCCTGTCTGCAGCTCCTTCTCTGGGTTGCTGACCACGACGCATGGCCCACGTACACTAGCTTTATGGGAGGCTGAGACATGCACACCTGGCCTTGTCAGCATCTCTAATGGCAGAGCAATGAGAGAGAAGTGGTTTGTTCCTATTGGTCACTGCGTCAGCCAGCCGCCAGGGTGTACCTCCTCTAATGCCATTGCTTTCTGAGCTCCACCAGTTTATAGGATAGGCACGGCCTTTCTTACCTGTTCCTTCCAGCCATCACTGGGACTTTGCTTTGGCTTCCTTCCCCAAAACAAGTTTTGATCCAGAAATCCCCAAGTTGTCCCAAGTCATGAGCATAACTGGGCTTTATGAGAAACAGGTTTGCTCTGAGGGCCCTCACCTTTCTCACTGTGGTCCTGTGTGGAAGCTGAATGCTGCTTTCAGATGGCCACATTCCTCCTCTTGTGGTTTCTTTTGGGTTCATCTCCTACACTGGGTTCTAGGCTGACTCTTAACCATGTTAAGGTTCAGGTATGCCTGACTAACCCCTGCAGTGGCTCCTTCCAGCTGATGTCATCACAGTTACAGGCCTTCTGAAAACAGTGCCTGACCCCAGTGGTCCTCAGACATGAGCACCTCAGCATCCCAGGGAGGCTCCAGAATGCACAGATGGCAGCCCCTCACCCAAAGTGGGTGGGAAGGAGGGAGAATTTGCACTGCTGACAGGCTCCCAGGTGACGTGGATGATACTGGACCGTACCACATTCTGGGAACCACCACCTTACCCCAAGTACCCAGCATTCCTCCTATGTCCATCCTGGCTGCCTGTGGGTGAGGGTCCCTGAATGTGCTGATGGAGGAGGGAGGAAGGGAGCCCCTGAGAGTATTGTTGACGGCAGTGGCCCCTTCAGTTAAGGGAGGAGTACAGTTTATCACGGGGATAGCTTCCATTTAGCCAAATGGAAATTCACACTCTTACTTGTTACTGCTCTAGAGTGATAAGAAATTCATCTGGGCAAGGTGGTGCACAAACAGTACACCAAGTTCCAGAGCCTTTCCAGAAGCCTCGGAGGACATCACCTGAGTGCATCTGACAGTCATCTGTCCAACCAGTGCACCCCTCCTACTGCACCCCGTTTGTAAATTGAGTACATTTTAGTTACTGGGATCATTCGCTTCTACTGTTAACTTCATTTTCTGATGGTGCTGTTTAAATTAGATGTTGTGATTGGTATGACCCAATTTTTCCATTTCCAAAAGTTGTTTTGCATTTTGTGTACATAGACATATGGAATTATTGATGATTTCTATGGTGCCTCCACATTTTCAAGCAGTCTGAGCCGAGGGAGGAATTGCATGCTGCCTTGATGCTGATGGACATGATCTCTGCTCTATCGACTGGCCATCATCTTCATGCACCTGTCCCTTCAATTGCTGGCTTGCCATGGTCCTTCAGCCGGTGTCACATATCTTGGCATTTTATTTTGTCAGGTTAGCACTTTGCTATGGTTGTTACCGTACATGGTCTTTGCAATGCTCTCAGATTGTCCTGTAGGTCACGTGGTGAACACTTTGAAGCTGAAGGACGGGACTCATTTTTTCTGCAGCAAATGCATCTTTTGGCAGAATGGCCAGTCACGTTTGTTGCATGAGCATTTGCAGGTATGGGTTCTCTCTCCTTTTGTCTTGTTTAAGTGTCTCTAGGAGAAAGGACTGGTTTTCTGTGCTGGTTCTCTCCATGGCACCTCATAGGGTAGCAACATCTGTTGAAGTTCTGAGCTTATCTCAACACAACTCAAACGTAGCTCACAGCAAAAAGCATGATGGAAGCCATCATTTCATGCTCTTTAAGATGCTTGAATTGTGGTGGCTGGAGCCAGAGGGTGAGTGAATGTTTGTCATGTCCACGTGGTTAGACACAGGGGGCTGAGGCTCTCACATCTTTGTGTCTCTGGGACCTGCCTCATAACAAGTGACTGTGGCTAATTAGCAGTGGGGCAAATTCTTTGCTCATGTCCCCACCCAGAGGGAGGCCTCTGCTTTCCCCTTGGGTCTGGGAAGGGCTGTGCCTCCGTGGAGTGTGATGGACATGAGGCTGGGCCTTTGCATGGGGGATCCTGCTGCTTCCTATGCATGGAGGTCCCTCCTGTGGGCCAAGGCTGTGTTGAAGTCCCTCTGCCACAAGGACGTTGTGCTGTGAGGAAGCACAGTGGAGTGGTGTCCCCCATGAAAGTTATGTTCAAATGTAAACCCCTGGTATCTGCGAGTTTGCCTTTATTTGGAAATAGGGTCTTTGAAGATGTAATTAAGATGTACATTAAGATGAGGTCATGCTGGAGTAGAGTGGGCCCTTAATCCAACATGACGAGTGTCCTTATAGGAAGAGAAGTGACACAGGCAGAGGGAAGATGGACAGGGGATAATGGAGACAGAGATGGAAGTGGTGCAGCTGCAGTCAGGAACGCGAGGACTCTGGCAGCCCAGCAGCCAGGAGGGCGTGATTGCCACACTTTGACCTCAGGCTTCTGCCTCCGCAACTGCAAGAACATGAATTTCCATTGTTTTAAGTCAGTCAGTTGGTGGTTCTTGGTTACGATAGCCCAAAAAAACTAATGCAAGCCCGAGTGGGGCATGTGGATTGGTTTCATGGAGATAGAGAGAGAGAGAGAGAGAGAGAGAGAGAGAGAGAGAGACAGAGACAGAAACAGAAACTGAGGCAGAGAGAAGGGGAAGGAGGGGGTGAGAGACAGAGACGTGGAGGGAATATGAGAGACACCCAGAGACAGGGGCAAGACAGAGAGAGGAGAAAGAGGCAGGTGGGGGGTGGGGTGATGGGGAGTTAGTGCTCAGCCAGCCCCTGCGGTTGCAGCTGTTGCAGCCGTCTTAGGTGCTGAACGAGCGAGTGAGGATACACCTCTGACAATGTTGCCCCAGCTGCTAGAGCAGTGGAAACACCAGGCTAAGCGCAGTCCAGACTACAAAACTGAGAGGAGTCATAAGTTGTTGTTTTATGCCACTATGTGTGGATCGTGGTTTGTTACACAGATAACAGAAACAGCAATGAAAATAATTTGCTGAAATGAACTAATGACGCCCTCTGTGTGCTTGTTGACCGATTGAAAGTACCAGCTTCCACTGGCAAGGCAGGCGGCTGCAGTGGACTTTATCTGCAAAGGGTCTGTGGCTGTGTAGATCCTGTGTTTGGTTTAGCACTCAGGATTTAAACCCAAAGGCTGAGTATTTAGATGGTTTCATTCTGAGCTGCCAGTTTGCTGTCTGGGGGAGTACACTGGGAGGCTGCACTGGACTCAACTGCATCAACATCGGCTGCCCACCGTGGACAGTGTGTGCACATGAAGATCATGTGTCCCAGTTCATTCCCCCAAACGAGCCTGCTACTGCATCATGGGTGTTGAGAATAAAAATATTTGCATCTGAAGTTTTCTGAGATGATGGGCCAAATTCAGAACTTCAGAGCCCGGATGAGAGACGTCTCTGAATGACCCTCCACACCTCCCCTCTTCCAGAGCAGCTCAGTCCCAGCAGAGCAGTTTTGGTAGTGATGGCTGTGGCACAATTTCAGAGGTGCCCAGGCCCAAGAATGCTTGGGTGAAATTCTGGAAAGCATGCTTGTGGGCCAGGTTGCAAAAACAAGTGAGTAGATATTTTTTCATTTTCCTATCATGCTTCCAAAAAAAAATCTCAATATGGGAAATTAAATCAAACTATAGACCAGGTTAAAAAGTATTCTGCTTAGAAGTAAAATACAACACACCATCATGAAATCAACGAAGGGCACATTCAGGCTGGGATAATCTCTGCTCCTCGAACTCCTTCCTCTCATAGCAATGTCCTCTGACTGCCACTTCTAATTCGTGTTGGTGGAGTCGGAGTTTTCTTATGAATAGAAAAAGAGGGACTTAATTTGTCACCAAAGCTTGATTCCTTTTTTTTTTCCTGCACATAAATCCTGTCAATTAGGTTAATAATAGAAGCAAACTTCATCATGAAATGAAATCTCCCCCAACATTTAAGACTGTGCAGTCGTCTCTTTGCCTAATTGTATTAATAAAATTTTTAGCAACATACTTTTGGGGATCAATGCAGCAGGCCCTGCCAATCAAGGACTTTTCTACTTACTGAAAAGGTGCTAGACTTTTTAGTTTCTTTGTGACAAACTATGGAAAGGCTGCGTTGCCCCCAGAAGATTAAATCTTTAATTTCACATTATTTCCAGCCATCTCTATAGAACAAAGTGGGCTTTACCTGTTGAATATGGGGCTTACACGACTTGAAGTACTCTTGAGACATTAAGAGGCGGCCGAGAACGGTCTCTGAGATTTAAGCTGAGGGGAATTCTAAAGGGATTACTGCTGCATTTTCCATAAAACGAGAAATAAAAACAGACTTAAGCAATGCATGATCATAAATGCATTCCTGCCGTGATGGAGAGTCCCATTCCCACTGCCACTCTGAGGCCCAGGCAGGAAGCTCTTGTCAAAGGCACCCACACTTGTAAGGATTTGTGCAAGTCCAATGTATAATGAAGTTAGGGCTGAATACTTTGGAAAGATTGGCTATTTGGGAAAAAAAAAAAAAAAAGATACTCTTCCATTTTCTCTGGCCCAAAGGTGAGAAATGTGCACATTATTTTGACATCATTAAGATATCTTTTGTTTGGAATGCTAACCTGTCTTGACCAGAACCGGATAATGCTCTCTATGAATAATTAAGAACAAAGCTCTTCTTGGGAAGATTTTCATGACTGATTAACTATGTGGGCTGAAAAAAAAAACCCTGATGTCTTCCAAAGATTAAAAGAAAATGAGGACCCCAATTAAAATCCTGTCATCCTTACTAATCAGCTTAAGAAACTCAACTAAAACAAAAGTTGTATTAAACATGTAACAGCATTCTCGAGCGTGCGTTGATTACTCAGCAATGCACATTTTGTATAAACACCCTCTAATGTTCTAAGCATATCTTGCTTTGAAATTTAAGATTAAAACAGTGAAAGAAAACTATCATGCACTTGGAACGGTATGATGTAAAAAATGGAATTTTTGTTTTTAAGACCCTGTATTCAAAGTAATGTTCTGACTTTGTGGTAGTTTGGAGAATGTTGAGTGAAGAGGAAACAGTCTCTCTATGATCATGTGTCCCATTTAATGAATGAATTAAGTTAACTCATCCATCCTGACCACACATTTATTCATAAAAAATAAAAATGTGACGGTACATTCGCTTCCTACCCTTGCTCTAAAGGAGGTTGTTATGCTTTCCAGGGGTATTAGTTCATGGCTAGATTCCTCCAGCTCTGAGCTTCTGTAATTCTAAGTATGACACTGTGGTTTCCCAACAAGACAAATACAGGCCAAATATGTGAAAAGAAGATGTAAGAGCTGCATGATTTTCAGAGCGCACCTTCTAGAATTTTATCATTCAATGGACCGACTTGCTCGCGACCACAGACCCGGTTAGTGGAAGAGCGGATATAAAATCCCGAGCATGCTGGGCCTGGCCGGCCTCCGTCTGCGCTTCCGTGCTCCTCTCCTCATTGCGTCGTCCCGAGGTGACCACCCCGTGCCCTGGCTGCCCTGCGGGGATGTGAGCGGCAGGCCCCGGCAGCCCTGCTTGGGTACCTTGCCTTGCAGTGAGGACCTCGGAGGCTCAGGAAGGGGGCTGTCTCCTCCCTCGCCGTTCCCAGTTCCCTCTCCATGGCGGGGACACCAGTCTCCCAGATCCTCGGAGGGGGCGGGCATGTTGGAAGACGCCTGCTTACTAGAACAATTTTGACCAACACCCACCTCAGAAAAGGAGAGTACTGAAGGCACATCTGGTGTCAAATCGTCCCTGTCACCCTGAAAGCTGCATCTGGGACCTTCAGGGACCTCTCACTGCACACGTGGCCTGAAAGGAGGGCCCCAGGGAGCAGGGGTCCTGGGCACTTGCAGAACTGCTGAAGGAAGGGTCCCCAGAGGCAGGAAGCAGTGCCAGGGGCAGATGGGAGCCAGCAGGAGATGGGACGCCTGGCTCACCACCTGTCCCAGCCCAGCAGGAAGGGGCACTCTGGCCCTCACTCCCGGAGGACCCCTCAGCCCAGATGGGCACCTTGTTCAGGAGGACAGGCTCTCCTGGCTCACAGTCTGCCCCAGCCTAGCAGGAAGGGGTGCTCCCGACCTCACTCCCGGAGGACCCCTCAGCCCAGATGGGCACCTTGTTCAGGAGGACAGGCCTCTGGCAGAGGGAAAGGATGGGGCCGTGTATCCCCGCCTCCCACATCCTCATTATTCTTTATTTCACGAGCTCTGGGGTGGGGAAGGACTGGAGGAGTCAGCCCAGCCCTGGATTCTCTTCCACCACGGCTGGGTTTGGGGTCCCCTGACTCTGGCACGTCCTCCCGGGAGTTGGACCCCGCTCTTGGGAGGCCTTAGAAGGACTGTGCAACTCCTCCCCCTGCTTTCCTGCCCCTTCTCTCCATGGAGCCTGGACCCTGGAGCTCCGACCCTGGAGCTCCAGCCCTGGAGGCAGCTCACAGCATTTCCTAAATGATGAAGACAACTACTAGCTGCTTTTCTTCAGGACAAATAAAACCTGTCAGTCCATGGAGCTCATCCCTATGTGACACGGTCCACAACCTCTTGCAGCCTTGTCACCTCTGGGGACGTTGCAATGTATCCTGCGCCTTTTATGTGTGACAGCCCACACTGGATGCAACTACAGGGACCAACTGATCAGCAAAGAGTGAGGTCGGGCTCTTCCGTCTGTGATCCCATTGAAGCCCGGGGGCTTTCTCATCTGGATCCCCAAACCAGGTTTCTCCATTTGGGGCGTCAGTGCAATTCAGTTTCTTAATTTATACTGGATCTTACGAGGGGGATGCTTCCTTTTAGCTTAATATTTTCAAAATTCTCCCCCCAACTTAGGAAAAGTCTACCTTGAAAATGCTCACTCAAAAATAAATACAGTTTTTTTCTCTCTCATTATTTCAAGCCCATGATATTTTGCCTCAGATTTGTTCTAATAGATTTTTCTCGATTGCATTTCAGTGATCAATTTAGGAGCAGAGGTGTGTAGAACATGGAGGGAGGGATACAGTGTTATGGAAAAGCACGCCGACAGCAGACTTGCATACTGTATGACACTGTATGCGTTTGAATACTGCTTTTATCTTCATTCTATTTTTAGGCTGCTTATTAAGGAAGATGGGCTTTCAATGCTCCTTCCTACCTCTTTCACTCCTTGGGAAACATCATTTTGCCCGTGGACACAGGAATCCATGTTCCCTTCTGGGTTCCCGGCTCCCCGCACAGGTGGCACTTAGACCAGAAGGGGTGGTGCCGATTCTTCCAGGAGCCCAGGCTCTTCTCACAACAATAAAATGTGACCTAGAGCTTTACCTTGCTTTGCTGTGCCCAATTCTATCTTTGAAAAATTGTTAATTGACAAATAATAATTATATATAGTTATGGGGTACAATGTGAGGTTCTGAACTATGCTTTCGTTGCAGAATGATTAAGTCAAGCTAATTAACATATCCAGCACCAGATGAACCTGGAGGACATTTCGCTAAGTTTAAAAGCCAGGCACAGAGAGACAAATATCACGTGATCTCACCTGGGTGTGGAATCTGAAAGTGCCGAACTCGTAGAAGCCGGGAGTAGGAGGGTGGTTACCAGGGGCTGTGGCTGTGGGGAGCAGAATGGGGACTGGGGAGACACTGGTCAATAGGTCCACAGTGTCAGTCAGACAAAAAGAACAAGTTTTAGTGAAGCATTGCATAGCCTGATGACTGTAGTTTATAATAATGCATGGTGTGTTTCAAATTTGCAAAAAAAAATTGATTTTAAATGTTTTCGGTTCAATTTGCCTTTTCATTAACGCACTTTGATTGGGTACCTCCTTTTTGGCATGCGGTCTAATTAGGGAAATATACACACATTAAAAAAATCATGAACCCCATGGTACGGACTGCACATTTTGTTCTCCCAAAATTCATCTATTGAAACTCTAACCCCCAGGGAGATGCATAAGGAGGTGAGGCCTCTGGGATTGGTAGGTTTAAAGGAGGTCAAGAGCCGTATGCAAAACTGGAAGAGTACTTGCCAGACATTGGATCTACCAGTGTCTTCATCTAGGACTCGCCTGCCTCCAGAACTGTGAGACATACGTGTTTTCGGTTTAAGCCACCCAGTTTGGGGTACTTTGTTACAGCAGCGCAAGCAGATTAGGATGCCCCGTGGAACAACCCAGGTTCCGTGGATGTCATAGTTAGGGAGTTCTATGGGTAGAAGGAGTAGAGAAGAGATTGCTGTGGCTGGGAGGGCCGGGGAAGGCCTCTAGGAAGAACAGGAAACCAAGATGGCCCCTGAAGGGTGACTGGGATTTCGATAAGTTGGAGAGGAGCAGCAAGGAAAGTTGGGATCAGGACCCACATGAACTCGGCATAAACACCAGCTCACATGGGCTGCGGTGTGGGGGAGCCAGCTGAAGGACATGGCAACAGGTTCTCTCCTATGGGACGACCTTGGAAATGAGAAGGGGAAGGCATATGAAAGGAAGAGTCAGAGGTGGTGGATTCTTCTTATTAATTGTTCCAAAGAGGGGTTGAGACCGTGAAGAGCAGCACATGGGGCTCCGGGAGGGCTGGGAGCCGGGAGAAATAGAAAGCTGTGCTGCAGCTTGCTCTGGCAGGTGGGAAGGATGCCAGGAATGGGTGACAGTCAGCTGAGATGCTCTCAAGGGAGCTGTGCCTGCCTCTGGTCATCCCAGTCCCTCCCGGTCAGCACCTTTGCCATTCTGCTTAAATTCTGCTTTTAAGAATAGCAAAATTCTTAAAAGAAAAAAAAACCAACTAGAGGTGAAATCAAGCTGCACTGCGAATCTGACTGTTAAGAATTTCAAAGACCCAGAGAAAATGTTACTGTGTGCCTTTCTAGTGGTCACAGGCTGACCACCCTCCGTGAATATGGGATTCTTCCTTGGCCTTAAAGAAGTGGAGAAGGGCATCTTTTTCATACACCTCAGGGGAAAAATCACCAAACCCTCAAACAAAACAAATCTTCCTCATTTCTATTATCTTGAAACATTAGCTTATTACTTTCTGGCATTCACACAAGTCACTGAAAACTATTGCAGAAGACTGAAACTGTTTAAAGCCACTTTCAATAAAAGTTCACTTAGCAAAACTTAAATATGACAGACAATTCCTCATGGCCCATTCCAAGCACATAGACGCTGTCCAGTGACAGGGGCCAGGGTATTAAGTGGGATTAAGGGTCTTAATTACACTAAAGATGTAAAAACGATTCATGGTTGGACATTAAATAGGAGGATTGGAGTGACATGGCACTCTCTCCATCCCACGGGAAGAATTCACTGGGGAGATCGAGAAACTTACTGGAATCTCTGGGCTTCTGAACTGGGGTGTCAGGTTAGTTAGTGCCATGACTCTCAAATCCTGAAGGCGCTTTTCACCAGGCACAGTGAGGCAGAGGCCACCCCAGCTTACCGCAGGAGTCACCACAGCCAAAGCCTGATTAGTGGGAATGCGATTTATCAGAAGTCCAAAGTCCAAACTACATTTTTCCCAGCTCTGAAATGACTAAGAGGCTGGTGCTACAAAATATTGTATCTAAAGAATACGATGCAGCCACTCTTTCCAGCTCAGCCTTCCCTTCTGTATGTCAGGGCACAAGTCCCTCCTGGTCTTGGGTAAGTCACAAAGCTTCTCAGAGCCTCATGTAAAATTAGCCACTCCCTAACATTTTATAAGGAGAGTTGAAATCATAGATGGTGACCCAAGGAACTTTAAGAGCCTTCATTGCAGAAATTAAGTATATGGAATTGCCATTTTTGTGGTCAAAGATGGTCAAATATGAGTGCTCCACAATGGTTCAACCTAAGGTATTTGATTTTAGTCACTAGACTCCTCTAAAAAGAAAAAAAAAGTGAGAATGCAGGTAATTTGCAAAGATTTTTACCCAAAATTGAATAAGCTCTCAGTCTCCATCAGCCCCCACTGCCATTTCCAGTTGGTCTGCGGCTTCCTGCAGAGTAGCTGCATTTATGGCCTTTCAGTTACTGAGGAAAGACCTGCCACATCAGACTTGGAAGGCCAGCCAGAGGTCACAGCCAAACACGGGGCTCCAGCCAGCCGTGTAGGTCACAGGGAGTTAGGGGTCTGCCCATGAAGCCCTCAGCTTGATGGAGCCCTGCAAATATGATACCGGAGTGTGTGGAAGGAGGTACACGTAGGAGGGGCCAAAGAAAGTCAGATTGCCGTGTGCTCATGCTTCCTGCCTTCTCCTCTATGGAGGTGGCCAAGGACACTGTGAGGGGGGCCCTGCACCTGCCATACCACCGTGGGCCTGGGCTGTGGACACTATGAGGGGGACCCTGCCCCTGCCGTATCACCATGGGCCTGGGCTGTGGACACTATGAGGGGGACCCTGCCCCTGCCGTATCACCGTGGGCCTGGGCTGTGGACACTATGAGGGGGGCCCTGCACCTGCCGTATCACCGTGGGCCTGGGCTGTGGACACTATAAGGGGGGCCCTGCACCTTCCGTATCACCTTGGGCCTGGGTCGTGGACACTGTGAGGGGTTCCCTGCATCTGCTGAGTCACCGTGGAGAACTGGAAAACCCACCTGTATTTTGGGCCACTTGTCTGCCTGCTTGCTTTGCTTGAGCTTGTATTTTAAAAGCTTTATTTCTGTAGCTGAAAACTTTCCTAGTGAAAATCCGAATCCCCAGGAAGATGACATTATAGAACTCTTAACAGTATCACACTTTTTATGGAAAGGATTTGGAAGGGATTAGAACTTAATGTTCTTGAGAGGGAAAAGGCACAGGCCTGGGATTTGCAGTGAATAAAAAGATAAGTTACCCGAATGAGTTCCCGAGAAAACTGCCCACACGTGGAGGCCTTCCTGCCGTGCTGCTGGTTTGCATTGTGCACCACGGGCTGGAGACGGCTCTTCTCTCCTGGGGTGAACACACCTGCCCTCCTCCCTCTCCAGCCAGGACCAGTGAGTGCCCTGCCTGGCTGTGTCTCCATCATAGGCAAGGTGCACCCCTCACGCAGAGTCTGTTCACCTTGGTCATTTCGTTGTGTGCCTGCTGGTCTTATTGCAGGACAGCCTTGTGTGCTGTGTGGGGTGTGTGCAAAGCTCTATGAGGTTGGCTTTGCACAGAAGTTTCACCCTCCTGGCTGCACATGTGGGGCCTCTTAGGGGCTCATGGCCTCCCTGTGCCCCCTTCACTGGGCTCCTCACGCTCGGCATCCTGAGGCAGAGCTTCCAGACCATCAGGACGGACACCAAGGGCCCTCGAGCGCGCACACACAATACCAGTTTATGGAGGTTTCAAAACCTAGGAAATGTTTCCATGCTGAGTATCTAATTCCTTCCACGAGTTCAACAGGTGAGGAACTGAAGCCTGGCCCATTGGAGGGAGTGGCAGGATGTGGACTCCAGGTCTGGTTCATCGATAGTCTCAGCTCTTCTTTTCACCGAGTGAAGCCCATTAACCAGGACCAAGGGCAGACCAACCAACACAGAGACAACAAACCATTGAAGGCACAGGAAGGATTGTTCCAGCTCCAAGGACTTCTCTCTCCAGAGCTCATCTTCCTGCTTTCACGGGCCTTCCCCACGCCTGTGTTGTTCATATCCACTGTTCTTGCCAGAACCCCGTGGTTCTGAATTCTCCTGATTCGTGCTTCCTCCAGGGCTCACCAATGGGCCAATATTTTCTCTTGAGGGCCACCTGGAGACATGCTGTGAGCATCGCAAAATCTCCTTCCCAGAGCCACGTCTCTCCCTTCTGATTTCATCTTAGATTTTTCATTGCTCCCATAATCTAGGGTTCTTGACTTTGGTTTCACAGTAACAAACACCCAGGAGGCTTTTGAAAAATGCTTAGACCTAGGACATCCCATGCCTGCAGATACTGACACATTTGATCCAGTTGAGGCCTTGGCCTCTGTGTTTTTTTTAAATTCCAGATAATTCTAACATGCATATGAGAACGAGAGACAGTTAATGTCATTGCAGGTTCTCAGTTTATTCCACTTACATCTTTAAATGACAGCTGGGTGATGTCGTCCAGAATTTATCACATCCAAATTAAAGGAAGGAAGCCTCAGGCACGGACTGCAGTAGTCCTTGCTGCCATTTACTGAGCATCTAATACACGCCACACAGCATGCTGCGTGGTTTACAGAGAATCTTATTTAAACCCTATGAAGCCCTGCAAGTTACTATTGCTTTATTCCCCCAACAGGTGAGGAAAGTGAGGCTCTCCGTGCTTAAGCGCTTCCTCTAATCACACTGCTTGTGTTTGGCAGGGCCAAGGCTCCTGCTGTTTGAATGGATCAAAAGACTGTGGTTTCCAGCATACGTCTGTGCCTCACAATCACACTGCACTTTCCGTCTGTTTAAATGAATGTGCCTTTAAGTCAGATACTCCCAGAGGCGCCTTTCAAGGGGCCCATCAGAATCCTAGGGAGGCTTTTCCAAACTGTACATGCTCAAGCTGCTCCTTGCCCCATCCTTGACGCCCCCTCCTTGACGGTGAACCCCCTTCCAAATTACTGTCATGGCTGCGGGGGCGAGAGGAGGTGTTGTTCGATGGGGCCAGCATTTCGGATTTGCAGGATGAAAAGGTTCTGGAGACCCATTACACAGCAATGTGAATATGCTTCACGCGACTGAACTGTACTTTATTTATTTATTTATTATTTTTTTTAGACCGAGTCTCGCTCTGTCACCCAGGCTGGAATGCAGTGGCGTGATCTCAGCTCACTGCAACCTCTGCCTCCTGGGTTCAAGCGATTCTCCTGCCTCAGCCTCCATGAGTAGCTGGGACTACAGGCGCCCGCCACCACACCTGGCTAATTTTTATATTTTTAGTAGAGACAGGGTTTCCTCATGTTGGCCAAGCTGGTCTTGAATTCCTAACCTCAGGTGATCCACCTGCCTCGGCCTCCCAAAGGACTGGAATTATAGGTGTGAGCCACCACTCCCATCCTCGAAATGTACATTTAAAAATGGTTATGATGGTAAAATTTATATGTGTTTTTTACCCCAGTAAAGAAAAACAAACAACAACAACAAAAACCAATCTTTAAAAAATTGCTTATATGAGCCACTACATCTTTTGGGGATGTGTCTTAGCATCAGAAGTATTAGGTCAGATGAAAGGTTGAACATAGGGTCCCTAAAAACTCTGCATGAGAAATTGGATATAATTGACCTTTCTGTCTGGAATAAATAAATTCTCAATGCACCTGCAGGAGATCATATTTTGTTATTAGGATAAAGTTAACAAAAAACTTCAGTGTTTACTGTCCCTGCCCGACGCTCATGGAAATCTTGGGAAAGTGGAAGAGCTACCCCCAAATCACCTGTCACTCTCTGCCTCCTCCTCCTGCTTGGAGTGCTCGCCATGGTGACTTAATGACTTAGCTGCAGGTGACTGACGTGCTCTACCCCCTGCCGTGTTTCCTGTATGTGCACCGCCTCCTCCTTCAAGATTTTAAGTTGTCCGAAAGAAAATGCTTCTCAGTGATCTCTGTTCTGCATTGCACATGTCCCTGGTACACACCCATGGGGTGATGGACGTAGGGACTGATATGACACTGCATTTGACCTGGATTTTGGATGGGACAGCAGAGGACTCAGACTTCTAAATCCTAAACCATTCTAGCTCTTCTTTCTCTTTCTCTCTCTCCCTTTCTCTCTGGCTCTATAAAGCAGTGGTTGTTGGCTGATTCATGGACACATTTCAGCTTGTAAAACTTAGAGTGCTTGTTCATTTTTCTCAAAAGGAGATGTTCTGTCACATCCTCCATTGTTATAAATCATGAGAAGAGCACTCGTCTTCACTGAAGAGAAGGAGAGAAGGCGAAATGGTCCAATTCTTACTGATGCTTTATTAGAAAGCCATGGTCTTCCTGACTCACGTAGTAGCCTCTAGCTGGAGAGACCAGTCTGGGCAGTATTTATTTCATTGTGAGGCAAATTAATTTTGTTATAGATTAAAGGAATTTTTGTCATTTTTAATGTCTTACTACTAGTACTTTATAAAAAGTATTTGTGATGATGTGGACATGCGTTTTACAACAAGAACAGCTTCAGTGGTATTTAATGGATAACTTATTACCAAGAAAAAATTCTTCGGGCCTGCCTTACCTTGTAATTCGTGGCATTATCTTTGAGTGTTTTTGCTGCATAGAAGGAGGCGTGAGAAGTAGTGGGGAAGACAATGATAATCATACATACTTTGCCTGTTGATCCAGAATCCCTAAGAGCCACTATGAGAAGAAGGGAGTTGTCACTTGTCCACGAGGGAGAAACAGAACCTGGCTTTCAGAAGTGTTTCTAAAGCATGACTCCAGGGAAAACAAATTGATAGTGACTTCCACAAAGTCTTAGAAAACTCATTTCTGCCCTTTGGATACAATGCAGTAAGTTCAGGTCAGCTCAGATCTGCAATAAGAAATGTTATTACCACATTGATAAGATGCCTCAAATTTCAGAAATAAAAATGACAATAAAAATTCACATCCATTGACCTAAATTGAAAAATGATCATCAGCTCTTTCCAGTTTCTGATGGACTTGCTCCAGGGAATCAAGGCTGAGTACAGGAAGCTGTCTCTGTGGTCCTCCACAGACCTCCGGAGTGTTTCCACGTCTTCCCTGCTTAGGAGCTTCGACTCTAAGTCAACAAGTTGAGAGGCCAATGCCCATAAAAATCAGGACTCACATATTTCAGTAAATCCGGTAGGTTTTTCTGCTCACATATTTCAGTAAATCCGGTAGGTTTTCCTGCTCACATATTTCAGTAAATCCGGGAGGTTTTCCAGCCAGGCTTTCTAACAGGAAGAAACACAGATCTTCTGAAAGCACTTTCTCCTTCCATCCTCCCATAAATGTGATTCTGAAACCCCTTCCACTCAGGGTTGCCAGGTAGAGAGAGCCAAGTTAAATTTGAATTTTAGATCAACAATGAATTTTTTTTTAGTCTAAGTATCTCCCATGCAATATTTGGGACATACTTATACTTAAAAGTATTTGTTGTTGATCTGAATTTCAAATCTAACTGGGTGTTCTTTATTTTTATTGGCAAGATCTGGCAACTCTGTCAGAGCAGACTTCAATCAATTCTTGGGACTAGCTAACTCCATCCAAACCTGGTGGCCATTAGATAGCAACTAATATGTTTTAGCTGTGTTCCCACCCAAATCTCATCTTGAATTCCCACGTGTTGTGGGAGGGACCCGGTGGGAGGTAATTGAATCATGGGGGCAGGTCTTTCCTGTGCTGTTCTCTTGATAGTGAATAAGTCCCATGAGATGTGATGGTTTTATAAAGAAGAGTTCCCCTGCACAAGCTCTCTCTCTTTGCCTGCTGCCATCCATATAAGATGTGGCTTGCTCCTCCTTGCCTTCCACCATGATTGTGAGGCCTCCCCAGCCACATAGAACTGTAAGTTCAATTAAACCTCTTTCTTTTGTCAATTGCCCCATCTCGGGTATGTCTTTATCAGCAGCATGAAAACAGGCTCATACAGCAACTGAACCATGCCGCTCTGCCCTGGGAGCCATGAACGGCATGACATAGAAACAAGGCTCCACTCTCCACTCTCTTTCTGGAACTTGAAAGAGCACATTCATTTTCCACTCACTGAAAGCTAGGAGTTTTGCACTTTGCCTTCATTTCTTTCAGCTAATTCTTATTCTAATTCTAAGAAGTTGATATTTTATTCCCATTTAGGACTAACAGGGAATAGGTGGAAGGACCAACCTCTGAACCTGTCTGTCGGCTTCCCACTCTTCCCTTCCGCTTCTCCCTCCAGAGAAGCCTGCCATAAAACTGGGGAGAAGACACATGGATAAACCAAGAGCAATGGAGAGATGCAATGTGAGTGAGTGCTGGCTTCAGGGCAGCCAGGCCTGTAGGAGGGACCAGGTTCATTCCCGGGCTGCCCATATGCCAGGAGGCTGCATGCCCCTGGCACCTTCTCGTCCCATCCCCAGGGCCCAGCTGTGAGCACCACACAAATGGCAGAACCCCCCGTCCCCCCCGCAGCAGTCTAGAAAAACATCAGAGTAGGCTAACAGAATACAACTTTGGGTAAAACAAGACAGCAAAAGATAGGATCCGATGACCTCAACGGGAGAGACCCTAGGGAGTCAGCTGAGAAACAGTGACCCCAGTTGTGCAGGAATTTCTAGAATTTTGTTCCTGAACGGCTGGACCCCATACATCCCCATGCACCACACCAGGGTGTTGTCTGTGGGTGCCAGGTTCCGAGGGGACATCACAGGTGTGGACACAATGCGGGTGTAGACATAGAACAAGTGGGGACGTCACAGGTGTGGACGTGGTGCGGGTGTAGACGTAGAACAAGTGGGGACGTCACAGGTGTGGACGTGGTGCGGGTGTAGACGTAGAACAAGTGGGGACGTCACAGGTGTGGACGTGGTGCGGGTGTAGACGTAGAACAAGTGGGGACGTCACAGGTGTGGACGTGGTGCGGGTGTAGACGTAGAACAAGTGGGGACGTCACAGGTGTGGACGTGGTGCGGGTGTAGACGTAGAACAAGTGGGGACGTCACAGGTGTGGACGTGGTGCGGGTGTAGACGTAGAACAAGTGGGGACGTCACAGGTGTGGACGTGGTGCGGGTGTAGACGTAGAACAAGTGGGGACGTCACAGGTGTGGACGTGGTGCGGGTGTAGACGTAGAACAAGTGGGGACGTCACAGGTGTGGACGTGGTGCGGGTGTAGACGTAGAACAAGTGGGGACGTCACAGGTGTGGACGTGGTGCGGGTGTAGACGTAGAACAAGTGGGGACGTCACAGGTGTGGACGTGGTGCGGGTGTAGACGTAGAACAAGTGGGGACGTCACAGGTGTGGACGTGGTGCGGGTGTAGACGTAGAACAAGTGGGGACGTCACAGGTGTGGACGTGGTGCGGGTGTAGACGTAGAACAAGTGGGGACGTCACAGGTGTGGACGTGGTGCGGGTGTAGACGTAGAACAAGTGGGGACGTCACAGGTGTGGACGTGGTGCGGGTGTAGACGTAGAACAAGTGGGGACGTCACAGGTGTGGACGTGGTGCGGGTGTAGACGTAGAACAAGTGGGGACGTCACAGGTGTGGACGTGGTGCGGGTGTAGACGTAGAACAAGTGGGGACGTCACAGGTGTGGACGTGGTGCGGGTGTAGACGTAGAACAAGTGGGGACGTCACAGGTGTGGACGTGGTGCGGGTGTAGACGTAGAACAAGTGGGGACGTCACAGGTGTGGACACAATGCGGGTGTAGACGTAGAACAAGTGGGGACGTCACAGGTGTGGACGTGGTGCGGGTGTAGACGTAGAACAAGTGGGGACGTCACAGGTGTGGACACAATGCGGGTGTAGACGTAGAACAAGTGGGGACGTCACAGGTGTGGACGTGGTGCGGGTGTAGACGTAGAACAAGTGGGGACGTCACAGGTGTGGACGTGGTGCGGGTGTAGACGTAGAACAAGTGGGGACGTCACAGGTGTGGACGTGGTGCGGGTGTAGACGTAGAACAAGTGGGGACGTCACAGGTGTGGACGTGGTGCGGGTGTAGACGTAGAACAAGTGGGGACGTCACAGGTGTGGACGTGGTGCGGGTGTAGACGTAGAACAAGTGGGGACGTCACAGGTGTGGACGTGGTGCGGGTGTAGACGTAGAACAAGTGGGGACGTCACAGGTGTGGACGTGGTGCGGGTGTAGACGTAGAACAAGTGGGGACGTCACAGGTGTGGACGTGGTGCGGGTGTAGACGTAGAACAAGTGGGGACGTCACAGGTGTGGACGTGGTGCGGGTGTAGACGTAGAAAAAAAAAAAAAAAAAAAAAAAAAAAAAAAAAAAAAAAAAGTGGTGCGGGTGTAGACATAGAACAAGTGGGGACGTCACAGGTGTGGACGTGGTGCGGGTGTAGACGTAGAACAAGTGGGGACGTCACAGGTGTGGACGTGGTGCGGGTGTAGACGTAGAACAAGTGGGGACGTCACAGGTGTGGACGTGGTGCGGGTGTAGACGTAGAACAAGTGGGGACGTCACAGGTGTGGACACAATGCGGGTGTAGACATAGAACAAGTGGGGACGTCACAGGTGTGGACGTGGTGCGGGTGTAGACGTAGAACAAGTGGGGATGTCACAGGTGTGGACACGGTGCAGGTGTAGGCGTAGGACAAGTGAGAACCTCACAGGTGTGGGTATAGACATAGTCCAGGTGTGGACACAGTGCAGATGTAGACATGGCGCAGGTGTAGACCCAGTACAGGTGTCAACACAATGCAAGTATAGACCGTACAGGGTGGCCACAGTGTGGTGTGAATGCAGTGCATTCTGGACACAGGGCAGGTGTAGACACAGTGTAGGTTTTGGCACCATGCAGGTTGAACATAGTACAGGTGTGGACACGGTCAGGTGCAGACACAATGCATGTGTGTAGTTGCAGGGCTGGATTACGTGGGACTGACCTGGGCGTGTTCCCAGGCCCCTGGCTGTGATATGTGTGTGCTGTGGAGACAGAGAGAGGTTGTTTCCACACTCCTTCCTTCTATGTCTCCATGGCCTTCACCTTCCAGGGGCAGCCATGCCGAAGCTGGTTAAATGGAGGTGTGGGGACGAGAAACATCTGAGTCTGCTGTTGCCTGTGGCCTGAGAATGGCTGAGAGATGAACAATGGTCCTGAGATCTGAGCTGGGCCGTGAGGAGGAGGGTGAATTGCTTGGATTAGGATGCAGATGAGTGCCGGGCAGAGAGCCAGACAGGAGCTAGACACAGAGAGGCCCGTAGATTGCCATTTGTGGATGTCTCTGATTGATTAAACAGAGGGGAAATCAACTGATTTCTTGAGAGCAGAAACTATAATGGATGCTTTAATTTGGGCTCACTGCAAAGCAATTTGCTCCCAAGCTCCAGGCTGGTTGTGGCCACCCTGGGGTGCACGGCTCGCCTCTGTCTCCTCTCTCCTCCCAGGTGGGCTCCTGGCTGGGGATCCAATGCTCTCTCGCTGCCCCCCACTGCCCAGCTCTGCTGCCAACTCACTCCTTCTTCCCAGGCCCCCTCCACCTGGAGTTGTCCTGATTCCACTCCCCTCCCCCGCCTATGCCTCAGGGATCTTGCCTCTGCCAGGGCTGGGCTGACGAATTCATTTGGTCACTTACTGGCAGATCACGGCCTAATGAGCTCCCCCTTCCGGCCCCACGGGATATTTTCATTTCCTCGGAGGATTTGCAGGGCCTTAGCCCAGAGGCTAAGGCATAACGTGGCCTGCAACCCACCTCCCACTCCAGAGATGAGCCCCTGGCCACATCTCGGTGCCACTGGTTCACTGGCCCATAGTGATACAGAGGTGGGCGCTAGGGAGGAGTGGGGACAATGCCAAGAGGAGCAGGGGAGTGCGTGTTCCCTTAGATAGGTGAGCAATGATTACGTGGCAATGAATGACCACCCTGGCACCTCCAGCCGCCCGGCGAGCACTGCTGGCATCCCGTGTGGGACCTGGATGCTACCAGCACGCAGAAGGGGAAAGCCAGGCAGGTGCGGCTGGGGCAGGAGAAGAGCACAGAAAGGAAGATGTTACCTGAGGAACCGGGCTCTGCTGCAAGCCGGGCAGGAGTGTGAGCAAAGACGGAAGGGGAGAGCGGGATGGAGGGAGACCACCGGGCACAGTCAAAGGCATCGCTGTGCAAGGAGGCAGCCTCTGGAGAGCCGGATGCCACAGGGTGTCCTGGGGGAGGTCTGGAGGCTGTGGTGGGGCCCTTGGGAAGAGCACCTGTGTACTCAGGTGAGCAAATGCCCGTGGGGACGGCTTGTGGGGCAACCTCCAAGTACAGCTACCCCTTCCTCTGTCTCAGGAGGAGACGGTGAGCAGCAAGTTCTCAGCTGGTTGACTTCCAGGACTCACTGTTCTCTGCATCACCTGAGAAATTCCTGAGCAAGCTGGCGACCCAGGGCTCTGGCATTTGGAATGAGGGACTGGTGGAGGCCAGGGCAGCAGAGTTTACTGAGATGACAGGCAAATGGCTTGTGCAAGGGTGGAGGTGCCGAGGGGGGGAGGTGAAGGTGGCCTGCCTCTTTGGAAGTGTATTATGGTTGGAGGGGCTCATTGTGTGTGACAGGAGATGGGAGATCTCGCAAAATGGCAGAAGAGCCTCATGAGGCACTCAACTCCTGCCCCACCCGGCAGAGACGAGGGAGCTGGGCTCTAGGTCAGGTCACCAAGCATGGGTTCTTGGGCAAAACCACTTTGTTTCTATCTGTCTGCAGTACCTGAGGACAAGATTAGAGGCAGAAACAGCGTGATCCAAGAGCATGTTCTCTTGAGGCATTTCCCGCTTCAGGAACCCTGAGTTATCCACGACAAGGGAAGATGGGATTTTCTATAGAAGAAAAATACATTTTTTTTTTTTGCAAAATCCACAGCAATAGTAGGTGTCACACGTGTCTACATATCTCTGCATTATTCTGGTGGCCACAGTGCTGACTGGGTGCAGCCACTGCTTCCCTCTCTAGATGTGCGTCTCCAACAAGAACACAATGCCACCTGGAGATGCCTGGCCTCGCAGGCAGAGTCCCCAGTGGGTATCCCTGATGACACAGGGGGACCCCTCCAGGGCCAGCCCATGTTGTCGTTGCTGGTCCATGGAGGTCTCTATATTCATGTCTGTGTTTCTGAGATTGTCAGGAGACAGGAGAGTGTGGGCAGAAATGCCAGGAGTGAGAGCCTAGTCCCGACCCAGACGCAGCCTCCATCCTGGCCTGCAGCCTTCTGTCTTCTCGCCTCGGGCCCCAGACAGTAGGAATTCGTTTGCACCTTTGTTTATCTGTTCACCTATTCTTTCAAACACACAATGTGTTCAGCGTTTCCTATGTGCAATGCCATCATTAATCATTAGATCATTAATTGTTTCTGCCCTGGGGAGGCTTTAATGGACTATACGTTGGGGTATTGGAGCCCTGGACTGGCAAGGACAGTGGCCTTGACGTGTTGGGGGGAATGTTCCTCACGATCATTTCTGTGTGTTAGTGTAGGGGGAGCAAATGTCAGGATGGGGCATAAAATACCTGTGTCATTGTCTAAGGCTGAGTGTCAGGTGAGGCGGAGCCAGGCCTCGGCCCGGCCTCCCTAGATCCCCTCATCTTTCCAGGCCCCCAGCGTGCAGGAGCACCCCTCTCCAAGCTGACTGTGTCCAGTTGCTTTTCCAATCACCGAGTCGGCTTCTATTTGATCACCAGATAAGAATGGGATTAGTACGATTTGGGCTGTTTGAATGATTTTGAACAACCCCAAACAACAACAACCCTGCATGTGGCTTTGAAATAAGCCTTGAATATCATCAGGTGACTGCTGATTACCTGTAGCAACCGCTTATTAACATTGGAAAAGCAAGCCCTCTAGATGCTATCAGCGAGCCTACCGAGGGGATCAGCTGGCTGCCTCACCCTGCCCTTGGCTGGGGTGCTCAGGAGAGATGGCGGGCCCCTGGGAGGACGGAACTCAGGCGCTGCCTGGTTCCGACAGGCAGGTTCTCCAGGAGGCTACAGCTCTTCTTCCCAGGTGTGTGGGCCAAGCGGCCACTCCTGCAGCATGGGGATGGATCATTTGGTTAGACTCTCTGGGGAAGCGGAGCAGGCTGCCTGTGCATGTGCACACGTATGCGAGCATGTGTCTCCCCGAGAACACCAGGCCCACCAGCTATGGCTTCTCCCTCCTTCCACCTTTCTTTGTGACCTTGGGCACTCTTTGATGGCAGATAATTTCCTCTTCCAGTGCGGAATGCCCTGATGTTAAACTATTAGCTAATATCCTGGGCACCCATTCACACATCTGCTGGGCTGAGTTGCGTGGGGAGGCTCAGAGCTGAGGATGTGGGAAGCACCTGAAGCAAGAGCAGACAGGCTGGGGGGACAATGAGGCCCATGGGCCGAGGGGGCATGCCAACACCTGTATGGACATACAGCCCTGGGTGACCCCAGACCATGCATTTCTGTGTTTTCTAAGTGAAAAAAAAAAAAAAAAAAGCCCAACTCACTCTGCAGAAAATTCGCTCTTCTCATAAGGGGCCTTCACCTCTAGGACTTAGCCACACGGTCCCTGAGGGAGACACACTGTGTGATTTGAATAGCATGGAAGGGCTGTAGAGACCCAAAGCCCACCCTGGTCCTGGCCTCGGCTCCCAGACACTCCACAAACATCTCCCAAGCCTGTTGGCCTCACTGAACGTGGGCCCAAACCAGTCATAAGAACACAGCAGGACCCGTGCTTGTCTGGAGGGCTGGGCAGGCAGGGCAGAGGTTTGACGGTGGGCGCCCAAGACGATGTGCCTGGCGATATTTCTCACGTAGCTCCTTCCACATCTCCCTGCCGTGGGGCTCCTTCTTTCCCTGGACTTCTAAGCACTTCAGGCCTTCCCTGGCCACCTTTAGGAAGGATGCAGAAAGTACTACTGAAGTCAACTAAATATCACTTCCATAAATGACGGGGCACAGGTTTCCTGAGGATCCACTTTCCACACTGTGCTTATCCTGTTTCCCGGTTCTCTGCTCCTTTCCAAATTTTGGAGTGACAGCAGCTTGTGAAAAAAACAAGACGGCCGGGATCACCCGTGTAATCCCAGCACTTTGGGAGGCCGAGGTGGGTGGATCACCTGAAGTCAGGAGTTTGAGACCAGCCTGGCCAACATGGCGAAACCCTGTCTCTATTAAAAATACAAAAAATTAGCCGGGCATGGTGGCACATGCCTGTACTACCAGCTACTCGGGAGGCTGAAGCCGGAGAATCACTTGACCTGGGAGGCGGAGCACTGCACTGCACTCCAGCCTGGGCGACAGAGCGAGACTCCATCTCAGAAAGAAGGAAGGAAGGAAGGAAGGAAGGGAGGGAGGGAGGAAGGGAAAAGAAAAGAAAAGAAAAAAGAAGGAAGGAAGGAAGGAAGGAAACAAAACAGTTACAGAACAAGACTTTTCAGAATTTAATTGCCAGGCTGTACGTAGGACTACACGAAGAGCCTCCCTCCTCTTCTGACCCTGGATGTCTCTTAACCATAAAGCAACCTGGGTTTCCCTTTCTCTCTCCTTGTTGCCTTGAGCGACTCCCACCCCTTCACCCACCAGCTGTAATGCGACACCCTCCTCTCCGGCCTTCTTCTAATGCCACGCCCTCCCCGCCCGCCTTCCTCTAATGCCTCGCCCTCCTCGCCAGGCTTCCTCTAATGCCACACCCTCCTCGCCAGCCTTCTTCCCGGCTGCCTCTCCTCCCGCCAGGAATTCTTCAGTGCTTCTGACCCTCACGTGGACCATTTCAACACCTCCCTCCTCGGCACAACAGATTATTTTTAGAAGTAACCACAGATAATCAGCAATAATCTTTACTCCCTTGATTTGTTCTTTAGAGTCAAAGCAAGTAACAATTTTAAAAGAAGAACACATTTTCAAAATGTGGCACATATACACCATGGAATACTATGCAGCCATAAAAAATGATGAGTTCATGTCCTTTGCAGGGACACAGATGAAGCTGGAAACCATCATTCTCAGCAAACTATCGCAAGGACAAAAAAACCAAACACCGCATGTTCTCACTCATAGGTGGGAATTGAACAATGAGAACACATGGACACAGGAAGGGGAACATCACACACCAGGGCCTGTTGTGGGGTGGGGGGAGGGGGGAGGGATAGCATTAGGAGATATTCCTAATGTTAAATGACGAGTTAATGGGTGCAGCACACCAACATGGCACATTTATACATATGTAACTAACCTGCGTGTTGTGCACATGTACCATAAAACTTAAAGTATAATAAAAAAAAATCTATCTTGAAAAAAAAGAACACATTTTCATTTTAAATATATGATTCAAGTTCAGGGAAATATCTCATGTCTGAATAACAATTTGTAATTACCAAACAAAAATATTCTACCTCCACAGGTTTGCCATTTCACTGTTTTAAATTTTAAATGAAATTGAAAACTACAAATGTTTGAAACTCAAGTTTCGTATCTTCGTCTTTCTGATGGGTATGTCATGATTGTTTATTCTGAATTGACTATTTAAATGCAGAAGTTGGAGATGTGACTTCACCCAAAGCCAACTCAAAGGTTCTGAACGATTAAAAACCTGCCCATTGGGTCAGGAGCCCACCTTGTGAAAGGCAATTCTCCAAATTAACTTCCATGTAAATAAAATGATTAATTAAGAATAAGTGATAGCTGGGCACAGTGGCTCACACCTGTAATCCCAGCACTTTGGGAGGCCAAGGCAGGTAGATCACCTGAGGTCGAGAGTTCGAGACCAGCCTGGCCGAGATGGCAAAACCCTGTCTCTACTAAAAATACAAAACAATTAGCTGGGCGTGGTGGTGCGTGCCTATAATCCCAGCTACTTGGGAGGCTGAGGCAAGAAAATCCCTTGAACCCAGGAGGTGGAGGTTACAGTGAGTTGAGATTGCACCACTGCACTCCAGCCTGGGTGACAGAGTGAGACTCCGTCTCAAAAGACAAACAAAAAACAAGAATAAATGACAAAAATGCACTCCTTTGAATCTTACATATATATCACTAAAAGTCAGCAATAACCACAGTAATCGTTTCAAACAAAGGTTCTTTTGTTAGTGGAGGTCTTTAAGTCATTGCCAGTGTTCAGAATTGCAGGCGCACAGTACTAAGGACGGCAGGCTCACTCCCCCTTGGCATTACAGTGATTGTAAATTCTCCACAAACAAGGCACCTATGCCATGCACTGGAGGGGAGGGGAGCACTCCCACCGCCGGCCCATGGCCACTCACCTGGCTGCCACGCTCATCTTCCTGATGCTCGTCTCTGAGCCTTCAAGAAACCACTTTTACCCATCACATCAAATCCAGATTTTACAGCTCCAAGTCAAGAGTTTCCAGCCAGACATCATCCCTCCAAGCACATCTGCTGCTCTCCGCCCTTTGCCCGTGTCCCCCGGGGCAGCCTGTCTCCTTGGCATCCCTCCACCAGCCTTATTCTCTTATTTACCTGAGAAGTCCTCTCATCTCTGCACCTCCCCGACCCTAACTCTGCCTTGTCTTAAGAGACCGTCTCTGTGTCCTTCCTCTGCTCTCTTGTTTCTTTGGACAATCGCTTTGGTAAGTGATTGCATATCTTACATACTATCTGTGTTACAGGTGTATATAAATATTTCCCCTCCATAAAAGGATAGGCACCATCAATATTTATTTTAGATGGTGCACATAACCTAATACACATCTAGATACAAAATAGGTACTTAGGGAACTTAATCCTAATATGTTGAGCCAAAGACATTTGAAGAAAATATGAGCATTTGGGAAAAACATCACCCCTTCACTGGATTTCTGCCACTAGGTGGTCCATCACAAAGCACTTAAACCTCATAGTACCTCAGTTTCCCCCTTCAGAAAACTGAAATGATAATATTTACCTCCCAGGGCTTAATTAATATTTGCAAGTTACTTTGAAATCCTGAGATGAAAGGAGATACACCAGGCAAAACCTCATCCACATTTTTGAATCTATCATTATAGTTATGGCTGTTGTTCATAAAGATTATTATTATCACCAATCATCATCATCATCATCGGAGGGGTGTTGTGGGATCTTTTCATTGGATCCCTGGTACCTCTGGACGCAGGGCTAGGGGGTTAGAGAGAATGCAAATCCCGGATCTGCCCAGACAGTGTCGGAGGGAAGTGTGCATCTCCCCAGCACACAGATAAGGACATCCAAAATGTTACCTCGGCCATTGTATTCTCCAGCTAGAAATCTTCAGTGGTTCCCTTGGGATGCCTATAGGAAGCCCACAGAGAAGGAGGACCCTGCACTTTGGATCAGCCTGGATCCAAATCCCTAGGTCCTGACTCTCACTACTGAGCTGTCTTGCAAGCAGCACATCTCTCTGGGACTCAGCCTGCTCATCTGTAAAATTGGGATGATTATGTCTACCTTGTGAGGCAATGTGAGAACCAGCAGTAATGTGTGCAAATCATACATTAAATTTTAAAACAATAGAAAAGGCACAATGTGCAAACCCTGTAACTGACTGAGAGAGGGCACAGCCTCTGCATTTGGATGACCTGAGTCTGAATCATGCCCAGCCGCTGTAACTGACTGAGAGAGGGCACAGGCTCTGCATTTGGACGACCTGAGTCTAATCCTGCCCAGCCGCTGTAACTGACTGAGAGAGGGCACAGGCTCTGCATTTGGATGACCTGAGTCTGAATTCTGCCCAGCCACTGTTGGATGTGTGGCTGTGGGGAAGCCCTGAAACAGTCTGGGTCCCACCTGTAGATAGAAATGAGAGTAATACCTGTCTCATAAAGGAAGTTAATGCAAATGGTGAAAATGTTGCTGTTGTTAACTATCATTATCATTATCTTCATCACTTAGGGCTCAGTGCAGGATGCAACTCATACTCAAGGGTACGCAAATAGCAATTATTGATAAAAGTTAAACATCTCAATTTTAGGCCAGTACCATGCTATTTTAATTACTACAGCTTTAGAGTTTGAACTCAGGTAATGTGATGCCTCCAGCTGTTTGTTTGTTTGTTTGTTTTGCACAAGATTGCCTTGGCTATTCAGGATTTCAGGGGAGTTGTTCCTATGAATTTTAGGATTGAATTTTTCTGTTTCTGTGAAAAATGACATTGGAATTTTGATAGGGATTGCACTGAATCTGTAAATCGCTTTGGGTAGTATGGATGTTTTAACAACATTATTAACTCTTCCGATCCATGAACATGTATCTTTCCATATGTTCACATCTTCTTTAATCTCTTTCTCCAAAGCTTTATAATTTTTAGTGCATGGATCTTTCACCTCCTTTGTTAAATTTATTTCTAAACATTTTAATTTTTGGAGCTGTTGTAAATGTGATTTGTTTTCCTGATTTCTTTCTTGGATAGTTTGTTGTTACTATATGGAAATGGTACTAAATTCTGCATGTAGATTTTGTATCCTGCAACTTTCCTGTACTTATTAGTTCTAACAGGTTTTTTTTGTGTGTGGAATCTTTAGGGTTTTCAGCATATAAAATCATGTTGCCTGCAAACAAGCATAATTTGGCTTTTTCCTTTGCAATTTAGATGCCCTTTATTTCTTTCTCTTGCCTAATTGCTCTGGCTAGGGCTTCTAGTGCTTATTGGAAAGCAGCGGTGAGAGTGGACATCCTTGTCTTGTTCCCGATCTTAGAGGAAAAGCTTTTAAGTTTTCACCATTCAATGCAAATGTTAGCTGTTGGCTTGTTATATCCTTTATTGCACTGAGGTACATTCCTTCCACATAAAAACAGACATGTCAACCAATGGAAGAGAATAGAGGCCCAATATGAACCCATGGATTTATTGTCAATTGATTTTCAACAAAGGTACTCAGAATACACAATGGAAAAAGCACAGTCTCTTCAACAGAGCATGTTGGGGAAACAACACCCACATGCAGAAGAATGAAATTGGACCCTTATTGCTCACCATATATCTCTCACACTTTATCCACAACACAATCTCAACAAAAACCAACTCAAAATGGATTACACACTTAAATGTAAGGCCTGAAACTACAACTACTATAAGAAAACATAGGGGAAAACCTATATCACATTAGTCTGGACAATGATTTTTGAATTTGACCCCAAAAGCTCAGACAATAAAACCAAAATAGACAAATGGGATTACATTGAACTAAAAAGCTTCTACGCAGTAAAGGAAATAATTAACTGAGTGAAGAGCTAACCCACAGAATGGGAGAAAATACTTGTAAGCCATACACCTGATAAGGGATAAATATCTAAAATATATAAGGAACCCAAAGTACTCAACACCAAGGTAACAACCCACTAAAAATGGGCAAAGGACCTAAGTGTACATTTCTCAAAAGAAGATATACAGGTGGTCAACTGATACATAAAACATTCTCAACATCATTAATCATTAGAAAAATGCAAATTAAAACCAGAAGATACCACTTCACCATGAATGATTGTTATCAAAAAGATGAAAGACAGGTGTTGACGAGGATGTGGAGAAAAGAGGATTCTTGTACATCGTTGGTCGAAGTGTGAATTAGTACAGCTGTTATGGAAAACAGTATGGAGCTTCCTCAAAAAAACTAAAAAGGGAGCCACCGTACCATCCATCAATTCCACTTCTGGGTATACACCCAAAGGATTTGAAATCAGGATGTTTAAGAGCTATCTACACTTCCATGTTCATTGAGTGCTATTTACAATAGCCAAGTTATCATATCAGTCCAAGTGTCTGGCAATGAATGAATGGATAAAGAAAATGTGGTATATACGCGATTTGGCCTTTTAAAAAAAGAGGAAGATTATGTCATTTGTGACATCATGGACCTGGAGGACATTATGGTAAGTGAAATAAGCATAAAGACAAATGCCACTTGTTCTCACTCCTATGCAGAGGATAAAAAGGCCAAACTTGTAGAAGAAGAGTAGAAGTGTGTTTACCAGAGTCTGGGGACTGGGGTCAATGGGTAAGTGTTGATCAAAGGGTGTGAAGTTTCAGTTAGACAAGGAATAAGTGATGAGTATTTGAGGTGAAGGACATATTAATTGTCTTGATTCAATCTTTCTGCAAGGTACACATATATTATAGCATCACATTGTACCCCCATAATCTATAATCTGGCCCCAAAGAGCAGTGGCTTGGGGGTAAAGACCCTGGGTTCCAGCTTGCTTCTAACCCCATCAACCTTTGAACAAATGACCTGGCTGTGCTTCAGTCCATAAAACTTCAGGGCTATGTTACCCTTAAGCTGGGAAGGCCATTGCTTCTAGGACTTGTCCTCTATCGCTTCCTTACACAAACACTTCAGCCAGAACACAATCCCAACACTGCCCCAATAAATTGCACACTCCATTGTCCTAGACATTTGCTGATGATCTGATGCCTCCTCCCTGTCCTGAGGGGTCTTGCCACATCCTTTCCAGGTATACAGGACTCCTCCTTCAGGTCCAGCTTTTCCCGCCTTCCCTGGTTTTCCTTGAGGACCCCACCTCCAATGTTTGCCTCATTCACAGGCTCTCAGGGGTCCCTGCCACCTCCTTCCCTGGCTCTCATACCTGACCCACAGTGGGTCCTGATTCGTGATCACCCTAACCTGAGCAAAGAAACTGCCTGTGTCCAATGGTACTGAACACACAGCTGGGATTAACATGCCCGTGCTTCTGCCTGGAATGGAGTTCATTCCTTTTGTTCACATGGAGAACACCAGTGTTTTCTTCAAGACCCTCTTCAAACCGTGTTTCTTTCCAAAACCTTCTCTTATCCCAGCAGCAAGGATCAACTTATCCATGTGCCTAAATCTTTCCCTCCAATGCTGGACACGCCCGCTCTGCAGTGCGGATCCTGAGACACGTGAGGAAATGGTGCCTGACTCAGGAAGCCGCACTCCGTGCGCAAGGTGCTGGCTGCAGCCAGTTCTTAGCAACTCTGCGGCCACTAGTGGAACTGGAGAGTGGGGGAGTGAGTGAAATTTTTTCCTACTAAGTTCTTTTAATTAAAAGGATAGTTTGATCAGTTTATAAGTCTTTGCTTATGGGCCAAGAACAGGCAAACATTGCAACCTCTGATAACAGATGCCACTTCAGAATCCCAGATCCCAGGCTTGAGGCTGGAGAGGCCTCAGATGGGTCCCCAGCTGCCATCCTCGTTTCTCAGGTGAGGAGAGTAGGGACCAAAGGCACCAAATGAGCTGTTCTAGGTCACGCTGGACTCTGAGTTCTAGCTCATGTCTAAACTCTGGGCATCAAGCTTTCGAAGGTGGCTTCTGCGAGTGCACATGTAACAGGCCCACTAGACCCGGGAAGTGTCGCATACACAAGGTGAGGCGTTTTGGCCACATGCCGCAGGATGTGAGCTACTATCCCGCAGCCCTTACAGAGCTTGCATTTGCTGCTGGCACGAAGGCCAAATTCCAGTCTCTTGTGATGCAGAAAGCACACATCTGAGAAGAAATAGACATTTCAGAGAGAAAGCTAATTCAGGGCTGCTAAAAGGTGTTTTGCTTCACAGTAATTACATAGCTCTGGAGCCTTTGAACTTCTGCAGGGTCTTTCATCAGTTTATGTGCAGTAAGAGTGAACGGCTGCATATCCTCTGGGGTAGATATTATCACCGCTCCCGCAGCTGGGCAACTGGAGACAGAGAGGAAGCGGCTTGGCAGCTGGGATGGAGGTGAGTGAGCCGATACCTGGATCTCAGTTATTCTGCCAAGAGCTCCTTCTGGACAAAATTGTCCTCAGGGTTCCATCCACCTCCTCCACAAGCCCAGCTCCCAGCTTCCTCCATCTGGGTCCAGAGCCTCAGTGGGGCCGCAGTGTGCTTTGGAGTGGTGGAGGCTTTGGAGTGGTCCAGACCTAGGTTCAGGCCAATCCTGCCTGTTTCCCAGCTAAGGGATCTGACGCATTTCCGCCCTGCACTAAGCCTTACCTGCTGCACTTGTGAAATGGAGCTAATAGTAAGTGTCTCAAATGAATGTTGCAAGGGTTATGCCAGGTAACTGAGCTAGGATAGTATCCTCACCTGGTAAGAACTCAGCCATGAACGCAGTAACTGCTGTTTAGTAATGACAACAACAAAAACACCACCGGCAATGCATAGCCTTCCTCCAGCCCGGGGAGCCCGCGGCCCCTTCCCATCTCACCGTCCACTCCACTCCAATACTTTTCTGGAAGAGTCTTACGCTAGTGACACACCCGGCTACCTCCCTGGGGTGCTGCCGGGTGAACAGTTTACTCCATTACTTCATCTAAGACGAGGGACTGATGGGTAATCAGGCTGCAATGCGGCCCCAAAGCCCAGGAGCTCTGCCATCCACGAGGCCTTCCTACAGCAGCTGGAGGAGTGGACGAGGCCAAATCCGGGGTGCCCTGGTGGGCAGAGAACACGTTTTCCTGCTTGTCTGCAGAGGGCAGCGGGTGGGACACTCCCAGCGGGGGGCAGTGGGTGCGGTGAAACATCCTGGGGGGGGGCGGGGGGAATGGGGGACAGTGTGTGGGGTGGAACGTTCCCAGTAGTGGGGGCAGAGCAGTGGGTGGTGTGGGACGCTCCCAGCGTGGGTAGGGGGGCAGTGGGTGGGGTGGGACGTTCCCAGCTGTGGGGGTGGTTGGGGGCAGTGGGGCAGTGGGTGAAGCAGGACGCTCCCAGCAGGGGGCAGTGTGTGGGGTGGGATGCTGGGGGGGGTGGGCAGTGGGCGGGGTGGGATGTTTCTAGAGGGGGGCAGTGGGTGGGGCGGGACATTCCTGGGGGGACAGTGGGTGGGGTGGGAGGCTCCTGGGGGGATAGTGGGTGGGGTGGGAGGCTCCTGGGGGTGGGTAGTAGGCAGGGCGGGACATTCCTGGGGGGACAGTGGGCGGGGTGGGAGGCTCAGGTGGGGGAGGCAGTGGGTGGGGTGGGAGGCTCCTGGCGGGGTTAGTGGGCAGGGTGGGAGGCTCCTGGGGGGGGTAGTGGGCGGGGCAGGATATTCCCAGTGGTGGGCGGTGGGTGGGGTGGGACATTTCCAGCGGGAGGCAGTGTGTGGGGTGGGATGTTCCCGGCGGGAGGTCACTGGTCTGGGTGGGATGCTCCCAGCGGTCTTGCCAGGGACTCCATCCATGTTTCTTGATAGAAAGAAAAGAAAAGGAACTGAGATGGTCTAAGTGACTTTGCACTTTCACCTCTTTCTATTTCACGGGGTCACAGGTCAGGCGTCCGCAGCTTGTCCCGGGGGTAGGTGGAGGGCTCAACCTGTCCCTGCTCCTGGGGAGGGAACCCTTGTTGGGAACGTGGGGCCCCAGCTCCCCTCCTGCAGCCCATTGTGCCTCTCAGGCTTCCGGCAACCTGGTCCTCCTTGGTCCCCAGGGGGCTGACCTTGCCACTGAGTGGGGAAGCAGCTTCCGTCCCTCTTCAGCCCCTTCTCATCGACCCCTGGGGTCGATGCCGGAGAATCTACACCACGCAGGTGGCCCAGGACCCCTCTGCTGCCACCGGCTGACACCCTTAGAGTGTCGCAAACACCCTCCTCTGAAGTGGGGGCTCCCTGCTGCGCTGCAGGAAGAGGCTCCCCTCAGGGGTTCCTGCTCCTGGTGGCCTGGGACAGCTGTGCCTGAGCCAGAGCGGATGTCGGTGGGGAGTGGGCCCTGAGCCGTCCTGGGACCCGCCAGGACTGGAAGGGCAGTGGGGAGCACAGAGCAGACGCCTGCCCCACCCCTCCCCACATGGTCACTTTCTCTGGAAGCCCAGCCGGTCTCTGCAGGGAGCCCCGGCTCGGCAGTTCCAGCCTGGCTGGGAAAGCACAGTGTTGGGCCCGACTGCGTGTGGACACACCCTAAAAAAGGACACATTCCCACCCCCAGAGCCACTCACAGGGACAGGCCCTCCAGCTCTGCGGCGCTGCCTGTCCTTAGCGAGGCCTGGCCCCTTCCAGGCAAGGCAGGAGTGCTCTCCTCTCCATCGGTCGCCAGCCACTGCTCCAGGACTTTGCGGCTGGCTCTGTGTCCTCACCCTGCGTGAGGACAGCCGGCAGAGACAGAAATGATGCTTGGACGCTATGGTGGCCAAAGCCCAGCGCGGCAGGTCCTTCTGAGATGTCTGCCTGCCGGGGCCTGCACGGCCACACAGATCAAACAACGTCCCTCCTTGAGGGGCTTAGAGGAGAGGTAGGGAGGTGGCCCCCAGCTTGCCCTCATGTAACCGTCAGCAATATCCATTTCAAGGCTTAATTGCTGAGAGCCTAAGCCCTGGAATCAGACAGCCGGAGGTGAACCCCGCCTTCCTCTCAGAGGGCGTCCTCAATTGGGTCCGTCCACCTTGCTGAGCACCAGCTTCCTGATCTGTGATATGGGAGATGGCTGGTGCGCAACTCACTGCTCACTGTGAGGACTCAGCCTAGAAGCAGATGTGCGGAGTGCCCAGGGTGTAGCAAGGCCTCTGCTAAGTCCCTGCGTTTCACGCTCAGCCGTGCACACGTTCATCACTGTGCTCATGGCTCACCTGCAAGGGCCCTTCTTGCCTACTCCACCACTTCCAGGCCATTTTCTTAGATCATCATCATTCTTAAAGCTGAAAAAGAGGCCAGGTGCAGTGGCTCACGCCTGTAATCCCAGCACTTTGGGAGGCCAAGGCGGTGGGGTGGGGGGGATCACCTGAGGTTGGGAGTTTGAGACCAGCCTGACCAAAATGAAGAAACCCTATCTCTACAAAATTAGCCAGGTGTGGTGGAGCATGCCTGTAATCCCAGCTACTCATGAGGCTGAAAAGAAACATCCCTCCCAGGACGCTGTCTCTGCCTTCCCGAGTCCCAGCATGCTCCCTCTGCTGTGAACTCCTAGAGCACCTACCATTTTGGAGCCTAGTGTGGCCCCTCAGATGTGGCCTCTCCTGGAGAGAGCTGTGTGCTCCTCTCTGTTCTAGGCTGACACTGTCCTCAGACAACCAAGGGCAGCTTCCAGCACAAGCTGTGTGTGACATGGAGGTTTCCTAGTAGCCATGTTGTTGAAAGTAAAAAAAAAAAAAAAAAAAAAAAAAAAAAAAAAAAAAAAAACAAAACAAAACACAGGTGCAATTCATTTTAATACTATATATTTGAAACTGAACAACCTAAAAGATTAGGTTTCAGCATAGAATTAACACCAAGAACTCTCAGTGGTGGGGTCACATTCTTTTCCTAAGTCTTCAAAACCTAGAACGGCACATACCAGTTTGGGCTGGCCACCTTTCCAGGACTCAGGGACGACGGAGGCAGGTGGCAGCCACACTGGGTGCAGCTCGAGACCAGAGTGTTCTTGGGAAAGACAAAAATGAACTTTCACAGGATAATCTCACATGTAGGACCTGCAAGAACTTTTATGAAAATGGGACAGAGTACTCAGTAAGTTCTTTGTCATACTTTGCCATGATGCATACCAATTTGTGGCTGCCCTTGTCCTATTTTAGGTATCATACTTTCTGGCACTGATTTTTCAGGAATGCCATTAAAAATCAGGTATGCATCAAATCCCTGTGTCTGCCCTGTCTGCTTTAGACAGTCCTGCCTTGGCTCCCAGTAACTTAAAGACTTGCTCCATCATTGGCCTGTTCCACGACACATGCAATAGTTTCCTGAGCTTTTAAAACACCAGAGCTGCCACTCAGTCCACAAATGTTATGCAAGTGTGCAGGAGACCACAGGGAATGACAAACGGGAGATTCCTTCTTCTCCCCAGGAACTTATATGAGCAAAATGGATGCCCACTCATTCCAGCGAACTGTGTATCATTTCCAAGTGGCAAAGGTTCTACCTGCTCTTCTTTAAACTCTGGAGCATTTTAAAGCAGTCCAAGGAGCATAGCAGAGGCCTTTCTCAGTGGAATGTACAAACACGTTCTGCAGAAGAGGCTGGTTTGCAAATGAACCTCAGCATCTTTCAGTTCCATGTTAGTTTATTTTAAGTCTTAAAGAAAGACACAGCAAACTAGTTTTTCAGGTCTCCTGAGGGGATTTCAAAGGCAAAAATCCTGAATTGCTCCATAGAGTAGAGGTCTGGTTGAGTTGTAAATTGTTGGTTATACCAGAGGCATTAGAACACATCTATAAACTCATGTCAAAAAATAATATCTCACCAAGGAAGACTCTGATATTAGGAACATTAAATAATCCACAGTTATGAATGATTTGGTTCTTTCCTATTGATACGTACATTTGCACCTCTTAGTCATAAACATTGTCAACATGTTCCTTCGGTGAACATCATTTAGACTCATGCTCTTTGATAATGTTTTTAAAAACACACAGGTCCTTCTTTAACAACACCGGATATTGCTGTGTTTGATTGCTGTCTGAAAGCTTAAGGCATTTTTATAATGAAAGAGTTATGCTTTCAAAAATCCCCCAAATTATAAATAGAGCATCCTGCCTCCTGCTTTGCCACAGAAGGTAAGGCAGATGCCTCACCTCAACACACCCCTGACAGCAGCCGCCACCAGGCCTGGTGGACTGCATTGCTAGGGCAGAGAAAGATGGAAAAATTTTAGGATGAGAGTTACGGAATAAGGTGGTCCGCGTTGACCAGCAAAGAGAAAGCCTGTACCTGGCGGACCCAAGCACACAGCCACCCGAAAGGTACTCTCAGTCACAGAGAAGTGATCCTGCAGGCAGCACACTGTTGGGAATATCCCTTCTGTCCTCTTGCTGCCTGAGTGAAGGCTTGCTGAGCAAATGTCTGATGAGCCCATAGCTCTCTAGGAGAGAAGTGACCTGGGTACCTAGGAAGGGACTCAACTCCCTTTCATCATTGATATTGAACTGGTTCTTGGCTCATTCGTTCCCTAAAGTTCAAGACCTGGAATGTGTTACCTAGAGTTCTGCAGCTTGCCAAGAAGGTGAGAGAACAAAGCCTCTCTGTCTCCTCCCCAAGGGCCAGGCTGTCCCCACAGTGATTGTCCTGCTCTGAACTGTCAAAAGTAGACTGCAGCCTCTGGAATTTCCTTGGTTCTCCAAGATAGGTGTGAGATTGGGTGAGACATCAAGATCAACGGGACATTTGGGCCTCCGAGAGGAGAATAGGGCAATCTGAGGAGACGGGCACGGCAGGGCTGAGGCTGGAGGAAGTGAGAGGAAGTGAGAGAGGGAAAGGAAAAGAGAATGGAAAGTGAGCAGTGAAAAGCCTTGAAGCTGCTGCCGCGTCTCCTCTGGGAGGCCTGACTGGCCCGTGCTGCCGGCCCAACACGCTCCATCCCTCTGAGCTGAGGCTGGGCCAGGCCAGGCCATTTTGTGTTGTCCTAGACCAGCACGGTGGTGGCTCTGAATGCCAGTGCCCTCCAGAGACAGGGCCAACCCGGCTTTCGGATTTGAGGAAAGAGCAAAGTCCTGGCTTTGCTCTGTCCAGGTCCTGTTGCCCCTTTCACAGAACACACAGCCCGAAGCTTCCAGCCCCTCTCTCTTGACCTCCAGTTTCCTCTCTCTCCCTCTCATTTTTACGTGTGTGTCTGTGTTGAGCGTGTATGTGTGTGTCTGTGTGTTGAACGTGCATGTGGGTGTGCAAGTGTGTGTCCACTCCCGAGGGGGCAAACCCACCTCTGCTAGGGGCAACTCTGTCCCCAGCCCTCAGGAGTGCCTGGCTCATGTGAGAGGCTCAGGGCGCATGTGCTGAACGGGTGACAGCTGCTGGGTGGTTCTCGACAGTGAAGGGTGAGGCCAGGGCTCCACATAACGCAGTCGGCTGAGACCTTCTCCAAGGCATGTGGGATCCCAGGGTCTTCAACGTGGTGGGCACTCCATAAACCTCGTCACGGACCAGCGAGCCTGTGAGCTGTTGACTCCAAGAGGTATCCCTGCTTCAGCTCGTCTTTCCTGCCCTGCTGCTGAAGACACTCGCACTGCTGTTCAGCTTCCAGAGGACCCCAGGTGCAGGGCTTCCTACAGCCGTCCATGCTGAGCCCAACACCCCAGGGCTGCGTGGTGGGCAGCAAGGGCTATTTCCAGAAGGCCCTTCTGCTAGGGATGCTCTCCTCCTGCCAGAATCCTGACAGCGTGCACCTGCCAGCCCCGGGAAGGGGCTGAGATGTCAGCAGAACACCCTCAATGCACGGCCAGCTTTGAGTTTGTTGGAACATGGAGGTGGAAACAGAGAGGGCTGGCAGAGAAAGGGGCTACAGAGGAGCAAAGGGCAGAGGCCGGGCACCTGGGAGGGGGCAGGGTTCCCATCCAGCCCAGCTGGGCCACACAGCACGGGGAGCAGAAGGAGAAGAACGGGACAGAACACTTGAGGCGTGGCCTACGCCGCTCTGGATTGCCGGCTCACAGGTCGGGGGTCAGAACCCAGGCTCTCTGGCATGATGAACAGGAGTTTACAGAAATCGGAGAAGAATGGGGGCGTGAACAAACCCACTCAGGCGGGCCTTCGCCACGCTGTCCTGGAGGCAGTGGGGGCTGGGGCCCCAAGACGCTGCCCAGATCAGATAGGCTATATCGGCCATCGTGGATGTGGCTAAATTCCCTCTCTTGGCGTTGAAGGGAAGAAATAATCCCTCAAACCACAGTGAAATCTTGAACATCCAAGAAACACCCTCAGCAGTTCTCTACCTACCAGAGCACATTTCCCTGAGGTGGGTGGGTGTGGAGAGAGTCAGGGGCTGCTTTGGGGCATCGCCTACTATACGGAAGCTGGGCCCGGTTCTGGCTCCAGTGGTGCAGGGGCCCTGGGTGCTCAGATGGAAGGGCCTGAGCCAAGTGCTGGGCAGCAGATCTTTCATCTGCTCCTCTCAACAGCCCTGCCCCTGGGGACCACATCCCGCACAGCCATAGAGACAGGAACTGGAGACTGGCTACAGCTACTCGGTGAGCCCTGAGCCTGAGCTGTGTCAGGCCTTTCCCAATCCACGTGGCACCACTCCGTGGACCAGCTGAGGCCTTGAACATCCTCACCGCCGAGGCATCGAAGGGAGTGTAGCTATGGGGGTGCGGGTGACCCTTCTGTGCCTCCGCACCAATGGAACTCCCTTCCTGCGTGGTTCTCAGCCCCTGAATGACTGCTGTCCCCAGCCCCTGCCCTCTAATCTCAGACACACACTCTATTGCCCAAGGTGGGCAGTGCTGGGCCCCCGCCACAACGCCTGTCTGTCAGTCTTCAACCTGTTTCCCCATTCCTGTTCTTTTTGTTGACTCTGTCTGGTGGGCCCCGGGGGAGTGGGGGTAGAAATCCTGCATGGCTGAGAGTTTCTGGGCCCACAATGGGCGGCCTGCTGTTCCATGAATTTTCAACTTTCACCCACACAGACTCAGGCAAATATTGTACATCATGGCAAATGAATGGGCATCCCACTGAAGCTTAATAAATCAGTTCTGCCAAACTGCCACCTCCCAATAAAAGTCAGTCATTGCCAAATTTCAGTGCTCTAGTCCAGGAATTGGATGGTGTTTTCTCTAGAGGGCCAGATAGAAATGCTTAAGGCACTACAGGCCATACAGTCTCCATCAACTCTGCATGGTGGCATGGAGATAATGTATAAGTGAATGAGGGTGGCTGTGTTCCAATAAAACTTTATTTACAAAGATAGATGGGGGGCCGGATGCAGCCTTCAGGCTGTAGTTTGCTGACTCTGTGTTCTTTCCTGCATCTGGTCAACATGGGGTGTGTCGAGGACCTCCAAGGTCACTTACCCCACCCCTTCCTTTCATAGAGAAATGAAGTAATCTTCCCATGCCACATGAGTTTGTGAATAGCTGAGCTGGGTCTTGGGTCCCTGTCCACACCTCTGCTCGGTCACTTTATCCTTTCCTCCTCTTGCCATTGGTGAGCTCGCTCCCAGGACAGTCAGAGTGGCTGTGTTCCAATGGCCTGGGCTAAGGGATAGGGGACATATATGTCACCCTGGAGTGGCCCTGGCCTGCATTCTGGCTGGAAGGTCCGCATTGCACACCCTCCCTACAGGCTCAGCTTGTGCCGTGGCCGCAGAGTCATAAGCTGCAGCCCAGACCACAAGTCCCTCAGAAGGTGGCTGCATTTGGAAATGGGGTCTAGACAGAGGGAATCAGTGAGGTCACTAGGGTGGCCCTTGTTCAACGTGACTGATGAGGAGAGGATATCAGGACACAGACTCGCACAGAGAGGCTGTGTGAGGATGCAGGGAGAAGACAGCCATCTACAAGCCAACGAGAGAGGCCCCAAGAGGAACCAATCCTGCTGACATCTTGATCTTGGGCTTCAAGGCTCCAGAACTGTGAGAAATAAATTTCTGTTGTTCAAGCCCCAGCCTGTGCACTTTGTTATGGCAGCCCCAGGGGGACTCACAGCGTGTCTGCAAGGAAGGGATTGCATTGGCGACGTTCCTAAGAGGAAGTGAGGCCCAGGTCTCCACCTCACTGGCTAGGACATCACCTTGGCTCTTCCTCGGGCCGCAGTCTTCACACCCTCCCTCTGCAAGCTGCACTGGGAAGTCCATTTCATGTTCAAAGATACGGGGTCAGAGTCTGGAGATCGAACGCTGAGGGTAATGTTAAGGGGCCTGCAGAGCTGTGGCCAGGAGGAGGGGGCCTTGAATGAGGTGGGTCGTCTCCACACTTTGGGAGCCATAGAAATGCTCAAAGGCTAAGGTGGCTGCAGGGCCCTTCCTGAGGTTAAATCCTCTCAAAGCAAGAGTGGTCCCACATCAGGACTCCGGAGGGCTCCAGGAAATACCGGCCTCATGGCAATCCAACAGCAACAATCCTCATTTATCGAACAGAGCAGGAAATACTTCAGGCCTCCTGGAGGAGAGCTACTAAATTAAAATAAGTGGCCAGAATGTCCTTGAAGACTTTAATCTTTCTAATTTTTTCCTATATCTTCTAAGATTATTTTCGTTCTGAAATGAATCGGGAATGACACCAATTGGCAGGAATTTCTTATCCCCCACCCCAAGATACACAGACCCAGATTGACAATGTCTCTTTAAGACTCCAACCCCAAATTTTGCTCTCGTGGTTTTCAAAATAAAAACATGTGATCAGTCCTTTTTATTGAAAAGAAATTTTTTAGGAAGACTAAGAAATATTACACTCGATTAGGTCTGTCTCTGCCCAGAATTGGAAGAGAAATGGTGAAACAAATTATTTTCCCCTACAGAAAAAACATTGCCAGAGGGAGAAAAATAAAATGATTTGACAGGTGCAAGGAGCCCCGAGGTGTGGGCTCGTGAGGCTCGTCCCCGTGGTGCAGCGCAGACCTGAGAATGAATAAAAATCTTTCCTAAGCACTCCAGGATGCTCTGTGTACGCGTGTCAGAGACAATGCGGACCGGCTCGAGGGGCCTCCGCGTCGTGGCCTCGTGCCAGCCTCACCACAGCTGTGTGGTACATAAGAATCACAGCAGCTGTATTTAAACTAGAAATTAAATCTCCTTTTATTTAATGTGCACAGTCTTTTTAGTTATCAAAAGGAAACATTAGCAATTAGGGAATGTGTATCTCGTGGATGGCGTTGGATTTGCTGTTTTTGTTTTGGATGTCTATGATGTCTAATTCTAAGGCAGGATGACGGCGGCGGCCAGGTCTCTTGAAAGAGGGAGCTTTTCACTACCTTTTCCTTTGTCAGCAGACAGGGAATTTCAGACGTGCCCTTCTCCCCACTTTGGGAGAGGGCTGGGGAACCACAGGACTTTTATTCTTTATTGCGTTTGGTTTTGATTTGGATGCTGAAGTCGGGGAAGAGGGAGAAGTGGGTAGGGAAGAGGAGAGAAGAAAGAAGGGGAAAGTGAGGAGAGGGAAGAAGAGAAGAAAAGAGAAAAGTATTCGGGTGATGAGTGAACCAAAATCTCAGAGATCACTGAAAACTTACTGATGTAGCCAAACACCACCTGTTCCCAAAAACCTACTCAAATAAAACATTTAAAATTAAAAAATAAAAAGGAAAAAAATAAAAGAGAAAAGTGAAAGAGGAAGAGGAAGAAGAAAAGCAGAAGAATGCACACGCTGCACACTCAGACACACGGAGGCTGAGAAGATCCACGCTTACATTGCGTGGGGACGGGGAAGGAGCAGGCCTCTCCGGGGACATCTCTGCAGCCTCTGCAAGGCCATCCTGCTCCGGAGGGTGACTGTTAGCATGAGCCTGCGGTGACAGGGAGGCAGGAAGACAGCGCTCCCCTGCTAAGCTTTGGCACATTCTCCCCACCAGCCAGGCTGGAGTTCGTATAGAAGGGAGAGGCGGGATCGGGGGCGAGGAAGGGAGGGCGTGAGAGTGAAGGCAGAGGAAGGAGAGAGGAGGTGAAGGCTGGGAGGGAAAACCGAGGTGGCAGCATCTTCTTAAAAGCTGAACTTGAAATTCTCAAAAAGAAAACTAAAGGGGCACCTTCCTTCCTTGCTGTCTGTTGAAATCTGGCCCCTAGTGTTGCTGACGATGGCGGGAGCATGTCGTGGACCCGAGGCAGCCACAGGCTTTCCTGATGATTCATGATAATGGTAATCATTTCTTCCATAGCATCTCCCTTTGCACTAAAGTGTGCTCACTGCATTCGTCAATAGACCTTTATTTAAACCTCGTGGCAGGACAGCTCAGGCCTCCACTCCGTGCAGGAGGAATCCAGGCCCAGGCCCAGTCCTCCTCAGGGCCACGGAGGCACTCTACGTCTTTCAGGAGGAAAACTGATACAGATCATTCTCATAAAGTCCATGCAGGCCCTGAGGTTACCACAGAGGGGCCGCTGCACCCTTTGGCATCATTAGAGCCCAGAGTCAGGGCCCTTGCCAGGAATAAGAGCCGCAGAGAGGCCGGGGCAGCAGGGCAGGCGGGGGAAGAAGTGGCACAGGCTCCTTTCTCCGCCGCCCCACAGGTTTCCACCTGTGCCTCCTGTTGGCCAAAGCTACAGAGGAGCCGGAGGTCAAAGGCATCCGGGAAAATGTAGGGCCCTGTGGCGTACCCCACAGCGGAAAAGGGGGACCATGGATCTGAGAGCAACAGGAAGCTGCTTGGGGCCCAGAGGAGCAGAGACGGGGAGTCGGATGTTGCCCGGAGCTCCCAGCTGGCAGATCGAAGGCTCTCCAGCCTGTGTGACGTGTCTCCCGTGTGTTCTCCAGTCCTGGCAAGGGACTCTGGCAACGTCAGCACCAGAAGAGATGGGAAGCCTTCCAGCCCTGCTTGGGCAGGTTGAGTAGCTACAGCCCAATAGGAGCAGAACATTCTCGAGACACATCAGAGATGGCAGGAGCTGTTCCTGGGGATCTGCAGGGTCGCTGGGGTAGAGGGCAGGCCAGAGGTGGGCATGGGAACTGCCTTCCTGTCATCTTGAGCCTTGCTGGCTCCCAAATGAAACTTCCAACGCCCTAAGACTCCAGGACCTGTCCCCGAGTGATGGAGAAACCTGGCCAGAGGTGACATGTAGGCGAGGATGTCTTTAAGGCCCCAGGTTTAGACTTTTTAAAGTGGAGAACAGCTGACAGTGGTGCATACCAATTTCAGCAGTGTTCTCATTGGTAGTAAGGCTCACAGAATTGCCCTCGCAGGACTGTCCTCAGAAACACTGTTTACAGCCATGAGCCACAGTTCATCCCAAATAAAGTCACCCAACTCATCCCCCAGCCATATTCCTGAGTGATTTTTACTATTTCCAAAAATTAAACCTAGACTTAAAGGATCAATACTTGCTGCTGTGAAAATATTCAAATGCTATGCTGTACACATTGAAGCCGCGCTGTAAAAGGACTCCCCAAAGTATTGTGAGTGAAGACAGCCACATTCAAAAGAGACAGCAGGTTCTCAGCAGACCCTTCCCGGGGGATGTGCTACACACGCGTTCTTGTCATCACAGTCTCACCTCGCTGCACAGACCTGTGGAACTGGCCACCTTGGGGTTGCTACGAGCCACTGGACTCGTCTAAATGACCAGGAGATGCCGAGGCTCAGGCAGGCAGCCCAGTGTGCTCAGGAGACTCTCCTGGGGTGGAGACAGCACTGCTTAGTTTTGGAAGACGTCCATGCCAGGTGAAGACAAGGGGAGGAGGAAACTCTGACGGAGAAGCACATAGAAGGGCCAGATGTATTTGAGAGGCCTGAGGTGGAAAGCACAAGGTGATTCGAGACGCCCAGGGTAGAGAGGGAATCAGGTGAGAGATATCAAGAATTGTGACATGTGCCATAACAGTTCTTGATGTCTCTAACCTGATTCCCTCTCTGCCCTGACCATTCTTAGAATAAAAGTTGATGAAAATAAGATATAAAATAAAATAATAAAATAAAATAGTAAAATAAAATAAAATGAACTGTTACTCGAATCTGAGAACCATGGGCTGCTATGGGAAGGTCGTTAGCAGGGGTGATGGGACCGATCTGCCTCTGCAGTGAGCAGCCTCAGGGAGGAGGGTGGGAGCCAGGGCAGCCCCGCAGAGGCAGCCTGCAGAGGAGCCTGCTCACCTGCACAGGTGGGAACACCTGGGGACTGACAGTCCCCAAAGGGGAGGGTGGTGGGTGGACAAATTCTTCAGGAAACTCCTCGACCTTCTTTTACGCACCCTGCCCACCTTCCCCTCCCTGTATCACAGGCACTTTTCAATCCTTGGGAATCTGTGGCGCTTCACCCCTCTTCCTTTCACCAGCATGCCTCTTCTAGGAGAGAGTCAGCTTTCTTCCCCAGGCGACCTGCCTCAGCCGGAGGGTCTGGGCCCTGCCAGGCCAAAAAGAGGCAGTGTCTGGAGAAATGAGGAGAAACAGAAAGCACGAAGGCACAAATTGCTCACAGCAATGCCTTCACAGTCTCCACCAGGACACCCTCCAGCCCGCAGCTGACTCCTTGCTCTGCACCAAGACACCCTCCAGCCCGCGGCCAGCTCCTTGCTCTGCACCAAGACATCCTCAAGCCTGCAGCCAGCTCCTTGCTCTGGAAAAAAAGCACCACTTAATGAGACTGACTCCTGCCACTGGAGTGCCCTAACATGACAGGGTTGGAGCTCAGAGGATGAAATACTTCCAACGTGGCCAGATGATTGGCTCAAAGCATCTAGTCATGTGGCCATCCTTGGATTCTTTTAGAGCAAATGCCCACACAGCACCTTGTTTTCTGAGCTGACTGAAATGTCGATGTCCCCATTGGTGGCTTTTGCACATGAAGACACAGAAACAGATAGTATCTCCAGCTCATCTGCTCCACTTTATGCCATGCAGCCACCTTCAATAACACAGATAAGACCTGGTTTGGGGGTTTAGATCCCATAAAGCATTCAATTAATGTGATGTCAACATCAACAGAACGTTAGTCCCATGGAACCAAAGCTTTACAAGATTTCCAGGCTTCTCCCATCCAGGCGTGAGCAGCAACACCCAGGAGGATGAGAGAGTCCGGGGAAAGGGACAGAGTCAGAGATGCTGCCATTCATGCTTCAGGATTCAGGAGCAAATGTTGCTTTTAGAGCCAGAAGGTGGGAAGACAGACTGGATACAGAGAAACTTGCTTTCCTAAACAGCTTTAGAAGCAGACGCAAACCTCACGTGCACATACTCAGCCTCAGTGCTCCCTGCCCCCTGCTGACCACATGTTTCCCTTAGAGGGAAAGTCTGAACAGCCTCCTGAAGACCCACGCCCAGTGCTCTTCCCCTTTCCCAGTGTTTACACATCTGGTTGTTGATGGAGTCATTACGTTCTTCTGCCTTAGCAAAGGCAAGACCTAACTACTGGCTCATTCTGTCCCCCTGAATGTGTCTGACTTTAAGAGAAAATCACTCATCATGATAACGGGTGAACTTTCTGGAGGTGAAAAACGATGCACATTCTTCTGTCTCCCCACCCCTCACCACTCCAGATATCCAGCAGAAACACCCGAAAGCTGGTCCTAATTGAGCCATTTTCTGAATGCTAGCCTTGGACCGGCTGGGTGAGAGGCAGGCGGAGTGGAATGTGAGCTGCGTCATTAGTGGGAATGACAGCTCTCCTGGAAGGCATGATGGAGATGCATTGAGTGTGCAGGTGAAGACGTGTCATTTGCTGCAGGTATACATTATGCTTGGCCTGTAGACTATTTGGTAGTAAGTTGATATTGAGAGGAGTTAAAATACAAGGGAAGGCTAACATAGAAATAGCCATCATTTAAATACAGGCCCTGGAACATTTTAATGGAACCATCACCGTGGACCTGACCTTCAGATTTAAAATCACCTTTAAGAAAATGCAGGTATTGGCTATAAAAGAGGAAAAATGTAAGGTGATTTTCCCTTTCTCCCTTTTTACCTGCCTTCTACATATCACCATTGATAAAAGCTTCCTGAATATCTAAAACTCCCAATAGACACAGATGAAGTCACTGGGTTATAAGGAAATGATTTGCCCACATGGCAGTTGCGTGGAACTTTGCAGGGGTTTCAGGAAACTTTGTAAAGAAATAAGTTTCATGGGACCCAAAGTCTGTTTGGTTTTAAGACATGTGAAGCCTTTGGCATGAGGGGCACTCCTGTTTTCACTTCTTTGCCTGTGAGGTGGTATGTGAGGTGGCTTTTTAAATTCCCTTTTACAGCCGTGGGAACTAAGGCCAAAGGCCACACAATTAGAACAGATAATGTCAGTCCTGGAAATAAACCCTCTCAGTTCGGGTTGAGCATTCTGTCTGCCACGCAACCTAACACATAAACACGCATCATGGTTTAATAAATGGCTTACGAAGTTGATTGTGACATTTTTCTTCTAAGAAGTCTCCCACTGCAAAAACTAAGCATACTTTGAGACAGAGGACATTAAATTCCCTGTCTTTTTTGTGACAAGTAGTTACAATTTCATCTTAACTGACTCCAGGTCATATTTTGATTACAAAACTAGGAAGCACTAACAAATTACCATATAGGAGTGGAATCAAGATTTGACAAATGTGCGATATTAATGTTATTTAAACTGTTTCAGGACATAGAAAACTCATTTTATGAAAGCAGCATGACTTTTAATACAAAAACCTATTGATGATAAAAACAATATTAAAAAGTATAAACTAATCTCACTTTAAAATATGTGCCAAAATTATAAATATAATATTAGCACTATATTAAGAAAATAACACACCATGACCAAGCAGAATGCAAGACTATATCAACATAAAAAAGGCAATCCATATACCATTATCTCAACAAATTAGTCACATCAATAGATACTTCAAAGGTATTTGAAAAATACAGCCATAATTTCTAATGAAAACTTTATGTAAAATACAAAAAAGGAAAAAACATAAATATCAATTATTTAACAGAAAACAAAAGCAAATGTTACAATACTAAATGTCGAATAACAAAATATTGAAATAATTGAAATTGAAATCCAGAACTAGAAGATTTGTGTATAATAGCATTACACTTTAACATTATCTTAGAGATTTTTAGTGAATTCAATAAGACAAGAAAGTGAATTAACTTGTATAGACGTTGGGAAAAGTAGAAATGAAGTCATATCTGGTTGCTGAATTTGCTGAAGATTGATTGATTGTATACCGGAATCCCGAAGAAGTTACATTGAAACAAAAACTACTAGAATTAATTTGAAAGCTTAGTAAGTTGGCATATATATGTTAATCATACAAAGAGAAAAGTTCTACAGTTTTTTGGAAGGAGCAGTGGGGACAATATGGCAGCCTACATTAAAATTAAAAATACATTTGCTCTTTGACCCAGAGATTCTTCCTTGAGAACTTCTCACAGAAGAAAGACTTTGTCATGTCAGGACTTATATTCTAGAATGTTTATTGCAATATTCTTCACAGCAGAAAAAAAATCTAGGAAGAAAGAGAAGTCTGTCAATAGAGGAATTGTTGGCTGGGTGCAGTGGCTTACACCTGTAATCCCAGCACTTTGTGAGGCCAAGGTGGGAAGATCACTTGAGACCAGGAGTTGGAGACCAGTCTGAGCAATGTAGTGAGACCCTGTCTTTACAAGAATAATGGAGGAAATGTTAAATTAATGATAGCACCCACCCTATGGAATAGAAAGCAACCATTAAATTAATAAACCAGAGGTAAGCAGAGTCACTTGGTGAGATCTCCATACGGAGTCACTGAGTGAAGCAGGAAAGTGTATGATGTAATCCAGTCTTTGCACAACAATGATTGCCTGTCAGATGTAGTCATCAGAGTACAGCATGAGAATGGAAGGGAGACTACTGGGTTGTTACCACAGTTACTGAAGGATAGTGAAGTATGATGAGTAGAGGCAAATGAGGAGAAGTCAAGCTTAAAAAGAAAAAGGGAAAGAAACCACTATAAAGAAAATAACATACCAGAGAATCACATTTTTGCATTCACAAAATTATATATTGCACATATGAGCATATGTGTATGATTCAATAGAAATTAAATTTAGAAGTTAGCGAAGCAATGACCAACTCCAAATTGATATTCCATCTCCACTTGGATGTCCAATAGCAATCTGTTTGAAACAAAACATGTCAAAAATGGAATCCTTTATTTTTCATGCAAATATGCTCTTCTCGAAGTTGGTACCATCCCAGTAACAGGCACCACCTTCCATCCACTGGCTGAAGCCAGAACTCTAGGAGTTGTTCTTATGTTCACTCTTTCCTTCACACCCCACATCCAGCAACCTTGTGAACTGTCCTGCCAAAACTTATCTATTTTTCTGCTTCTCTCTCTTTTTATTGCTGCAACCACCCCGATCTTCCTGTGCTGTTACAGTAGCTTCCTAAATGGCTTTCAGCTTCTAAATGTCCCCTGTGATAAGCTATTCTCCACACAGGATTCAGAATAGTCTTTTAAAACTGTAAACAGGATTGTGTTTTTCATTTACTTTACCATTGGATGTGTTCACATTGCACAGGATTTTTGGTTTTTGTTTTAGATAATTTTATTGAAGTATCACATACATACCTAAAGTGCCCAAATTTCAATTGTACAGCTCAGCAAATTCTTGCCAAGCTATTACATCTGTGTAACTACCACCCAGATCAAGATGTAGGCTGTTACAACATCCCTCTTTCAAGATGCAATCCCATTGTCTTCCTCGTTCCATCATTTCCATTGAAACATCAGCGATTTCTAATCTTATTGCTTGTTTAAAAGCAATACTTATTTTCTCTGCTTTCTATTAAGAGTTATTTTTGTCCCAATTTTTCAGCACTTTGACTCTGATGTACAGAGTGTGATTGTCTTTATTTCTTTCCTGCTAATATTTTTTAGGGCTTCATGAATCTGTGACTTGTTGCCATCCATCAATTTTGGAAAATTCTTGGCCAATCTCTCTTCAAATACTGCTTATTCCCCTAATCTCTCTTTTCTATCCTTCTTAGACTCTAGTTACTTACACATTAGATCTTTTTGTCACCTCTGTGGCCGCCATGGAGGTGTGCTTCTTGGATCTCCTTTCAAAAGAAGGACTTGCAATTCATCCAAAATGAATGCATTTAGTTGACAGGCCCTAGTTCAGTGTCTCCGGGATCCACTTCAGCTTTCAGTCTACCATCACGCTCTTCCTTCCAAGTCCTCTGCTGATGACCAGCCATTTCTACCTAATGCAGGATTCCTCTAAAGGGAAATCTTTGCTCTTATGCTCCCTTTAGGATTGGCCAAGACTTTGTCAGGCCTGCAGCTCTCCCTGTCCAAATCCTTCTTACTCCCACCCCACTTAATTTTATGGGATTCATACATGCATCCTGGTCCTATTCTGCTTCCTCTGTCTTTTGTATTTCATGGGAATCATCCTCAAAACAATTGCATGCACTCCCAATTTTGTTTGCTTAACCCTAACCCTCACCCTAACCCTAACGGATACAATGTTTTGTATTAATAATTGTCAAATTTTCTGAGGAGAAATAGTGCTGGGAAATGTTGGGCTTGCCTCAATTTTAGTTTATCTTTTTAAGGCTAGTCAAGTGAAGCTGTGGGAGTGGAGAAGGAACAAAGAAATCTGTAACTGGTTGTGATCAATTAGGTGTAAACACCACTGCACTCAGACCAGCAGAGCGCTCACCTCAATTTTATGTGGATTCTTTAAGGATGTTGGCTGTTTAGCCTTGCCTATCTTAACTATTTCCTGATGCCTGCCCACAGATGTTTTGTATGTACATATTGTATAGTTGTCCTTAGTGGGAGGATAGCCTAAAACCAGTTATTCCACCATAGCTAGAAGTGAAAATCCTTCCCACCAGGGCTTGAGACCTCTTCTTGTTAACTTGAGTTGGTATTCAGCAGCCAATCTTAGGAGCTCCCTCTTAAATTGATGTAGGAATTTTAAAAACGGATATCCTTGTAGTCTATGACAGTTGAAGAAATCTTTAAGTAGAAAGTAGACCTTCCTTCCCAAAGGGAAGCCTTGGCTCAAATACCACTATATTAATTTATTTTAGAACTCATATTCCTCATCCATAAAGCTATTTTCCCTAAATTCCAAGAATCTCTTTCTCTACTGAACTTTCACTCATTAATTCATTTTACTCAGTGCTATGGTCTGAATGTTTTTGTCTCCCCCAAATTCCTAAGTTGACACCTAATCACCAATGTGATGGTGTTAGGAGATGGGACCTTTGAGAGAAGATTAGATCGTGAGGGTGGGGCCCTCATGAATGTGATTAGTGCCTTTATAAAGACTCCATGGAGATTCCTCACCCCTGCCATCATGTAAGGACACAGGGAGAAGGTGCTGTCTATGAGCCAGAAAGCAGGCCCTCACCAGACACCACATCTGCGTTGACCTTGAACATCCAAGCCTCCAGAACTGTGAAAAATAAATTTCTGTTGCTTATAAGCTACACAACTAACAGTATTTTGTTATAGCTGCCCAAATAGACTAAGACACTATGGAAATATTTACTGAGTATCTACACTGGCTTGGACTCTCCACTGGGAAAGACATAAGCCTCATGAGTGAGTCCCTGCCTTGACTAGCTCACAGTCTAGTGAAGAAAACATAAAGGTTGACATCGTAACACACAAAGTCCTGGAACAGAGTTGGGATTACCAATGCATTGGCTACTGATGCAGTGGAATAGGGGTGAGGGATTTGAGGAAACTTTGGACTACTTAAATGCAGTACCGACAGCATGGCTTGGTACTGTTTACTATGAATATTCCAAATATAAGTTGGAGACCACACAAGAAGTGGGGACATCCTGCACTATCTACAGTAAGCCAATCAGCATAGCACAGCTCCACTCAACCCACAAGTGTCATGTGTGTGTCTGAGCCTGAAGTCCTTCATGTCACTCTACACGTGTGACTCCTGGCAGCAGGCTGCTCAGCTGTGGGCTTGCCTACCTGGGCACTGAGCCCTGGGGTGCCCTCCAGCAACACTGCAGTCCCCAGGGGGTGCTGGGCTTTGACAAGGCAACATCGGCAACATCTGAAACTTGATTTTTATAAAACATATTCTTTTGCTCATAATTCCCCTTTAAAGGAGATGCACAGATAGTTAAACCAGGGAGATCAGCATTCTCTTCTTTTATCCTGGAATTCATTGTTCTTCAGATAAAAAGAAATGGGCCACTGAATATGAGCAGAATTGCTTGCCGTATTACGATTGTGAGCAGAGTCTAGTCAGACTGCCTGGGTTCCAGAGTGGGTTCCAGACTCTACCACTTCCTAGCCCTGTGTCTTCAGGCAATTACTCCCATGCCTCAGTTTCCTTACCTACAACATAGCACTTTTAATAGCACTTATCTCAGAGAGCTGCCATGAAGATTAAATTATTATAAAGTGGCAGTTAGAATAGTGCCTGGCACATCTAAACACTGAATGGATGATTGATACTATTAGGACTATTATTAATATTACTAAGAAAGAGCATTTATGTGCTTGGAGGCATTACTGCAATAATAACCACTTCTAATTAATAGTCACTGATAAAAACTATCCAGTGATAGAATTTTCTTAAATGCATGTGGTATTTTCTATGAAAAATAAAGGAGTTTGATTTAAGCAATAGGACATTATACAATTCCAAAAACTCCCTGCAAGATCCCTCTAAATGTCACTTTGCTGAACCACGTCCTCCTCCACTCACCCCACTGGCTGTGTCTCCTGCTTCAGCAATCGAGGGCACATGTGCCCACAACGCAGCATCAGAGATAATGGCCACATAAAACCTAGATGTGCAAGGATATCGTGAAAGATTTTTGGCAAAGTCATTGTTCACATTCACTGAAAAACACTAGAACTTTCAGAAGTCACTTGGGGGACAGAACACTCAAGAGACTCTTTAGACAAAAGCGGTTCATATCCTACCCTGAGCCCTGGCAGTGGTAGAAGTTTCATGCTCAGTCCACCCAAAATCTTGAATGTTGGAGTCATCAGGAAACCGACTGTCTTTAGAGGAAATCTTATAAGGAATCCCCACATAGGAAGCAGGTAACAGCAGAGACACTCAGGTAGATTTAAGATAGAATCCTCGGAATGTGTCCCTGTAGTCCACCCACACTTCCAAACTCCAAGACTCTCCTGCGTATTCACCCCTTGGATATTCAGGGGTACATTTTGAAAACCATGAAGATAATTACTTAAAAGCCTTTCATCAACCATAAAATGCGCCTTCACATAAGGTCTTCTGTGTTATAAATCATCGCAGTTGCATTACCAGTGGTGTTGTTACCTAATGTGACACAATTAGTGGCATAGCCATATTTTTAAACGGCATAGTTCTGACTATGTCAATTATCAAATGGATGGCTATTGGAGGTCGCAACTTACTTTTTGAGACTCAAGAGAAGAAAGAATTGCTTGGCTTATGCCTCTGGTGCCAATCGTCCCCTCTGTCACTCTGCTGCAGCGAGCACCTTTGCTGCTTTAAGTTGGTGAATGAATAAATCCAAATTGTGTGAATATTAGTGTGTCCGGGATGAACAACACAGGAATTGAGACAAGAGCCTATCCAGTGGATATTCTAGGAAAGTTGGGAGTTTCCCAGGAAAAAGCCTTACAGCCAGGAACTTCTCTACTCAGATTTACAGATTAAGTATCTGGGTAGAGACACAGTCAGGAATTTTAACGTTTGCCTACAATAAACCAAAAATAAAATCACCCTGTAACCCCAACACTTTGGGAGGCCAAGGCAGGTGGATCACCTGAGGTCAGGAGTTCAAGACCAGCCTGACCAACATGGTGAAACCCTGTCTCTATTAAAAATACAAAAATTGGCCGGGCATGGTGGCGGGCGCCTGTAGTCCCAGCTTCTCCAGAGGCTGAGGCAGGAGAATCACTTGAACCCGGGAGGCGGAGGTTGCAGTGAGCCAAGATCACACCACTGCACTCCAGCTCTGGGAGACAGAGAGAGACTCCATCTCAAATAAATAAATAAATAATAAATAAAATAAATAAATAACAATTCCAGAAATGGTATTTCTAATTTTTCAAAAGCAGTTCCAATCATGTGTCATAAGACAGGTTCACTAAGAATCAGCCCCCAGAAGTTCTGACCTTTGCTACTGCAGTGGCCTTGAGGCTACTCCACACTCGCATGGCGCCCTCAGCCTGGCCAGCACCCCTGCTGCCCTGAGTGGCTTATCAATGTGGAGAAAAACCATATTCCCACCTGTGATAATCATGCTCTTCTTAGCATGTAACTGCTGTGCTTGCCCATTTACCACCAAAGCTGGGCACAGTTCCAACAGATGCCCCAGGGATTCATCTTCAAGCCAACGAGTTCTCCATCAGGTTGATGGCACTGGGATGGACCAGTTACTGCCATGATCTTGTGCCTCCTGCCGACTTTCTTTGGTGAGATGTGGCTTTCATCCAAGGAGATATGATGGCATGTTTTGTGTTAGCGGATCCAGCCTTATGTTAGCCTGCAGGTAGGGAAGACAGTCTTATCCTATCCCTGTAATGTGTGTCCATCCCAGTCCAGATGAATCACTGCCCCTCTCCTCCAGAAGGAATCCAGTGCAGTCAACTTGCCACTGAGTGGCTGGTAAGTGTCCTCAAGATATGGAGCCTTTTTGGGGGGTGAAGCATGGGTTTCTGTTGCTGATGTGGTGTGTTGGTTGTACCAGAAGCCTGGGACCCAATGCATGACTCCCACCCTTGCCAACAGCATTACCCTGTTCAGGTGCCATTGGGCCAGCATTGTGGTTTTGTGTCTTCTTTAGGTTTTAGTGCCTCCTCCCTGATGGGCATCGTTTGTTGAATACTAATATTCCACACAAAGATACTTGCACTTCTTGCCCACTCCATATGTCCAGCCACAAGCCAAGATTTCCTTGTCCCCAGTATTCGAGCTTCACCCCTTCCAAGCCCCTGACTAGCCAGCCAGACTGTTTGCCATTGCCCAGGTGTCTTTTCATTTTCTCAAAATTTATTCTTACTTTGAGCTGCTTCTTGTTCCACATCAAGTGGACGGCCATGGACTCCCCGCAGCCTCGCCCACTGGGAGGACATTCCTGGCCAGGTCATGCAACATCACTCAGGCAGAAGACCCAAGTGCAGTGCTCAGGTACTTTTGGGTGGCACCTACATATCGGGATCAAAGCAACCCATTCATAAAGCGAGTGCTCAGGCCTTTCCTCCCCACCAGCTGGTTGTACATGACCCTCCACGTGGCGCTAAGCATGGGATGAGGGAGTGGTGGTGTTGGAACAGTCGTGAAAGTCCCAGGACCCCAGCTCCCTGCCTGTGCAGCCTGCTTGTGCCCTGTGGTTCTTCACGTGCACGATCCACATGATGGATCGCTGGGCTCACGCGAATCTTTGATGTGGTGGGTCTGTGACCTGCAGTTGTCTCTGCGAGGTCAGTCTGTGTCTAATGGCCAGGTGCTCTGTTTCCACTGGAACCCAGTAGAACACCAGGAACTGTTTGTCAACAGGCATGTAATTCTCTGCTGCAGAGGGCATGGCCTTCTTGGAATCCTAGGGGATTGCCTGAGATTCTCCCATTGCGTCTTCTCCCAGCAATGACATCTCTAATGCCATGGGAGCTGCCAAGTTCTCGGTTGCTTGTACCACAGCCTGGGCATGCAGAATAGCTGTTTCCTGCTCTGGGCTCCACAGAAAACTGGTGCGGGGAGCACCGCTCACAGGTACAGTCTATGCTGCCTGTGGAATCCTAGGAGGCCTACTACACACTGCACTTGCTTCCTTGTGGCAGGATGGAGTGTTTATTCTTTACTTTAAATGGGACACTCAGCATGTCCTTGGCCATTGAACTGCCTAACATTTTATGCTGCAGCAGGCATGGAAATTTTTGCACCCTTTATCTTGTCATGATACTGCCTGTGGCCCAGGAGCTGCAATGGGGCCACTACTCAGCCAGGCCTGTGGTCAGGGCCATCTACTGTCAGCTTCCAGCCTCTGTCTGGTTTTGCAGGGAAGGGACTGGGGAATTAAATGGAGATAAGCCGGGGCCACCATGCTCGCATGCTTTCCATCTTTACGAGTGGCACTGATTTTCACCATCTCCACTGGGAAACAATACTATTTTTATTTACTGCTTAGCCAGGTCAGGGAGTCACTGGACATTTTTGAGTCTTCCACTTGAAGTTCCTCAGAGGGGAAGCGAAGCAGCCAAGTGTGCCTGGTCCCCTTGTACATTGGGGCTGGGAATATGGCTTTGAGGCAGGCCTGTGGACCCGGGGGTCCAGGTGAGCCAGTCCTCGGCCAGGACACCATGTGTTGCCTGATCCCCTCCCGCTATTCTAACACAGACAACACTTCAGTCTCTGGGTGCAAAATATCTCCCCTGGCTGTGCCTGCTGGAAGTTGTCACATCCTTGCTATTCCTCTTTCCTCAGGGTGTGACCGCCTGGGCAAATGGCTGCAGAGCCCTGTGGGATGTGTTGGAATCATTGTTAGGAACATCTGCTGGGTTACCGGAGGCCTCTTTCAGGGACCCACTCTCTTCTTCTGTCCATGGGCTCAGGCCCAGAAACGAGGAGAGAAGCTATGATGCTTGCTTGGAAGACCTACGCCCAGCCACCCTGGATTTCATCTGATAGCACAAACTGTGTGGCTCCTCCTTGGCTCTCCATTTATTTTCTATTTAAATACTTTTTTTTTTTTTTGAGATGGAGTTTCAGTCTTGTTACCCAGGCTGGAGTGTAGTGGCACAATCTCAGCTCACTGCAAGCTCCACCTCCCAGGTTCAAGCGATTCTCCTGCCTCAGCCTCCCGAGTAGCTGGGATTACAGGTGCCTGCCACCATGCCCGGCTAATTTTTGTATTTTCAGTAGAAACGGGGTTTCCCCATGTTGGCCAGGCTGGTCTCAGACTCCTGACCTCAGGTGATCCTCCTGTCTCTGCCTCCCAAAGTGCTGGGATTTCAGGTGCAAGCCACCACACCCAGCCTTAAATACTACATTTCTTTGAAAATATACGTGTTTCTCTAAAACCGCTCTCTGTAGTTCAGGCCCTGAGCTACCCCTCCAAACGGGCCGCTAGTAACAAAAATGCCTGAGTGCTGCCGTTTGGCTTCTGTCGCTTCTGGTTGCGTCGTTGCTATCAGCATGTCTAGCTCCGTGATGGGCTTCTTTCCGCCAGGGCAGACCTACTGAGAACGGTCACCAAGGAGCTTCTCGGAGATTCCTACGTCCAATCCCCAATACATTCCCTATGGGCATTTATAGTTTTTCAGGGAACTTGTTCCTACCATCTAAGTGTTGTTAAGTTTGTTGGCATAAACCTTTTCATAATATTCCCTCTTTATCCCCTTAATTCCCTAGGATCTGTAGTGATAATCCTTCTTTTATTCCTGATCCTGGGAATTTATTTTTTGATCAGTGCAGGGAGGGGTTTATCAACATGGTTTATCTTTGCCAGACTCTTGCTTGCCCAACTTCGGGTCCTGAATTTCCCTTTGATCCAGCCCCCAGGTATCCATGTCCACATCTCCTCTTCTAGCCTCTGCTGGCCCTGCTGACTCAGCTCTCGGCTGTGCTGCTGAGTCATGCGCTTCCTCCCTTCCGAGGCCCAGCACCTTCATGGCTGGGATATGCTGAGCCTGGATCCTAGCTACTGGTCCAGGGCCTAGGAGAAAAAGAGGGAGGGTTCCTAGGGGATGCTGTGCAATTGGAGGGAGATAAGATTCTCTCTATATATTAGTCTGTTCTCACACTGCTAATAAAGACTGGGTAATTTATAAAGGAAAGAGGTTTAATGGACTCACAGTTCCACATGACTGGGGAGGCCTCACAATCATGGTGGAACGCTAAGGAGGAGCAAAAGCACATCTTACATGGAGGCAGGCAAGAGGGTGTGTGTAGGGGAACTGGCAGGAGGGTGTGTGTAGGGGAACTGGCAGGAGGGTGTGTGTAGGGGAACTGCCCTTTATAAAACCATCAGATCTTATGAAACGTATTCACTATCACAAGAACAGCATGGGAAAGACCCACCCTGTGATTAAATTACCTCCCACCAGGTCCCACGTGTCACGTGGGAATTATGGGAGCTACAATTCAAGGTGAGATTTGTGTGGGGACACAGCCAGACCCTATCACTCTGTGTGCTTCCCAGGAGGCCTTGCAGCACTCACACTGCACCTCCAGGCTTTCATTGGCTGCCTCTGACACCTCTGTGACTCCCAGCAGAAGTCATCCAGTTCCATGCCCCTTACCATTACTCCTGCCCCAGCACCTCTCACACGCCTGAGATGTGGCACTTATGGTTCTCTTCCATGGTGCTTCACCCCAGTTCACCCTGGTGCAGTTTTAGCAATGCCCCCCTGCATGTCAGGGCCATCAGCACCTCATCCACCACCAATGGTGCATTCTCACTTCCAGCTGGCCAGCAGGAGATCCAATACCAAAATCCCAGTTTAGAGTCTGTGACCTACGACTGCCCCGCCCATGAATTGTTCAGTCAGATTCCCCAGGAAACAGACTCTGAGATGGAGATGAGTGTGCAGGGGTGTGTGGAGAGCTCTTGGGAATAGCACCTTTAAAAAGGTAAGAGAAGCAGAACTGGGCCGAGAGAGAAGTTGACCTGCTACGGAGTTATCCCAAATCCGGGTGGGACAGGGCCTTGAATCCCTGTAGCAGTACGTCAGTGAATGTGGGTGCCCCCGGGAAGAGGCCCTAACCCTGGCAAGGCAGCTCCTTCATTGGGGGACAATTCCTGGAGAAGGGGAACCCTAGGACCCCGCAGGCTGGAGATGAGTGTCTTGCTTGGAGGGTCTGGGTGGGACAGGCAGCATCCCCTCCATGGTGACCCAGCGATCTCCTCCAGAGGCTGGAGCTCACATGCAGAGACTGCTAGATGTGTTTACTCATTTCTTTTCCATACTTATTCTTCTTGGAATAAATGTATCTCACGTAAAAACTAGTCCTCTCGCTGACTACTCGTGTGATCTTTTTAAATTGCCCCTTCGGTTAAATGTGGATAATAATAGAATGTAAACCATAGTGTTTTTTGAGGGAGACAGAGGTGATGTGTATGAAACCTCCTGCACAGTGCCAGTACCTCATAGGAAGAGTTCAGCATAAGCTGCTATTATACACATTTAAAAGTGATATATGGTCACTGTGCCCTCCTACACCCTTTTTAGAAGTGCAGTTAAACCTTAGAGTCTTGTCACTCAGAAATCCTGTTGGCGTCTTTCTGATCTTCTTTCCCTAACCCTGATATCTTCACTGGAGTTTTCCTCTGAAATGACCGCAGCTGGGCCTTTGCAATGGGGCTACATGTTGAAAAGGATTTGGGGAGCAAAGATGAGCAGGGAGAGACAGGCAGAGCCAGGTCCCATCTGATTACCAGGTTCAGCGTTACTAGTGCAGAGCCGTGGCCGGGTCTCAGGCACCTCCCTGTCGGTCTCCAGGGCTGCCCCTCCTGCCAGCTGCGTAAGGCATCTATTTCCTGCCATGCCCCGGGGAGCCACAGAGTGCCACTGTGGGGGTCAGAGCCAGGGCGGGAATGAGGACTCAAGGCAGCCACGGGTTCAGAGTCTGTTTTTTCCCTTAAGTGGAATGGTTCCGTTTCCTGCCATGCCCCAGGGAGCCACAGAGTGCCACTGTGGGGGTCAGAGCCAGGGCGGGAGTGAGGACGCCAGGCAGCCACGGGTCCAGGGTCCGTTTTTTCCCTTAAGTATAATGGTTCTGAGGACACCGTGTAGATCATTCAAAAAAGTCATTTTACACACTTACGAGAGGCTGTTTGCAACTGCTGACAATGCCTTTTGGGGCAAGTTAACTGTAGCCTCATCAGAGTGTATTCCACAGAACCAATTTATTTTTATTGGTTTTATCACTAGGATATTAGCAAGAAGACTCCACTAGGAATTTCCTAATGGATGGTAAATCACTGTTTGGGGGGTTAGAGAGGTAATTGGGGCAGTTAGGTGTGAGCTGTATTCAGAAACTGACAGGGGAGACAAGGAAACAGGGCTAACAATGCCCACCTCCAACACCAGGAAAACCCAACTGGAAAGAACCCCTGTTGTTTGAAGCAAAACACAACGTTTCTCTCTGTCAGTTATCCGTAAAATAAGATACACCCAGATCTAACAACCCTCATTTGCAGTAGGCTGACAGCTCTGCCTGTCAAAATTGTTTGGATGTCCAAATTAACTTGAAGTTAATCCAGCTCTCAAAGGCCTATAAGAATCAGATCACAACATGTCTGCATAATAAGTTCTTTGTGCCAGGAAATAGGAATTAAATTGTTTTAAAGCAATAATGTTAGGTAAGTAAAGGAAAAAAGGCTTCCTACTGAGAGATATTTGCTGAACAAAATTAAATATTATAAAACCATATTATTAAACTCTGTCAAAAAGGTATTAATCTTGTTACTTTGGCACAGTACTTTAGGACTGTGGATCACTGTAAACTTAACCTTTTGTGTTATCTTGCAGCCAACATGAACGGAGGATTGGAAAGAGCGAAAGAGTAATACATCAGAAGTAGATGTTTGCAGTGTGCTGAGTTTGACCAAAATCAAAGCCGAAGCTGTCTATTGGACGGGTAAAGTTTCTGCTACAAGGCGTTTTGGAAACCACAGTAAGTCAAGCACGCACCCTCACACACACTCCCACAAATGCATGCCCATTCCACTCCTTCTTTGCTGTTTGATTTTTTCATCTGAAACCTATTCAAAGTGTGTGACAAGAGAATAGCCCCTTTCCAGGGTGGAATGTGCGCCGTGTCTCCTTATATCTGATGGTCTATACTCCTTGGTGCTGGAGTGAGTCCACCTTCCAAAAGGATCTTCTTTGCAAAAATCTCTCAGCACGGTCAAATGTCATCACAGCTCATGGTTTTTTGTTTGTTTGTTTGTTTGTTTGTTTGTTTTAAATAAGTAATAACCAACGTTTTCCACTGACTCACTATGTGCCAGTCACACCACTAAGTGCTGTTCATACTCACAGCAAGCCTACAAGATGTACACTGTCACTAGATCCATTTTATAGAGGAGGAAACTGAGTCCAGTGTTGGTCTGAGGTTTTGGTCATGCTCCAAAGGCCACACTCACCATCACGACACGGTGTGGCCTCGGCCAGTGCGGGGAACGTGGCCTGCATCAGCAAACGCTCAGAGGTGAGGTCTGGTCATGCTCCAAAGGCCACACTCGCCATCACGACACGGTGTGGCCTCAGCCAGTGCGGGGAACTGTGGCCTGCATCAGCAAACGCTCAGAGGACAAGGAAGCTTTCCTCCCACTTGTTTCATACCAAGGCCCTTCATTTTCAGGTTCTCTCCCCGACTCTCTTCACTTCCTCTTTCTTTCTCCTGCTCCTTTCCTCCTATTCTCATTTTTTTCTTAGCTTCTCTTTCTTTCTCCTCTAAATGGTTCTGTAGGCAACATGACCACCCCGAACTAAAAATAAAATCCACCTACACTTTCCAATGATGGCCCCACATCCAAGCATCTACCCATTTTCCCAGCCAGGGAAGGATGCGTGATTTACAAGAAACCACAGAAACACTGGGATCACTGCATTGTAAAATAAAACGTGTTCTTCATATGATTCGTGCTCTGTTAAAACGTATGGCATATTCGCTTCCCGCAGCTGCTGTAACGAATTACGTTTCGTGGCTTAAGACCACACAAATCTCTTATCCTACAGTTCTGGAGGCCGGAGGTCTAATATGGGCTGCAGGACTGGTTCCTGGGGGTTCCGGGGCAGAATTCTCCTTGCCCCTCCCAGCTTCTCAAGGCCACCTGCCTTCTCTGGCTTACGGCCTCCTCCTGGTATCACTGAGCTCTGCTTCCAGCTGTGCGCCAGTGATCTCTGACCACGCTCCCTGTGCTACAATCATTAACAACATTGGGCATGTCCTGTGCAAATGGATTTGAAACAAGTCAACTCAGCTCTCAGTAGTTACGCCTGGGCATCGGCACTGGACACCCACTCCTTAGGAGGTGCTAACCTTGATAGGAGTCGAAACGTGAAGCATCTCCCCCCTTGGACTTAGGACATAGCTTAGGATACAGGACACCTTTGTAAAGAAGAAATAATAATAATAACAATACAAGTTTGCAAATGCCAAGTGCCGTCAGGGTTGTATGAGTTAAGTTACTTACAAGCTGTCTCCTGTGGGAACTTGACTTTGACCTAAGCCTACTGTGGTCCCAGGAATGACCTGTCTCACCAACAACTCCTGGAGGTTGAATTTCCAATCTCTAAGTAGGAAGGTAGCAGAGAGTTGTGGGGGACACCGTTCCACCCATGATGACATCTGTCTCAGCCCTAGTGGGAAAGAATTGTGTGATGAGGAAGTCCCTTAAGCTCCAGTGCCTGTGTTTCCCCATCTGTAGAATAAACATATCAGTGAGAACCACTCTATCTTCATCCCTAGGATGCTCTCAGTTTAGGGAAAACTATAAAAAGTAGAAGCAGCTGTGATGGCTTGGGCCCTGAGACCTCTCTCCATGTGTTCCTCCAGTAGTCCTGCCGCGGGAGCTCTGCACAAGCCGCAGGGTCACATGTGAGGCCATCTCCACCTTCATCCCTGGGCCCAGGTGCAGTCTCTCTGTGCCGAAGCCTCTGGATTTCCAGCCCCTGGAACAGTGCCTACATCACAGTAAGGGCTCCAACGCTGTGTTGACCCAACACCGGAACAGAATAAAGCGACGGTGGAGGACACTGGGGGGTGCCTCAGGCGTATGCCCTAAGAAAAGTCAGAACGGGAGGGACTCTTTCCCAGCACAAGTCACTGCCTTTATTCTGCTTTGAGTCTGCATTTTCTTCCTTGGCATGCCTGTGATTCACGCATTCTCAGCCTCCCCGAAAGTGCCCATCAGGGCTCCCCTCTGTTTAATGAGATCCACATATGCTTTGTTTGATTATTTCTGTCAATGACTCAAGCTGGACTTACCATAAGGTGACTCACCTGTGTTTAACACAGGTGCCAATGCGATCTCCCGGGACCACAAGGAGCCAAAGGAAGCTGCCCCCAGGTGTCTTCAGTTCACCTGTTCCACAGGGGTGGGCCTTGCCCGGGTCAGCCCAAGTCCTGCGCCAGTTCAGGGGAGCGGATATTCTTGGCTTATTCTTAAAGGGAGCAGGCTTTAGATTTCCTAATATAGAATTTAAGTCCGGATTTTAATGAGCATACGTCCTTTACTGGAGAAAACAGGACCCTACTGGAGACAAATAAATAAATGATCGCACTCTGGCATTGTATGATCAGTGATAAGGAATTTACACATCACTCATAGCTCGAGGAAACCATAGGCCTTAGGAGAGATAAGGATGTTTATTTGCAGCCGTTAAGAGAAGAAGATGGTACAAAGAGGAACTGTGAACAAAAGGTGAGGGGTTAATTTTAAATTAAGAAAATGTGAGTCTAGAAGACTAGGGAGAAAAGAGAGAAAGAAGCTGAAGAGAAGGAAGGAAGGGAGGAGGGAGAGTGAGACAGAGGGGAGGGCAGACAGGCTCAGTGGGGAGAACACCCGGCAGAGGCAGGGCCTGCACATGCAGCTGCACTGAGAGTACCGCCACGATACCCCTGCCCCGGGGTGAAGGGCTGTGTCCCCAGCCATGGGAGTCCCTGCTCCTTGAGTCCTCACAGTCAACTCTGGGAATTGTCTCAGGTGAAGAACAAAACTGCCTCACTCAAGGCCACAGTTCCAGGAGCTGCCTACATCCTAGATCAGTCCGTGTGGGGTCTTCATACCACCCAGCCCTTGCTCCACGGCTCTGGACACCTCGGAAGGGCCCTCCAGCTTTAGTTTCCCTGGGGGCCCATGAGGCCACTCACCTTCTCCCTCTGCCTCACCTGCAGGTGTGGACCCTCTCCTAGGCACCAGGCTCCCTTCCAGAGCTGGTTCCTGGGGAGCCTGCCCTGTGGCATCTCCCTGTGGCATCATCTCCCTGCAGCATCCCATTCAGATCCCTGTGTTTGAGCTGGGTTTCTCAAAGGGTGGTCTCCAAACTCACTGAGAGCCCCACAACGGTGAAGAGTTCTGCGCCACCCAGACCTATGGAGTCAGCTTCTTTGATGATGTGTCCTGAGTATCTATACTTTTAACAAGCTCTTCAGGTAATTTGTTGCAAGCTAAATTCAAGAACCACTATTTCAGAAAGTGCAGAGCCAAAAAGACCAGACGAAGAAATGTAACAGAACTTTAATTTCTATCTATGGCACCGATAAAAGATACTAGGTCCTTTATAAAATGTTGGCTCCTAATAACATCAGGTGAGTGCTCCTCCCATTTCATGAAGGAGGTCCCTAAATCTTCACCTTGAGCCCTCATTTGGCATGGACAAATTCAACACATTTCTTTCTCAGGGCGCATCTGTGTCTCGCTCCCACTTTGCTGCAGTGAGCTATCAGGCAGCTGTCGCTCTCCTCGTCCTTCCTGCTACCTCTTGGGGGATAGCAGCGAATTGATGTCATTTGAGATTCTGTCTTAATCTATTTTGGCAGCATGAGGATGGCATACTGAATCCTATAAAGAATGCCAAGTGACTTATCAAACTGAGTGATGTCGTATGGCCAATAAATTGTCCCGGGCCACAGCAATGTGATTCCACCCAGGTCTCCACATCCAAGCTGTAGTTCAGGTGACTCCTGGCTGTGGATGACACATCCCCAACCCTTTCCTTTTCTGCAGCTGATCCGCATGAATCTGTAGTTTCTGCCCTAGGCTCTTCTCCAGGGGCCAGGGCTGCTGTTCCTGTACTTTACTCTCCTTTGTTGGGGAAAGAGGATCACAGAGAACTGCGGGTGTGTCCTTGGATTTCTTCTTCTCTGAAGCTGTGTATTAGAGCTTGCTTGTAGGTGAATGAGTCCCCCCCATTTCGATGACTCTTGTCCTTTGTACCTGAGTGTTGACAGCAGGTTCCATTGCTTGCCCAGGAGTGCCACTCTCCAGGTCATTGCAGTGTCAAGGGAGCAGCACCCGCCCTGAGGACCATCTCTCTGGCCTGGGGGAAACCCTTGCTCTGCCTCAGATCACTGCAGCCCACAAAGACCTCGTTTTGATTTCACTTCAGGACTTGTGCTGAATGGCCTCATGTACTCTGTGGCCTCATGTATTAATCTTCCTAAGGAGAAAGCATCAAAAGCTTTCCTTAAAGATAAGGTAGAGTGCAGCCACCCCTCTCCACATAGCTTGTTGGAGAAGAGCAGGGCAGTGGGGAGCGTGGCCATTTGGGTCAGGGGGCAGCGCAGGGTTGGTGTCCTGCAGTTTCCCAGCTAGCTGAGCAGGGGGAGCAGGGGCTCGGGTCTGACTCTTGATGGCTGAGTGGCTCTGTTCTGGTGCCAGCAACTGGCCCCATGGTGACATTTATCTGTGCGGGCCTATTTTGATATGCTGGTGAGCTGGGGAGTCAGAAATCAAAAATAGTGGGTTTTCCTTTAACCAACCCCAAATTGTTACAAGGAGAATCAAAAACAAGACAGCAAGTCTCTGGGGACCAAGATGGACTCAGAAAGCTTTTGTCTTGTGGGAAGTTAGTCCGGAGTATTACACAGAAGGACTAGTAAAGCACAAAAGATTCACATGTGGCTCATTTACTAATTCTTCACAAGAAAAATAATGTGGGCCAGTGAATTATACCACATAGCTTAGATCCAAATACTGTGTCTATTTGAAATATCCAGATAATTTAGGGAGAAGGTTCAGAATGATTTGGCTTTAATTAACTGGATCTAACTAGAGGATGTTAAGTAACCCTAAGAATTTCCCAAGAATATATGGGAACACTACGTCTATTTGTCCTTGAGTGCTACCTGTGTTCTAAAACAAACAGTATTCTAAATCCTTTCCTATTGGTTTGTCTCTAGAAAATGTTTGTTATACATTTAAGGCCAAAGAGCAAAAACAAACATGGACATATTAATTCACAGAGGGAATGTAGGACATCTGACAGGCAAAAGATGAAAGGCTGCACTTTTTTCCCTCACCTTTTATCCTGAAGTGAACACCTTCAGGAAGCTGGCTTAAAGAGATGCTGAGATTTAAGAAATAAGCTGGAGGCCTGTTATTACACAACTTGTTTTTACACGGATGTTGCATAGATCAGACCACGCCCTTTGGAGCATCCCAACGACCCCCTCGTTAGAGTCCGGAGGGGCCGGCTTCATTTGACCTGAGCTCTGAACTCCACCCTGACTCTATCACTGAGAGTCGCAGTGCTGTGCTGGAGAGAGCTCTCGACGGGAGAAAGCCCCCTGGTTTGTAGCACGTGCTGATTCCTGTGGTGTAAACGTTCCTGAAAGTATTTCCCCACTGGGTGTCAGGAGCCAGTCCAAGGTGGCTCTGCACACCACTGCCTGCTGCAGGATGATGAAGAGAGCTTGTCACTCAGGTCGTCAACAAACATTTGTTAATAATTCGTCCCATACCTCTACTCAGCAGACCCAGCCTCACCTCTGGAGAGACCAAAGGGAGTCTCGGAATCCCCCAAGGAGCCTCACCTGGTCTCTGACTGTAATTTGGGCTCCAGATAGTGCAGGCCCACTGAGCACACATGAGATGCCAGACTCCAGGCTCCCAGTGTGTCCCAAACAACCGGGATGCCTGCTTTTCCCAAGCTCAGATGCGCCAAGGCTTAAATCTTGTTGGAATCTTCAGCTGCAGATTCCAATAAGAACTTTTAGGGCCTTATCAACCAGAAAGTGGAAAGAGTGAGAGGGAAGCATTACCATCATGGGAGTAAAAACTCACTGGGTCAAAATGCTGATGAATTTATGGAATGTTGGCTCCGCTCCAGGAGAGAGATGGCCCCAAGGTTCTCCATCATCTCATTGGCTCCAAAACAAAATCCACTGGCTGGCAGATTACTGCAATGAGCATTTCGTGACAGGTAGCTTCTAATTGTCTAAAATGTCGCTTAAAAGAGTCAAAGTACAAACAAGTAAAACAGCATATGAGGCTACCATAGATGTCTGAGCCACATCTGCCAGGCCCACATCTGTGAGGAGGTGACTGGGGGAGTTCCCACACCTGCAGGGGCTGCAGGCTCCAGCCCAGTCCTCTCCTTACTGACCCTCAGCATGCTCCCGTGAATGAGATGGTGCTATGTGCAAGGGAAAAATGTATGGCCATTAGTTAGTCATCAGCAACTTATCTCCAAACAGCAAGTCAGGTTCCAGCCTGAGGAAGGGGTTTCTAGAGGACGGAAGCCCAGGATCTGGCTTTTGATGGGAAGGGTCACTTTGGCAGGGCTAATAAAAAAAGAAAAGACAAACATCAAAAATGAGAAGAAAGAAGAGGCAGATGTCATCTTAAATTGAAAAAACCAGGAATTATTGTTTGTCCTCCATGGGCACAGTGCTTTGTACATAAGAAAAGTTAGGGGGATGTATTCTGATCGTGTTCTACAGAAATCTGAGGCAGTCCCCCAACCCCCACAGGCTCTTCTGCACCTGGCACGGCCCTGACCAACCCCAGCCACAGTCGAGTGCTTATGACACAAGATTATCCCCCTTGACAGACCCCTCCCATCTAGAATGTTCTGCCATCTTCTGAGTTTCGGTGCCATTGGATCTCTGAGGTCTGCGGAACCCAGGACCTTCTAAGATGAAAGTGGTGCTGTGGCTGGCGTGGTCCTGTTGGTCCCGCCTGCGCAGTGGATTGCCTTTAAAGAAGAGTCAGGTGTCCCCGATGCCCAGGTTTCCTCCTCTGAGTCCGCTTTCCCCACCCCCAGCCCCATAGAATTTACTTAATTAATGTTTTTCACGGGAGTGTCTCACCGTTCCCATGTATTTACTGAACTATTTGCCGCTGCAAAGGAAAATGATTGTTTTTATTTATTTGAACTTCTGAATATCTCCCATTGTCTGTTTTACTATTCAAAATTCCAGCACTTTAATAGTCTTAGGAGAGGGGAGTTGGAAATCTTTGTATATTCATAATTCTATGAAATAATTGTTTACCGAGATTATTTCAGTCTGTAATCGTGTCTTTGTTTTCCCCTGTGAAACATACCGTGCTCAAATGCCTTTGTTCAATTCTCAGGAAGGGAAGAGCATGACACCAGTTCTCCCCGAAAGATCAAAGGGAGATTCCGATGCAGGTCTCCAGGCCGCTGAGTAAAGCGTCGCCTAACTTGCCCTCCATTGATCCCCAGGATGTAAAGCTCTACTTGGCGTCTTGGACAGCGAGATTGGCTGTGGGAAGCTTCCCTTCCGCTGTCTGGTGCTTAGAGGCCGGGCACATAGAGACGTCTCTCTGAGCTCTTGACCTTTGTGGGTTTGGAATAACAGGCAGGAAGATGCCCCGAAGGGAGCATTTGGAGAGAGAGAAGCAGGACCCCGGGAGGCGTCAATGTCCTTGCCGTGGCACCATCATGTCTTTGCTCCATGGAGAAGAGATGAAAACGGGAGCCTCTTTGCTGCAAAGCCGATGAGGCCAAGCTCCCAAAGCGAGAAGCAAAACATAGGCAAGGAGCAGCATCTCTCACCCCGGTACGATGCCCGCCCTGTTGCAGGGTCTGGGTTTGCTCACGATATGTCTGCTCGGGGTGGATGACAGCTGGAGACTGGTGAGAAATCCTCCCTGCCTCAGTCAAGGCCCGGGCCCATCGAGCCATCTTGCCCATGGACACACAAGGCAATTTCCAGAGGCCTGCAGAGCCCATTGCTCTCACTCCTAGGAAGGGGGAGGCCAGGAAGGCTGGGCTGCTCAGGAGAGACCTGTCCCCCAAGGAGGGAGGGGCTTCAGGAGCAGACCCAGGTCTTTTCTGTGGAAATCCTTATACCTTATGTAAAGATCCCATTGAGTCAAAGGCTCTTGAATCCACTGCTGACCTGCGGTCACATAGTCAAATTCATCTCAGCCTTTACTGCATCCTATAAGCTTTCCTGACTCAAACCCACATTCATCCCCTATCCATCTCAAAGCTATGGGATTTTGTGAATAGAACCCATGGTAATTTTTTCAAACACTCCATCTATAGAGATCTGTGTACCTGAAGAAGCAGTAGAACTACAGGGAGCCTGATAGGGCAGGATAACTCCAAAGTTAGTTAAGAGTGAAATCAGGGCTACCAAAGTTTAAGTCAGCCCAAGACAGACTGACCATGCCCAACCTGTATATGATGACCCTGTACGTCTGAGCACAGGGCCGCTCACCATCACCCCTCCATCTCAGTGCCTGAGCCCTCCATCACCTGAGCACTGTGCTTCTAACCATTATTGCACCCCCAGACCCCAGTCTGCCTTCAGTCTGGCATTAAACAAAGAGCACTACATCTTTTCCCGATGGCCAACCACACAGATCCACCCTGGCACATGCACACCTGAAAGGTAAGGCCCCTGAGTCAACGCTGAATAAGCTCTTATTTCCCTAATGCGACTTGACCTCAGAAGTCCTTTTCACCAATGCAGCTTAATGTTTTTGTAAATAGTTCCCAGTCCATGTGGAATTCAACCCTGAGTGGTTCTCCTGTTAGAATGTGTCATGTATGTTCACTGCCTAGCCTGTCAGTTCTCATTACCCTCTCTGCTCGCCATTCGTCTCTCCCTGCATTTCTAAGCAGAGTCTGCCGTCCTGTCAGGAAGATCCCCTAATAGCCTCTGCCTTGGTTCCCAAGCCCTTTCTTTTCTTTTCTTTTTCTTTCTTTCTTTTTTTTTTTTTTTTTTTTTGAGATGGAGTTTTGCTCTTGTTGCCCAGGCTGGAGTGCAATGGCGCGATCTCAGTTCACCACAACCTCCACTTCCCAGGTTCAAGTGATTCTCCTGCCTCAGCCTCCTGAGT